>NC_000014.9:55066258-55369288 GCF_000001405.40 Homo sapiens | reverse complement strand
ACAGATATGGGTCAGTGTGCTGGTCCTTGCGGTGCTGAGACTGTTCCTGACACTTTAAGTTTTAGAGGTTGGTTGAATCACAAGAGGTGATTCTTGATTATTAGGACATGAAAGATAAAAGCTCTTTAATAAGAGTTTTTCTGCCATTGTTTTTTGTATGAGAACCAGCAGGCAATTTAAAATTTCTAATTTGGTCCTTTGATTTTGTTTGGGAGGGGTGAGTTACACGTATTTTATTCATGCTGCTCTGTCGTAGTTTGTCAGACATTCCTGTTTTTCTTTCCCCCACACACCAAAGAAAATGAAAGTCTTTTTCTTTAGGACCCACATCCATAAATGGAAGAAATCCTGGCTGCAATAATGTCTAGAGAGTTTTTAACTATTTTCTTGTATTCTGAGGGGAATTAAGCTTATTCTTACCTAGTTGAATTCCTGCCATCCACACTATGAGCATTTTGAAATTGAACTTATATTTTCTGGGTGAAAATAAGTCATGAAGGTCATTCCCTTATGTAAGCTCAATGCCTGCCTGGGCACAGGGGAAAAGCCACTTAGTTAAGTGGCCTCTGGTCATTCTTGTGGTGTCCACTTTCTTTCTATGGGATTGAGTAGGTGGCAGGTGTTTTCAGGGGAAACCATCCTACTTGTTTCCCCGAACTCTTTGTTGCTCTGAGGACACAGCTTTGCTCAGAAATGCAGCGCAGATCCTTACGGCTGATGCTACTCTGCTCTGTTCTGGGGAAAGCACAATATAAAGAAAGAATTTCCCAGCCAGGCGCAGTGGCTCACGCCTGTAATCCCAGCACTTTAGGAGGCCGAGGCAGGCGGATCACTTGAGGTCAGGAGTTTGAGAGCAGCCTGGCTAACATGGTGAAACCCTGTTTCTACTAAAAATACAAAAAATTACCGGGTGTGGTGGCGCACGCCTGTAATCCCAGCTACTCGGGAGGCTGCGGCAGGAGAATCGCTTGAACCGGGAGGCAGAGGTTGCAGTGAGCCGAGATTGTGCCATTGCACTCCAGCCTGGGCAACAAGAGCGAAACTCCGTCTCAAAAAAAAAAAGAATTTCCCTCAGCAGGAGATCATTTTCAGCTCACGTGTCTTGTCATTCTTTTAGTGACAATCTTACAAGAAAACTATAATGAGAGAGGCATTATGTACAAATATGTAAGTAGTTTATTTTTAATAACTGCAAAAAAATCCTATGTAACAACTACCAAAAGAAATCCTATGAAAGAGTCCTAACAGGCATTATTACCATATCTTATGTGATTGGCATGATAGCACCTCTGATAAATCATTCAGAGGTTTGCCATGCCCCAGCTTCTTTTCTCATCATAATAATTGTAGTTGATACTTTGCCTCCAAGTCCGAGGTGCTATATAGCTTTTGCTAATGGTATATTTGGTGTTTTGTATAGTTTTGGGTAGAGTTGCAGAACGGAGTTTATTTCTATCCGGTAGTCACAAATTCCTTGGCTCTATGAATTTTCCATGAAAGGAGGAAGTAGGCTTTTCTCGTTGTGGGTGGTCTTTTTTTTTTTTGGAGACGGAGTCTCACTCAGCTGCCCAGGCTGGAGTGTAGTGGCACCATCTCCGCTCACTGCAACCACCATCTCCTGGGTTCAAGCAATTCTTCCATCTCAACCTCCCGAGTAGCTGGGATTATAGGCACCTGCCATCATGCCCAGCTAATTTTTGTATTTTAGTAAAGACGGGGGTTTTCACCATGTTGGCCAGGCTGGTCTTGAACTCCTGACTTCAGGTGATCCGCTTGCCTTGGCCTCCTAAAGTGCTAGGATTACAGGCCTGAGCCACCGCGCCCGGCCCCTTATGGGTTCTTCTACACTGCTGGGATCTCTGTTTTAAGTGCTCAGCTTCATGATTGATTGCTGGGCTTCCATTTTCCCATCCAGTTCTGGAGTTCGTAGAGAGTGAAGATGGTAGACTTGAACAGATAAATAAACTTAACGATCTTGTAAGAGTTGTCTAGCTACTTAAAACCCTCAGAAGTAAGAGCTTAGTCTCACGAGTTGTAAGAGTGGGATTTGGAGCTTGGTGGTGGAGACTGACTTCAGCTGAGAGATGCACAACAGTCATGGTTTTCTTAAGCCTCTTATGAAACCATGAATGAGAGATGAAGCTAAAGAATAGAATCCAGAGATCACAAACTCATCTAGAGTACTTCCACAAAATTTACAAAGATGTGGGAACTTTATGGATAGGATATATTTTGTTTGTTGTTGTTAATATCAACTAGAGGCACTTTACATAGGGTTAAGTGATCGAACCCTTTTGTGGTTTTGAACACCAACATACTGGCTTACACTGCTGAAATATTTTGGGTTTCATTATTTTGCACTGGATCCACCCTGTAAATACTCTTAAGTATACATTTCAACCACTGTTTTTTCTACTCTTTTTGCTGCTCATTAAAATCTTTCATGTAGGTGCCAGAACCATATGTAAACAGCTTTTTAAAAAATTGAAGCTGGTATTTTGTTTAAACAAAAAGCCATAGAACTTGGTCATGTTTTCCATTTTAAAATGATTTACTGAAACAAAGTAATACTAATAAAAACCCACAGGCACCAAACAGGCTGCTTAAAATGGTCTGTTAAAGACATTTTTTGGTTATGGAATATAAGAAAAGTTTTGCACATCTGTAAGGGGGAAAAACAGTATATCACCATTGGGTAGAGTGGACGGGACTCATGTAAGGACTCAATTTGGGGAAGAGCATTCAGTGGCATGCTGTTAGAGGACTAGTGTCCGAGAATCTCCTCACAGTATCATGTTGCAGGAATTCCCCATTGCTCTGCAACTTCCAAACCAGTTTGAGTCATACAAATGTTTTCTAAACTTTTATTGTATTACTGCAATAAATCTTTTAACAGTACTTTGCTCATGTGTATGTCTTTTTCAAACTGTTCATTTGCACTGCTGCATCGAGGGTAGCAAGAATGAGATTGAACCCTGGAGTACTTTATACAAATTATAGAAGAAGTTTGTAGAATTTTTTTGCCAGGTAAGAAAAAATGTTAATATATTTTTTAAAATTATGGATTATGGTGGTATTAACAATGATCTTTCCCAAGCTGAGAAGCTGGTTGCATACTTTCCCTAAAGACGTGTTTTTCTTTGGTAGCCATCATTTGATGCATGTGACCTACAATGACCTGGTTTTGTGCAACAGACCCCTGGGGCAGAAGGCCTCTAGGATGCCCACGTGGAACCTGCCCAGACTTTCTTCAGGACAAGAGGAAAAGGGAAATGTTGGAACCACTCAGATGCCTGAGTAGCTTTGGAGAATCCCTCCCCAACCCAACACCCTTATTTTTTATAACTAATTTCTCCCAGGTGGGTAGTCGGCGGTACCCTTCAGATTAGATTATTGTAGAGAAGGACCACCTGCAGGTGGTGGAGAAGATACCAAGAGTGACTACTGTGGAAGAGCCAGGCCAGCCAGGATACCCTCAGGAGCTATTGCCATGGTCATACTGCCCCTTTATCTGGAGCAGAAGGCTGGCAGGCAACAGGAGGAAATAGGCAAGGAAACGGAAGGGTTCTCGAACAGGGTGTGTGCTTTGGTGGTACTGTCCTTCAGTCTTTCCAGGCAGCAGTTTAAAGCATGCTCCCATCTGGTGTTTAAAGGGAGATTTCTCCATCCTGAGTTATGTCATGATTGATGCAGGAAACAGATTGGGAGGAATTAAGGATAACTTTGTCATTGGTAGTGGGGAGATTATTTAAAAGTTGCATCAATAAAATGTACCAGAAAACTTGAAACTGGACTCTTGGGCAAGCCATCTGCACCTCAGCCTTGAAATTCAATGAGGAAAACCACCACCAGCCGACTTGGTAAGAAAATACACTGCAAAGAGTATTTTCCAGTGCTTAGATAGTTGAAGTGAATTTTTTTTAGGGCGGGGCACAGTGGTTCATGCCTGAAATCCCAGCACTTTAGGAGGCCAAAGGCAGGAGGATTGTTTGAGCTCAGAAGTTCAAGGCCAACTTGCGCAACATAGTGAGACCCCATTTTTGTTTTTTTTTTTTTTTTTTTTGAGATGATAGAAGAGATGATAGAGTCTCACTTTGTTGCCCAGGCTGCAGTGTAGTGGCACGATCTCGGCTCACTGCAAGCTCTGCCTCCCAGGTTCACACCATTCTGCCTCAGCCTCCTGAGGCAGGTGTCTGCCACCACACCTGGCTTTTTTTTTTTTTTTTTTTTAAAGTAGAGATGGGGTTTCACCACATTAGCCAGGATGGTCTCAATCTCCTGATCTCGTGATCTGCTCGCCTCGGCCTCCCAAAGAAGTGCTGAGATTACGGGCGTGAGCCACTGCGCCCAGCCAGTGAGACCCCATTTCTACAAAAATTGAAAAATTAGCCAGGCATGGTCGTGTGCATCTGTGGTCCCAGGTACTCAGGAGGTTGAGCTGGGAGGATCACATGAGCCTGGGATGTTGAGGCTACAGTGAGCTGTGATTGCACCACTGTACTCTACTCTAGCCTGGGTGACAGAGTGAGACCTTGTCTCAAAAAAAAAAAAAAAAAAAAAAGTTGGGCACTGTGGTTCACACCTGTAGTCCCAGCACTTTGGGAAGCAGAGACAGGCGGATCACCTGAGGTCAGGAGTTCAAAACCAGCCTGGCCAACATGGCAAAACCCCATCTCTACTAAAAATACAAAAAAAAATTAGCCAGGTGTCGTGGTGCATGCCTGTAATTCCAGCTACTCAAGAGGCTGAGGCGGGAGAATCACATGAAACTAGGAGGCAGAGGTTGCAGTGATCCAAGATCGTACCACTGCATGCCAGCCTGGGCGACAAAGACTCCATCTCAAAACAACAACAACACAAAACCAGAAACCACCAGTGGGACAATCTTTCCTCCAAGAAAGAGGATAGTAAACTAAAGAGTTATTTACATCAATGACTTTTTTGTTGTGCCTTTTGTAGGGAGGAGCCAGAGATACTCTGGTGGTGGGAGGGATCTAAAGGAGCCTTTGAATGAATGCTGCCCTTTAAAAAGAGAAAATTAGCTGGGCGTGGTGGCTCACACCTGTAATCCCAGCACTTTGGGAGGCCAAGGCAGGTGGATCACCTGAGGTCAGGAGTTCAAGACCAGCCTGACCAACATGGAGAAACCCGGTCTCTACTAAAATACAAAATTAGCCAGGCATGGTGGCACATGCCTGTTATCCCAGCTACTCGGGAGGCTGAGGCAGGAGAATCGCTTGAACCCAGGAGGCAGAGGTTGCAATGAGCTGAGATCAAGATCACACCATTGCAGTCCAGCCTGGGCAACAAGAGCGAAACTCTGTCTCAAAAAAAAAAAAGAAAATTGGCAGAAGGTATTTGATGACACTAGTTAAGTGTTGAAAATGGGCTAGAGCGAGTTGAGTAAAAAAAAAAACGCAGAGGCATTAAGCAGGAGTGTCCAATCTTTTGGCTTCTGTGGGCCACATTGGAAGAATTGTCTTGGGCCACACATAAAACACATTAACAATAGCTACTGAGCTATTTTTTAAAAATTGCAAAAAATCTCATGATGTTCTAAGAAGTTTACAAATTTGTGTTGGGCCACATTCAAAGCCATCCTGGGCCGCATGCAGCTCATGGGCCACCGGTTGAACAAGCTTGCATTAAAGAGTCTTGTGGGCTGGGCGTGGTGGCTCACAGCTGTGATCCCAGCACTTTGGGAGACGAAGGTGGGTGGATCACCTGAAGTCAGGAGTTCAAGACCAGCCTGACCAACATGGTGAAAACCACATCTCTACTAAAAATACAAAAATTAGTCGGGTGTGGTGGTGGGCACCTGTAATCCCAGCTACTCGGGAAGCTGAGGTGGAAAGATCATGTAAACCTGCGAGGCTGAGGTTGCAGTGAGCCAAGATCATGCCACTGCACTCCAGCCTGGACGAAAGAGCAGACTCTATCTGAAAAAAAGAAAAGGCCAAGTTCGGTGGCTCATGCCTGTAATCCCAGCACTTTGGGAGGCCAAGGTGGGTGGATCACCTGAGCTCAGGAGTTCGAGACCAGCCTGGCCAACATGATGAAACCCCATCTCTACTAGAAATTAAAAAAAAAAAAAAAAAATTAGCCAGGCGTGGTGGTGTGTGCTTGTAATCCCAACTACTCAGGAGTCTGACGCGGGAGAATCGCTTGAAACCAGAAGGCAGAGGTTGCAGTGAGCCAAGATTGTGCCATTACACTCCAGCCTGGGCAACAAGAGCGAAACTCCGTCTCCAAAAAAAAAAAAAAAGAGAGAGAGAAAAAAGGGGTCCTGTGGCATTGATACCTCTAGATCCATATGAGATTGTTCCTGACCTCACCTTCCCTTTGGGTGTGGTATTTTAGCATTTTCTGTATGGCTTCAGAAGACACCCGGATTTTGAGGAAAGAACTTTCCTACCCTTTCCAGCAGCTTATTTCCCTAATTAAAAAAAAAAATTGTCAAGACAACATTTCTGGAGTGTAAGTATGTTGCTCTCAATTTGGGAATGAAAGTGCCAAGTGGTTTGATGGTAGATGGAATAGAAAGACCTCCCAACCCAAGGCTGATGAAAGAACGATAGGAGCAGAGAGTATCTTCTGTGATCAGCAGTTTCACAGTTGCATTCAAAATAAAGAGGACTAAGTCTAGTATCCACAGGAGGAAATAACTGTTTTCTGGTTCAGGGGCCACTGGTACTGGCTTAAGGGAGTTCTGCTACTCCTTTGAGACATTTTACATTCTTTTTTTCCTTTATACAAGCATACCTTGTTTTTTTGCGCTTTGCTTTGTCACACCTCTCCGTGGGTTTTTTACAAATTGAAGGTTTGTGATAACCCTGCAATGAGCAAGTCATCAGCGCCATTTTTCCAGTGGTATGTGCCCACTTCATCATGTCTGACATTTTGATAATTCTCACAATATTTCAAATCTCTTCATTATATCTGTTATGGTGATCAGTGATCTTTGATGTTACTATTGTAATTGTTTTGGAGGCCCACGAACTGTCTGTATAAGAGAGCAAACTTAATAAATGTGTGTATTCTAACTGCTACACTGACCTCCTGTTCCCTCATTTCCCTCTCTTCGGGCCTCCTTATTCCCTGAGACACAACAATATTGAAATCGGGCCAATTATAGCCCTACAGAGGCTTCTAAGTGTTCAAATGAAAGAGTCCCATGTCTCTCACTTTAAATCAGAAGCTAGAAATGATTAAGCTTAGTAAGGAAGGCATGTCAAAAGCCAAGACAGGCTGAAAGCTGGATCTCTTGTGCCAAACAGCCAAGTTGTGAATGCAAAGGAAAAGTTCTTGAAAGTAATTAAAAATGCTACTCCAGTGAACACACAAATGATTTAAAAAGCAAAACAGCCTCATTGCTGATACGGAGAAAGCTTTAGTGGTCTAGATAGATGAAACCAGCCACATTACCTTAAGTCAAAGCCTTACCCAGAACAACGCCCTATCTCTTTAATTCTCTGATGGTTGAGAGAAGTGAGGAAGCTGCAGAAGGAAAGTCAAAAGCTAGCAGAGGTTGGCTCATGAGGTGTAAGAAGCTGTCTCTGTAACATAAAAGTGTAAGAGAAAGCAGTAAGTTATCCAGAAGATCTAGCTAAGGTAATTGATGAAGATGGTTACACTAAACAACAGATTTCCAATAGAGATGAAACAGCATCCTATTGGAAGAAGATACCATCTAGGATTTTCACAACTTAGAGAGAAGCCAGTGCCTGGCTTCCAAGCTTGGGAAGGACAGGCTGACTCTCTCATTAGGGGCTAATACGGCTGGTGACTTTCAGTTGAAGCCAGTGTTCATTTACCATTCCAAAAATCCTAGGCCTGTTAAGAATTATGCTAAATCTACTCTTCCTGTGCTCTGTAAATGGAACAACAAAGCCTGCATAGCAACACATCTGTTTACAGCATGGTTTACAGATTAAGCCCACAATTGAGACCTACTGCTCAGAAAACCAGATTCCTTTCAAATTATTACTGCCCATTGACATTGTACCTGGTCATCCAAGAGCTCTGATGGAGATATACAAGGAGATTAATGTTTTCATGCACGATAACAACATCCATTCTGCAGCCAATAGCTCAAGGAGTAATTTTGACTTTCAAGTCTTATTTAAGAAATACATTTTGTAACGCTACAGCTGCTATGGATAGTGATTCCTCTGATGGATCTGGGCAAAGTCAACTGAAAACTGGGATGGATTCGCCATTCTGGATGCCATTAAAAACATTTGTGATTCATGGAAAGAGGAAAAATATCAACTTTTTTTTTTTTTCTTTTTGAGACAGGATCTCACTCTATCACCCAGGCTGGAGTACAGTGGCGTGATCTCGGCTCACCGCAACCTCCACCTCACGAGTTCAAGCAATTCTCCTGCCTCAGCCTCCCGAATAGCTGGGATTACAGGTGTTCACCACCATGCCCAGCTAATTTTTGCATTTTTAGTAGAGACAGAGTTTCACCACGTTGGCCAAGCTGGTCTCAAACTCCTGACCTCAGGTGATCCGCCCGCCTAGGCCTCCCAAAGTGCTGGGATTACAGATGTGAGCCACCATGCCCGGCCAAAATATCAACATTAACAGGAGTTTGGCTTACAATCCTTTCTACTTTCACCTTCAAGTCTAGCCTCTCGTTGTTTAAAATAAACATCGCGTGTAAAACAGAAAAGATAAAAATAGAGTGAAAAAAACAAAAAAATCCCAGGGTTTATGAGTTGATTCCAATCCTTATGGATGACTTTGAGGGGTTTAAGACCCATGGAGGAAGTAGCTACAGATGTGGTGAAAAACAGCAAGAGAACTAAAAGTGGAGCCTGAAGATGTGACTGAAATGCTGCAATCTCATAATAAAACTTGAATGGATAAGGAGTTGCTTCTTATGGATGAGCAAAAGAAAGTGTTTCTTTTGGCTGGGCGTGGTGGCTCATGCCTGTCATCCCAGCACTTTGGGAGGCCGAGGCGGGCAGATCACCTGAGATCAGGAGTTCAAGACCAGCCTGGCCAACATGGTAAAACCCCGTCTCTACTAAAAATACAAAAATTAGCCAGGCATGGTGGTGCGCACCTGTAGTCCCAGCTACTTGGGAGGCTGAGGCAAGAGAATCTCTTGAACCCAGGAGGTGGAGGCTGCAGTGAGCTGAGATCGCACCACTGCACTCCAGCCTGGGAGACAGAGCGAGACTCCAACTCAAAAAAAAAAATTATTTTTTTCCTCACTCTCATCCAGGCTGGAGTGCAGTAGCAATGATCATGGCTCACTGCAGCCTCGACGTCCTGGGCCCAAGTGATCCTCTCACCTCAGCGCCTCAACTAGTTGGGACTATTGGCATACACTACCACACCATTTTTTTTTTTTTTTTTTTTGTAGGCACAAGGTCTCCCTATGTTGCCCAGCCTGGTCTTGAACTCCTGGGCTCAAGCAGCCCTCCCACCGTGGCCTCCCAAAGTGCTGAGATTACTGGCAGAAACTGAAATGAAATCTATTCCTGATAAAGATGCTACAAACATCATTGAAATGACAACAGAGAGGTTTGAGATTTTGAAGTAAGTTATAATGGGGGTAAAATGCTATCAAACAGCATCACATGCTACAGAGAAATCTTTCGTGAAAGGAAGAGTTAATCGATACAGCAAACTTCATTGTTGTCTTAAATTGCCATAGCCACCCAACCTTCTGCAGCCACCAACTCTGATCAGTCGTCAGCTATCAATATTGAGGCAAACCATACACCAGCAAAGATTATGACTCACAGCTGATTGTTAGCATGTTTTAAGCAATAAAGCATTCCTTAATGTACATTGTTTTTTAGACATAATGCTATTGTACACTTAGTACAGTATCACATAAACATAACTTGTATATGCACCAGAAAATTCATGACTTGCTTTATTGCAGTGGTCTGGAACTGTTGGATGGAACGAATTTTATCTAGAGCCTGGTGAACAGCTTCCCAGGTGTGCATTTAGGGCCTCCTAGGGATCATCAAGTTTTAGGAAATAGGTTTCCTTCTTCCACAGGCATGGAGAAGGAAGGAAATTTTGCACTGGCCTTTGGGAAGCTGAAGAAGAGCTGGGGGGAGGCTTGTTCTGACAAAATAGTGACTCTCTCCCTGCTTGAAATGTCCCACAGAAGGCTGTTTCTGGTTCACATTTGCCCCTCTAGGTCCACTCCCTCCCCTTCATCCTGCTCACTGCCAGAGAGACTATGCTGGGAGTGGTGCATCGGTGGTCTCCAGGCCCTTTGAGGCTCAAGGTGTTCATTCCCTGGCTCCTTCCCTGCCATGTCTTTGTTCCTTCCTCCCTCCTTCCCATCCCAGCAACCACCCTCCTCCTTCCACCAGACCTGGGAACCATCATCCCAACCACAATCACCCCGTGGTTCTATTACACGTGTCAGTAGTTCTCAACCCCACCTGCAACTGGAATCACCTGGGAGCTCCCACCCCCAGTGGTTGATTTAATAGGTCTAGGGTGTGCCCTGAGCATTGAGAATTTTAAAAGCTCCACAGTTGATTCTAATGTGCAGCCACTACCCTGCCCACTACTACCCCACCCACTACTACCCCCAACCAGGCAGCTGGGGCCTCTGCACCAGCTCCTGCACATTAGTAGGGCCAATCCTTTGGCCTTCCTGCCCTGCGCCTCTTCATGGGCAAGGAGTTTGAAGGATCAAGGGGGCAGGCACTGTTCCAGAATCTTTGTTCTCCTTATAAACCATTACCTAGGTTCCCAGAACCTCAGGACCTCCAGCCCTTCCCCAGCTTTGTCCTCCAGACAGATCCCTTCGTCCTGAGAAGTGGCTGAGGCGTGGCTCAGTACAGAGGGTGGGAGGATGCTGGAGGGGATGTGCTGCAGGAGGGCTCTCTGTGTTCCTGCCATGGGCCCTGCAAATACTGGGAAGGGCTTGTCCCTATATCTACACCCTTATAATAAATCCTTGAATTTACTCATTTCAAGTGTGCAGCAGTTTCCTTTCAAGACCCTGCATGGAGCACAGACTTAGAAATCTGAGGGGCCTAAAGCCAAGACCACTGGCCGTGGAAAAGGAAAAGTTCACGAGAGGTCCCAGCTTAGGCACTAGGGCAGCCAAGTCATCTCTGCTTAGGAGAGAAAATAAGGGCTGGTAGAGAAAGGGTATTGCTCAAGACAGGCCACACACCCTGTAGCAGAATCATGCTGCGTTGTCTGTATAGGGGAGGATTGGTGAGGAAGGGCAGAGTGAAGGCCAACAGTTCGGTCCCAGAATAGGGAAGGGTGGGTGGGCCAGGCCTGGCTCCAACCCTACCCTTGAACCAGACTGCAAACACTCAAGTTATGCAAATAGATTATCCAGCCTCACAGTGGAGAGGGAACAGATACAATTAAATACAACCTTGCTTTCCATTTTACTCATGTTTGGCAACTAATTGATTTTTTATTTTTTATTTAACTAATTGATTTTTAGTTTTTTAAGAACTTTATCAACATCTTCATATTTTTTGAGACAGGGTCACCCAAGCTGCAGTGCAGTGATGCAATCATGGCTCACTGCAGCCAACTTCCTAGGCTCAAGCTGTCCTCCTGCATCAGCCTCCTGAATAGCAGGGGCTACAGGTGTGTGCCACCATGCCTCACTCATTTATTTTTTGTACAACGACAGAGTCTCACTTTCCTACCCAGCCTGGTCTCAAACTCCTGAGCTTAATGATTTTTCCACCTTGGCCTCCTAAAGTGCTCGGATTACAGGCATGAGCCCTTCATACTTCTTAATAAACAGATCTGAGACTTCAGTACCAGTATGTAAAGGAAAAGTCCACCTTAATTCAAAAAGAATGAGAGGGGGGTCCCAAAAGGAGTTTGTTCTGAGGCCTGTTCTCTGCTCACTGAAGGATGCTTGGCTGAGGGGGCCTCTGGGAGAAAGGGTAAAAGGTTTTGTTCTGCTTTGCAGATAGAGGAACATCACCTCTTACATGGGCTGCTGCCACATAAGGGACTGCCATCTCTGCTTCCATTTCAGTTCTTCCCAGACACTGGCTCTGCTCCCCTAAAACTGTTAAGGTCAAACCAACCACCTGGAATGGTGATGCTACCTTACTGTGCTTTTCCTCACATCAGTTTGGTATAAATGCACTGGATGTTACCCAAGGGTTTATAACCACCAATGTTTGCTCTTCCCAAGAGGTTGTGCAAACATCAGCTATGGCCACAAATGACAGGCAGGAAATGACATGTATGTCAGTTGAGACTGCACATCTCCCACACAGGTACCTTGACCAACTCACAAAGATTGCAACACTAGCTTTTTTGAGGAAAAACGGGGATAAAAGCAATCAGATTCCCAGCCTGGGCAACGTGGCAAAACTGTCTCCACAAAAAAATACAAAAATTAGCCAGGCATAGTGACATGCAGCTGTAGTTGCAGCTACTCGGAAGACTGAGGCAGGAGAATCACTTGAGCCCAAGAGGTTGAAGCTGCAATGAGTCGAGATCATGCCACTGCACTCCAGCCTAAGCGAGAGACCCCCATCTCAAAAAAACAGAAACAGCCAGGCACGGTGGCTCACGCCTGTAATCCCAGCACTTTGGGAGGCTGAGGTGGGCAGATCACAAGGTCAGGAGTTCAAGACCAGCCTGGCCAATATGGTGAAACCCCATCTCTAGTAAAAATAAAAAAATAAAAAAATCAGCTGGGCCCACGTGGTGGCGCATGCCTGTAGTCCCAGCTACTCGGGAGGCTAAGGCAGAAGAATCACTTGAACCCAGCAGGCTGAGGTTGCAGTGAGCTGAGATCGCACCACCGCACTCCAGTCTGGGCGACAGAGCAAGACTCCATCTCAAAACAAACAAACCAACCCCAGAAACAATCAGATTCCCCAAGTGTCAGACACTGCACAGTAGAGAATGCCTTTAAACGAGGCATACCCGACATACAGCTAGATAACATCAGCTCTCATTGGTTTAGTCGGTGGTGTACACAAAAGAAGGGCTCGCAGTGTGCAGGCTAATTTCATGTTTTTGTATCAGGCTGTAGATAAAGGAGGACAAACAGCCAGTCTGCTGAGTGAAGAAGGAACGGAGCTATGGAAAATACCTGGGAACACTCACATAAAAACAGTGCCCCAAGCTGGTCCAAAAAGGTTGGCACGAAGGTACTGACAAGTCCAAGTTAGAAGCGGTGATTGGACAAAGCCCAGGAAGGGAACCTCTAGGTCATAACATAACCACCGGCTCAGAGCCTGCTGCTAGGGGAGCTACTACTGGTGCTAACAGAACTGAGGTTATACCAGATGCACAATGAGAGGTACCGAGCAAACCCCACATAGCTGCAGTGGGAGTTTCCACCAAGGATGCTCCCATGAGACCAGCTATGGCCAGAGGACAAGGTCCTCCAAGACCCCTTTACCTCCCTGTCAGGTTTCTCATACTAAACAGAAAATTATGGTATGGCCCAGAGCAGTCAGGTCCTGGAGGCACTCCTCACATTAAAATGGTCACTCGAGAGGAATGCACACATTTTACAGAGTGTGTTGTGTGAGGCACTGTGGGCGATGCCCTCTGAGTTGAGTGCAGTGGGTGGGCAAGCTCCACAGTGGTCCCTCGGTATCTGCAGATGCTCAAGTCTCTGATGGAAAATGGCTTAGTATTTGCATATAACCAATGCATAGCCTCCCATCTACTTTAAATCACCTCTAGATTGCTTATAATACCTAATGTAAACAGTTGTTATGCTTGTATTGTTTAGGGAATAATGACAAGAAAAAAAGTGTGTATGTTCAGTACAAACACAATGTTTTTTTCTGAGTATTTTAAATCTGAGGCTGGTTGAATCTGCGATGCAGAACCTACAGATGGGGAGGGCCAAAGATACGGTGACAGACAAGAAGAGGGGCATGTGGTGGCAGATGTGCAGAGGGCGCTGAAAGGCACCCAGCCAAGCAGGGGCATAGGGTTGGGTTCCAAAAGAGGTATCTCCTAAGCACAGAGCCACCAACGTGCTTAGGGTTTGAACAGTCCTCTCGTATGTCTGTTTTAACCTGGAGTCATTTAAGAGAGCCTAAAAAAGCAAATGTTACTCTTACCTGAGCCCCTCCTTAGCTTTCAATTCACTCCTTCCTTGGGTCTGGACCATCCACTGGGCAGGGGAGAGGTGAACCACTCCAGGAATAGGAGCAGCAGCTCCCTGACTCCTCCTCTAGTTTCCCTGGTTCTGGTTTTTGCTTCAGATGATCAAGTAAGGGCTTGAAGTAGGAGGTAGGAGAGAAAAAAACTAAGCCAGGTGTACTGAGTCCCTGAAGAAAAGCTGAGGGGGGAGGTTTTCTCTTTTTTGGTGGGGGCAGGGGTGCAGTGGGGAGAGGCTAGGGTGCTGGTGCCCACACTGACACACTATCATGTCCTTTCTTGAATTCTGTGATCCTACAGCAATGCAGGAAAGCAGGTAGTGCGGCACACTACTGGAGACATTTTAAAAGCCTGCTGTTTTCACCAGCTTGGCACTAGGGGGCCCTGAAGAACAGCATCTTTCACCTAAGAGGAAAGCTACACTTGCCTAGAAATGAAGCCCTGGGAGGGGGTGTCCTCTGATGCCACCTGCTAATCCTCCACCTTTCATGCAGACAGCACCGGGAACCAGGTCCTGCCACATAGTTCAAAACAGATAACCGGCGATTTCTGAGGGACCCAAGTACTGCATGCCAACTGGGGCTGGGACATACTTACTGTGCCCTCTGCTCTTGGTCACTTTAACCCCTCACGCAGTCACAGCTTTGTGTCCCACATGAAAACCAGATCAAGAGTGGCTGATCTGTGAAAACCAACCAAGAGAGTTGTTTATCCAGTGTCCAGGCTGGGCCAGTGTAGAGCCATAGTCAATGTCAGCCATAGCTGACGTCTACAGGCAAGCTGTACTCTAGGTCCTTTATGTTGATCTCCTTTAAACCTAAATTATGAATCATAACAAACCAATTAAGAAGGCACTACTGAGATGGCCAGTTTACAGCAAATACAAGGGGAGTAGGACAAACACTGGAAACCTCAACCAAGGGGACAGCTAGGATTTAGAAGCATTTTCCAACATGCCTCACCTGGGTGAGTCATAAGGAAAAACACTCTTGAAGGAAAAGCTATTCTCAGCCTCCTCTTGATCCCGTGTCACAGACAAATCTGATGAGCCTGGAGGCTGCAGCCTACCATGTCACCAAGCACATCAGCCCAGCACAGCGCCTCCCCTAGAGCACGTACCATCCTTCTCCACAGCCTGCAGCCGACACTGGTCTCAAGGCTTTTTGGTGGGTACTCGATTTCAAGCCAGCCTAGTTTTTAGATCTTCCACCCACAGCAGCTTTCTGGGGTCCAACACCTCCCAACCCCACCAAGCACTAAGCAGCTACAGGCTTGAATAGATCCTTAGTGACTCCCAAATGATGACGCCTAGATAAGCTGTAAGAATCTCCTAGATAATACGTCACTCGAACAGGAAATACAATGGTTGTGAACAGACAACAAACGGAAGAACTGACAGGTTGCAAAAATTTAAACTTCAATGTTAAGTGAAGATGGCCTCTTCCGTGGCAGAAAAAAACACTTTATCTCCAACAATTCAAAACAATTTAAAAAATTCTTATGATTCAATTCACAAGAACCTTCTTCAACATTGTATCAAAACAGGAGAAAAAATCTTTGCAAAACTTGGGTTCCATTTAAGATGCATGTTTTTATTTAAGTTTTAAAAAATTTTGTAACCAGACAGGATAAAGTAGACAAGAATGTTATTATCTAACTATATAATATTTTCTCAATCTTGTGGATCACTAAAATATAACAAAGGATTGTTTTCTATGCTAATTTTCAGGTTGTCCAGTTAAACCATTATTTGGTATCCTTTGAGCAGGTTAGCCTTTCAACTATTTAGAGTTTCTTCTCAGAAACATTCATATATTATACAGGAAACATTCATAGTTTATTTGGGAAACATTCATATTTTATACAAGATGTACAAATTTAAGACTAGACAATTAAAAAAAAAAAACACAAAATTATAGCCGCAACACTATCCTAGCTGCATTGTGGTGATTATATTGTTCCGTTAGCTGTCCATTATATACAACTGGATTTTAATCGTGCTATTCACAGAGGGGCCAAAGCACTCATCTAAAGGTAAAGGCGCTCAGGTTTAACGTGCACTTTCATAGCCCCATGAAAACACAACCATTATATACACTGTAAACACCACAGGGCATGAAATCCACCTCCAGCCACAAACATCAATCTCACAGGATCAAGCATACGAGGTCTAAGGTGGGGTGCCTGACTTTTCTTTTTAAGAATACTTTTCATCTAAAAGTCCTGCTATTCTTTTCACAGGACAATATTCACTTATTTCAAATATGTTGCCAGTGCTCAAAACATTTCTGGAACCCATTTTTGAGGACTACCTGCAGCATCTGCAGTGAACTCTTCTGAATGTCCTGGATGGTGGTGAGTCTTCATCCTTTGAGGATGGGTTTGATTTAGGAAAACAGGCAGTTATTCACAGCCAACTGAATCCAACTGTGGGATACCACCCGGGTTCAAACATGAGATGCCACTATAAACAACAAGACCAATTTTTTTGTACAGCTCGTAAATTTAGAGTTTAGAAAATGCCTGAGCAATGCAGTCCTGATGATGTACAGATTCTTCTAGAGTGATGACTCAGGGGGCTACGCTCATTTGAACGGTGTATCTAGGTGTTTTGCAGCTTTAGAAACCGGTCCTTTTGTTGCCTCTCACATGGACTTTAGTATTCCTCTTCAGCTTCAGTCCCTTTTGCTTTCTTATGGATTGCCCGATTAAAGCTGTGGCAGGCAGGAACCCAGTGATTGTCATGAAGCCCCAGCTTACAGCCAGGGAATCCTTTCTGAGACCGGTGGCAGCACATCCAATACCCTGGCCCATAGGGCAATGCCTGGCAATAGGGCTTGGGGTGCCATCGGCACAGGGACACATCCCCTTTCACATACTTTTTCTTGCACTGTTTGCAAGGATCCTCTCTATAGCGTGGATCTCGAACCCAGCGAGAATCTGCTGGCCTGATATTGTAGTACTCAATGATAAACTTGAAATAGCAGCAGGTACATTTAAGGGCCACTAAACTCTTGGTGGGAAGTAACCTGAAGATTTTTACCATAATGTGGTGGGGCAGAAAAGCCATGTACTGCTGAGGCTCCAAAAGCTGCTGGATTTTAAACCTGGTCTCCAGGAAGTCATGCGACACCTGCTTCTTCCAACTGGATGCCTCAAGCACTGGTAATGTACTTTCCACAGAAGAGGCTGGCAGTACAAATGGCTCAGCAGACCCACTTTTTTCCTCAGATGCACTGTCACCCCCAGCAGCATCTTCAAGCTGGCTGGCCTCTGAAGACTCTTTTGTTGTGCTTTCATTCAACTGGGAATAGTCTGACAAGTGCTGACCAGGTGGCAAAAAAAACAACATCCCTGGAACTGGGTCTTCACAGGAGTTTAAAATGGAAGGCTGGTCTTTGTCTACCTTGGACACAGTGATACTAATGCACAAAGATTCTTTTCTTTGATCAGGATTTCGGCTAGTAAGGGACACAAGCTCTCTGCTCATACAATCAACAGCATCTGTGGGCAATTCAGAGGCTTGGGAATAGGTATGAGAGGAAAAAGGTAACCCAACGAGTTCATCTGTCATTTCCACATCATATCTGTTGCTGTTTTTCACGGCAGTTTGCGAACCCGGCTCTAACTCTGCACTGTCTATGTGGAAACTCACTCCTGCTGGCAATGGGGGGCAGTCCTGAGAAGCACCGTCCCAGGCCTGGTCCTCCTTAGGAGAACAACGATCAGCTCTTGAAGGGCCACAATCCACAGATACAGACCCCACAGGATTCACCTGAGTGTCAGGTGCCTCCAAGACGCCTTTCTTTGTTTTGCCTTCATCAGCCTGAGTGCTATTTGCAAGCAATACTCTGCCCACATTTCGACGGAAGCTGTTATTCCTTGAGAGGCTCCCAGGCTCACGCTGGCCCTGCCGCTTCAGGCACTCAGACTCCAACTTGGCTACCATGTCAAGGACACGGACTGGTTCGCTCTGTGGTTCACCAACCTCAAGATTTCCCCTTTCTGTGGGTTCTTCACAAGCTCCTGGGGCAGAATAGGACTCAGACACTGCAGGCACACCTCTGGATTGGCCAGAAAACCTCACAATTGCAGGTGAGTTTGTGCAGTTTTTTGAACAGCTAGCTAGCAGAGCACTGGCTCTTTGCTCCAAGAAGGCAACCATCTGTATAACTGACAGAGGCCTCCCAGCATAGACTCCATCCCCACTGTCACTCACATAGTGCACAGAACAGTGCTCAATGCCACATGCAAAAGGCTCAGGTTGGTAGCACCTGCTGTTAACCTCCCTCATCCTTTCCACCTGTACCTTGGCTTTTTTAAGATCCCCTGATTTTTTCCTTCTCTTAGTAGCTCTCCCATCAATATCCCAGGAACTTTTTATTTTCATAGATCCTATCCTGTTACTACACTGGTGGGATGCAAAGAATGCAATTTTTTCCTTGGTATTTCCAGGTTTCACAACAGCCCAGATATCAAGTGGTCCTTCTTCTTCGCCCTGGTGGATCGTTGCAGATGGTGCATTCTTTTTGGTTTTAACATTCAAGCTGCTCTCTACAGGACTCTTCCCACTCATACTGCACAGAACATTTGGAGAAAGGATCCCAAATGGCTTTCGAGATGATGCTTTACCGAGAGAGGCTGAAGGAAAGACACTTGATGTTATGTGGCTAGCTTTGCATGTTTCATCATTTACAGCCTTTTGGTGGTTCATAGGAGTTCTCTGCGTTTCCCTGCTGACTTCCGGGGGGTGCTCTTTCTTCTGGAGCTTCCAATATGGCTTTAGGTGCATAACAAAGCCCCTATAGGAAAGAAATACACATTTGATTCAGAAACCAATTTTGTTTTTAGAAAAAAATGTTTTTAAATTTAAGCTCAGATGGTTCTTAGCAACTAAGAAAAACATGTTCTACCAGTTCATTAAATCTTTACCAACTCTCTCATGATAGTTTTTACTGCACATATCAAGAATAACAAACAGCTACCAGTTTATATGGTGTGTAGTACTTTTTTTTTTTTTTTACAGAAAATAAATTGGTTTTGACTGAAGAACTTCAGAAACTGACTTCAGTTAACATTTGGTAAACTTTAACCTTTTAAATTAAAAAAAAATCTGAACTTCCTGAAAACAACTAAGTATTAGGCATAGTACAGAAGAAAGGAAAGTATAAAAAGAACTCCTCCAAGATCCCTACTAGATTTTTAAACACCCTTTCTAAATCATCACAATTCGCATTTTATTAGTTGCAAACAGCCCATCAAAATTATTGCTTCCTGGCCGGGCATGGTGACTGACGTCTGTAATCCCAGCACTTTGGGAGGACAAGGCAGGCGTATCACGTGGGGACAGGAGTTGAAGACCAGCCCGGCCAACATGGGAAAACCCTGTCTTTACTAAAAGTACAAAAATCAGCCGGGCGTAGTGGGGCGTGCCTGTAATCCCAGCTACTCGAGAGGCTGAGGCACAAGAATTGCTTTAACCTAGGGGCAGAGGCTGCAGCCAAGATCGCACACACCACTGCCCTCCAACCTGGGCAACAGAGCGAGACTTTGTCTCAAAAAAAAAAAAAAAAAAGAAAATTATTGCTTCCTAAACTATTCCCATACCACTGAATACTGAATATTTAGATGTTTACAATTTTTCATTTGCTTCCTGTGTACTTTGCCCATCTATTAGTCTTGATTTTCTAAATAATCTATGTGTAGAAACATTTAACTGTCGAATTTCCTGTAACCATCTTAAATATAGACCCTACAGTCCTTATTAATTCTAAAACCATTTTAAACTAGTTCAGAAAGATGGTGCCTTGTTTTGGTCCTTGGCCAGGGGTAGAGATGGGAGCTATTTCAGAAACGAGACAAAAAGATGATTACATGCAGAGACTAGTGTTCCAGTCCCTGCCATATCAGTGATTATCTAGACATGGTGATTTTACCTTGGGCAAGTCACTTCCTCTCTCGGTCTCAGCTGAAATGTTAACTGAGGGGCTGAAATACTAGATAACCTAATGAACTTGTCAATGTACAATTTACATAAAACAGCCCACTGCTACACAAAACACCCTGGATTGAGGAAAGAGTGTTTTCTAGGGATGGCTGGACTCCTGCAAAATAAACCTAGAAACTAAAGATCTGCAGTCCCAGTTTGGTGGGAGTGAGGCAATAGTACCTACAGGTCTA
Organism: Homo sapiens; assembly: GCF_000001405.40. NCBI lineage: Eukaryota > Metazoa > Chordata > Mammalia > Primates > Hominidae > Homo > Homo sapiens. Next base: position 55,349,002 of record NC_000014.9, on the reverse strand, counting down.
AGCACGTGAAGTTTCACCTACTCTTGCTCACTGGGACAGCAGCTGAACACATACATCTCAGACAGCTCAGTATATTCATCCTCCTTTGCTCCACATTTACTGGGTACCTGCCATATGGCAGCCTCTGTGGTAACTGATTTCAGGTTATCAGTTTTAATCACCAAGAATGAAAGTGATCGTCTGGAACAAGTTTACCTTTCACCTTCAACTTTTAAATCCTACATTCTAGTCTCAGATAAAAGAATTATGGATATTGATATCTTCTAGCCAGATAAAGAGAAATTTTGCATTTAAAGCATACAAAGTGTTTTTTAAAAGTTACCCCTGAAATAGGAGCCAGGCATGGTGGCTCACACCTATAATCCCAGTGCTTTGGGAGGCATAGGTGGGAGGACCCTTTGAGGCCAGGAGTTTGGGACCAAGTTTATTCCTAGTGATTAAAACTGGTATCTGAAAACAGTTACCATAGAGGCTGCCATATGGCAGGCACTCAGTAAATGTGGAGCAAACGAGGATGAATACACTGAGCTGTCCAAGATGTATGCTTCAACTAGGAAAGCCTGGGCAACGCGGCAAGACCTCATCTCTAAAAAAAATTTTTTTTTAATTAGCCAGGTGTGACGGCACGTGCCTGTAGTCTCAGCTAATGGGGTGGTTGAGGCAGAAGGATCTATTGAGCCCAAGAGTTTAAGGTTACAGTAAGCTATGATCACACTGCTATACTCTAGCCTGGGCAACACAGCAAGACCCTGTCTCCAAAAACAACAACAACAAAAAAACCCAACCAAACAAACCCAACCAACCAACCAAACAAAACCTTTGAAACAGATCTTATCAGGGTCTTTCTGATCTTTGGCAATTTATAGCCTAATCATCTGTAGAGATCTTCCCCCTTTCTGCACTGTGACATTTTTAATAGCTTTCTATCATTATACTGTATAGTCTTACAAATAGAGCTACCCAGAATTCAAGAACGGATGACATATAAATGAATAAAAGAGGCACACCTAGTGCTCTCTGTGCCAACTATTTTCTACATTTTCATATCCGTTCAACCCCATTCCTAAATGAAAGAAATGGAAGTGTTGAAAAACCCAATAAATTCTCACATAATGATCTCATTACACAGTATCTATGAATAAATTTAAACTTTAGCAATATGTGCGCCATTGTGCATTGCACAATATGTTCTCTTTGACTTCTTCCCCCATATATTATTTTAGGTGCTATTATTGATAGAGAGGGACATTAAAAAGAAACTAATGTAATTACAGAAGGCTTTTATTTGCATTCCAGCTTTAAAGTCAGCTCAACTAACACTTTGTGTGCAAGATTTTAGCAAGATTAAAATAGGAGGTGATCCCAGGGAACAGACGTGAGGGAAGGAAAATAGCCAGTAAGGACACACAGGGTGACTGCTGCAAAGTGGGGTGATTCTGTGAGACCCCTGAAAGAAGCAGGACATTTAGGCACCAGCTCCAATCCCTCACTGGTTGAAGGTTGCCTGAGGTTAGCCTTTCCCCATCATTTGCTGGGTTTGAGAGCCCTGAGGCAGAAAATAGAAAGCTGTTGGCAAGACACAGAGAAACTACAAAAATCTAAGTTTTGTTTGAAACCAGTGATGGCCTGAGAGGATATAATGCAGGGAGCAAAGGGCATCTGCTGCAAAAATCCATAAAGCAAAAACTTTAAATCTCCAACAGATTACAACAGATGGTGGCACTTTCCCACCCCCAAGTCACCCCCACACACAAAGGCAGGCATGGGTGGGGTAAAGCTCCAGCTAGGTTTCCATGGTTGCCAACCTCTTCATCACAATTGTATTTTAAACTGTTGCTATAATAAAGTCCTGCTCTCTTGCAATAAAGTAAAATGCAGGTTTATAGCACCTACACATCAATGTTCTTCAGATTCTCAGAAAGGCCCTTAGAAGAAATTAAGATCCCCTAGGCCCGCTGAATCACAATTTCTCAGACTGGGCCCAGAATCTGTTTTTAATGTTAGGTTGAAATTGGAAGGGACTTTAGAGGTCATGTGTTAGATCTAATGTAAGAGTAGGATTCTGGATGTGGACTGGGGTGCTGGGCTACTAACGGGTAAGGTGGAACTGCCCAACAAAATGCCAAGCAGACAGTCCATACTGAAGCATCTCATCTAAGGGCTGGGTAAAAACACACCCGTTTTCTTGATATTTTCTTTTTAAAACACAATAAACTCAACGGCCTTTTTTCTCTTAATTTCCTGGCTTCTAGAGCTGAAGGTCAAATGGCCTTTTTATTGCCAAATTCCCTCTTCAACCACCAGCTCCTCAGTTTCTTTGACATAGACTTCCCAGCTCTCTTCTTCCCCAGCCCCTAAACATCAGTGTTCTTCAGAGTTCTTTCTGTTTCTAGACCACTACTCTTCTTAAGCTATATATCTAAGTGATTTCTTGTAGTTTTAACTCAAACATTTCCAGTGACACACTCTCCCCAACTTCATATCCCACAGCCTGGTAGACATACTCACCTGGATATCAAAAAGAATCTCAAAATCAACACTACTAGTTAATGATAGCCTCAAGTATACCTAGTCCATTAAGCCAGAAGCTTGAGTCACTTAGATTCCTCCTTTCTGATCCCCACATCTCATCGCCAAGTCACTAAACTGTGCCACTCTTTATCCCTAGCACAACTGCCCTAGTCATCTCTGCTACACTGTCATCAGTTATTGGAAAACCTAACCTCTATCAATACAAGCAAAGTGCTGAGGCCCATTCCAGCCAACCTGACAGCTTTACTCCTGCTTTGCTCTACCATACTTCACACTTTGAAAGCTTGTTCACAGAACCATGACTACTAGACTAGGTAGTGAAAGCCAATTATATTAAGATACAATTTGAAGGCAGCCAAGACCAAGACCATAAAACATGTAGCATCAGATTTTTTATACTAACCTCCAACCTACAAATGTTCATTTCCTTCTACTCATTTTTTATTTATTTAATTTCGTTCTTTCTGAGGCAGGGCCTTCCTCTGTCACCCAGGCTACAGTGAGTGGCGTGATCTTGGCTCACTGCAGCCTCAACCTCCCAGGCTCAAGCAATCCTCCTACCTCAGCTTCCCAAGTAGCTGCAACCACAAGCACATGCCACAATGGCCAGCTAATCTTTTTAAAAATTTTTTGTAGAGACAGGGTCTCACTAAGTTGCCCAGGCTGGTCCTGAACTCCTGGGCTCAGGTAAGCCTCCCACCTTGGCCTCCCAAAGTATTGGGATTACAGGAGTGAGCCACCACACCCAGCCCTACCTGTTTATTATCAGAAATGTCCTAACCGCTCTGGGCTAGACACTGGTATAAATATGAGTAAAACATAGTTGCTGCCCTTGAGACAGAAAAGCAAACAATTACAACAAATGTTATATGTGTCAGAAGGATAGCACAGGGTGCTGTGAGAGCCCATGGGGAGACGGGGAGAAGAAGGAAGAGGTATGGATGAAGAGGGAGAAGGGGACATCAGCACCAAGCTCACCTGAGGGTATAGGAACAGGTCAGAGAAGTCCTGATTTTCTAAGCTAAGCCCTGAGGGAAGATACGCAAAGTCCTAAGCCTTCAAAAGTGGATGATGCTTTTAGGAAATTCAGGTAGGTGGGAAATAAAGAGAGTCTAAGTTAAGGTGCTAAGAGTAGAGAGATGACAAGTAAATGGGTTCACAGGAATAACAAGAAGGTTTCTAACTACTGACTGAAAATGGAGGATGAGGGAGAGGAGTCAAGGATGGGTCCTCATCTATGGCTTCAGCAACTACATGAAGAGTGATGCCTCCCAGTGAGATGGCAACAGGTGGCTGAGCATACTTGGAGCAGGGGAGGCAGAGGTAAATTCACTTTAATAAATGTTGGGGTCATCATTTGACCCCATCATCATCCTGAACTCCTGGACTCAGGTAAGCCTCCCACCTTGGCCTCCCAAAGTATTGGGATTACAGGAGTGAGTCACCACACCCAGCCCTACCCGTTTATTATCAGAAATGTCCTAGCCGCTCTGGGCTAGACACTGGTATAAATATGAGTAAAACATCGTTGCTGCCCTTGAGACAGAAAAGCAAACAGACAATTACAACAAATGTTATACGTGTCAGAAGGATAGCACAGGGTGCTGTGAGAGCCCATGGGGAGAGCAAACTAACACAGGAACAGAAAACCAAACACCGCATGTTCTCACTGTGGGAGTTGAACAATGAGAACACATGGATACAGGGAGGGGAACATCACACACTGGGGATGTTGGTGGGTGGTGGGGGTGGAGGACAAGGGGAGGGAGAGCATTAGGACAAATACCTAATGCATGCAGGGCTTAAAACCTAGATGACAGGTTGATAGATGCAGCAAACCACCATGGCACGTGTATACCTGTGTAACAAACCTGCAAATTCTGCACATGTATCCCAGAACTTAAAGTAAAAAAAAAAAAAAAAATACACATACACAAAAATTAACATTGGGCTTGAGTGCCTACAAGACAGAGATATCCAGGAGGCGAAATGACTCAGGTCTGGTCAAGAGAAACAGGAGGAAAGGAAGAAGACAGTTGTCACAGAAACATTTCAATGAGGAGAAAGTTTTCTGGATAGAGATAACAACTCTTTTTCCAAAATTTTTCACAATGACCATGTATTACTTTCATAATCAGGAAAAAAAAAAAGTCTGTAAAAGGAAGGCACAGTCAGCAGCAAGGTCAAATAAAGAATTGTGCCCACTTGGTGATAAAGACCCCTGGTGACCCTGCTGTGAGGAAGTACAGTGGACAAGAAGTCAAAAGTTCATGATGGAGGGGTGACTAGAAGGTGAGAGGGTGAGCACCAACTACAGCGACTCTCTCACTAAGCTTGGCTATGAAGGACAGTCTCAACATACCTGTCAGCTTAAATCCTTTCCAGGTCTATGGGGAGATAGAATAGTGAACCAGGTATAATTTGAGCAACTTTATTCCAGTAAAGGCCCAAATCCTGCATTCAATAATTCCAGTATTCCTTTTAGACTCTAAGTTCAGCTTAAAAAAGTAAAGAAAAGAAAACTCTCACCTAAAGACAGTATACACTCCCCAAAATGAAGCCATAAAAGACAACTAAACTTTCCTTTTTAAAAAATGTACTTGGATAAATCCTAACACCTAAAGAGTCATACTAACTCTTGTCCACAGAGGGGTAAACCTGATGAAGAATCGAATGACAATACGTGGTCAGAAAAGGAGAAAGGACGATATTTCTCTTAGTGCTAATAGGAAGCCACAATATCAAAGGCAGATGCCAGTTTTCTAACTTGCTAGTCTTCAGCCTTGCTTATCAAAACAAGTTAGAAGATACGACAGTTCATGTTTCTTTCTGCTTCAGTAAAGGCACAGGAATGCTAATTCCAAAAAGGAGTCACTTATTAGCATAAGAGCCACTCTTTATTTATAAAAATCGGAGGAATAATGGCTGGGGGCATGGCTCACGCTAGTAATCCCAGCACTTTGGGAGGCCGAGGCAGGCAGATCACGAGGTCAGGAGTTCGAGACCAGCCTGGCCAACATGATGAAACACCATCTCTACTAAAAATATAAAAATTAGCCGGGTGTGGTGGCATGCGCCTGTAATCCCAGCTACTCAGGAGGCTAAGGCAGGAGAATTGCTGAATGCGGGAGGCAGAGGTTGCAGTGAGCTGAGGCCACGTCACTGCACTCTAGTTCTGGGCGACAGAGCAAGACTCCGTCTTGGGAGACCAAAAAAAAAAAAAAAAAAATCGGAGGAATAAAAATAGAATAGTATACAAAGGCCCCTTCTCATTATATAATACCTTTAGAGAGGAAAAAAGTATACAGTAAGAAAATTCATCATTTGTGTCTTAAAAACTGTAAAAGCTTCCAGAGACCATCTTATGACAGCCTTCTTCACTGGACCATTGTACAAATGATTAGCAACTTCAGCAAAGTGCTGCAGATATATATAATGAAATCCTTGTTTTTACAAATGAGGAAGCACAAATAAAGTGACTTCTGAAGCCCCACAGCTAGACAGTGGTAAAATTAAGATTAGAATTAGATAGGAAATACAGTCTCCTGGATCTATACTTTCCCCACTATGAAGGATGATATATCGAAAACCTACGATAAATTATGACGCAAATAAAATTAAATAATTCTGACAGCATCTATTCCAAGAGCTTTTATCTTTCAAACTAGGTCAGTTTTTAATAAGTGCCACATAAAACTACTACACAGAGCTGTGATGCATTATGGCAGACAGATCACATAAACCATACTAATCTAAAAGCATATAAAAGGCTGTTTCAATGGCTATTAAATTGGAAAAAATGCCAAGACCAGGAGGGTGTGAATATAGGCAGAGGCACAAGAAAAGACTTCCCCCTCCATGTCTCTAAGCACTGACAGAAAAAATGCATCCAACTCCCACAGCATGCCTTTTTTAAAAAAGGAAAAAAGGGAGAAAAAATAACCCTATCGGTCAGAAAATGCAGTATTTCTCAAATTAACTTTCAAAATATTGGGGGATGACTTTTTCGGGGAGGCAGTCCACTCCCTTTTATTTTTAGGGAATATTCTCTAAAATCAATTCATGTAACTTCTTAATTTTGCCTTATGAGGACTGGGTGGTTAGGGTTAGTGGCGAACGACAGAAAAGTCCTTTATTGTCTGTTAATGGATACTGAGTAATAGAATGGCCTTTGGAAACACATGTATGGTTTTCAAAAACTGCTCACGGCTTCCATCTTAGAATTCACAATGGGATTTAAATACAGCACCTACCTGCTTCAAAGTTATCTATAATATTGACCAAATGAAGCTAACTTCCAGAAGGTAGAGAAAGGTCTATGATAAGTTTGATGGGACAACAAAGTATCCAGAACATATTAAAAAGGAATATTGACAAGTTGGGAATGACAGCCACTACACTTTGGTTTTCTTTTGTGCTCGCAATAAATGCAACACCTAATAGTTTGACAGTATTACAAAATAGTGAATTAGTAATATTATGCAAATTTACACAGTTCCCCAGCCCACTTTTGTTGGAGTAGGGAGGGAAGAGAAGGGCCTGGAGGAAAGAACTTCTGCTTAAGCTGTTGTGAATTATTAAATAACACTTCAGGATAGAGACAAAATAAAGCATTCCATTTTGTTAAACTTAATGATGTTTAAGTTAATCCGTAGTCATTTCCTATTGCTCCTATGACATAATGCCAAACACCCACAAAACTCCAGCATATCACATTTACTGCTAAGCAGGCAAATGAAAAGCCTACCAGTGGTAAATGCCACTAGAATGAACAACAAAATGCAGATGAAACCTCATAAAAAGTTAAAGTCCAAAAAAATTAATACATTTTGAAAAATACATTGAGCATTACCAGGAAAATTTAATTTCCAAGGATTTTCAGATATTCGGAGTTCCTATTAACAACTCTCTTGCATATTTTACCTATTCTAATATTTTTTACAGAAACTGAAGGAAAATAAAACTCCTATCCCTTTGCATAGCAAACCACTACTTCCTTGAGTGGGCTGATGCTTGCTTTTACTTTGAAACCAATCATTTTTCCATATGACAAAGATCCTTTGCTTGGCCAAACTTGAGTAAGGATTCTAAACTTTCTTCTAGGCCCATCTGTGCACTTTCTCACAAAATCCAGTTTTAGCAAAAGACCCCCTCCCATCTTCAATATCTGATCAGGTTCTTCATTTTCCACCATCCCCCAGGTGATGTCTGATCACCCTGGCTTGTCTTCAGCAAGAATCCTGTTAGATGGGTTTAGCCAGAATCCCCCTTACTCCAAATGTTTCCTCTTAGTAGTTTACCTTCAACTGACCCCTATCCTGCTCCTTGCCCATGATGTATTTGGAGTTGAGCCCAACCTCTTTCCTTTGCTGCAAGACCCCGCTGCAGTGATCCCTATACTTATCGCGATGGTCCTGAATAGTCTTTTTTGCCCACCTTTAACAAGTATCAGTTTTTTCTTTAACATGTATTTTTATGTAAACATAAATTTTTTAAAAATATTTTTAAGGCAATAGCAATTTCTGACATCACTTGCAGTACTTTCAAAGAGTTGATCAGTGCTTTAATATGTGCCCTATTTGACCAAAATGTAACTCAAACAAAAGGCTCTCTCTTAAGGGATAATATTCAAGATTCCAAGGCTAGCCTTGAATCCAGTTCAAAAATCCATTATGTGTCAAATAACATTTGATATGAAAAATAAGAGTACAGCTACTAATTCTAGAGTATAAATGCAACCTGACACCGCACACATCTGCCACCACACACACAAATCCCTGGCTGGACAATGATCTTAGGCCAAGTACCTAACACATGCCACCTGGGCACAGGCTGGCCCATTAACACAGTTATACGTAACTGAATTTTAAAATGGCTTGACCCCAGGGAAAGAAAAAAAGAGGCTAAAATAAAAATTACGAGCCAGCCAGGCATGGTGGCTCACATGTGTAATCCCAGCACTTTGGGATACCAAGGCAGGAGGATCACTTGAGCACAAAAGTTCGAGATCAGACTGAGCAATACAGGGAGGTTCCCTATGTACCACCCCCATTCAAAAAAAAAAAAAAAGCCAAGCATGATGGCCTGTATTTGTAGTCCTATTTGGGAGGTGACCATGGGATTGCCTGAGCCCAGGAGTTAGAGGTTGCAGTGAGCTATGATCATGCCACTGCACTCCAGCTAGGGCGAAACAGAGAGACCTGGTCTCAAAAGCAAGCAAACGTTGGTAAAAATTCAGGATAACAAGTATTAGTGCACCAAGCAAAAGAGTTTGCTTGCAAGCCAGGCACAGTGGCACACCCCCGTACTCCCAGCAACTTGGGAGGCTGAGGTGGAAGGGTAGCTACAAGCCCAGTTGTTTGAGTCCAGCCTGAGCAACACAGCAAGACCTGGTCTCTAAAAATAATAGTTTGCTTATAGCATCAATGTAGACAAAAGACTTGGCAAGTTAAGACTTCTGTCAGCAATACTGAGTGGGAGTGAAGGGGGTGGGGAATTACTTCAGAAATAGGCCCCATAGTGTTTACCAAAGAAAGCCAAAACCACTGTCCTGCCTGCTCACCTGTTGAGTAACTATTCTTCCTTCTACCACATGCCTCTAAGATCTGCTGAACCAAGACTGAAGTAGCAGTATGTGCACTGGCTGGTTAAGGTATACTCTGTTTAGAATTACTACTTGTAAAGAAACGAGATTTATGGTCAACAGAAAACTAAAAAACATTGCTGCTTTGGTGCCTGTTTTTGTAGCTTACCAAGGCAAATTTAACTATTGGGGTTAAAAATGAGCATTCCAAGAGGTACTGTGAGAAATAAATCTATACTATAGATAAATCAATCATTGGGCACCAAGAGCCCAAACTGTAATGTTATCTGGTGTATTTGTCTTATCCTCCAAACACAACTATTCCTTAAGTACACAGAGGGAATCTTCATTGTTGTGTATTATTCTGCAAGAATCTGACAAAACTTGGAATTCCTAAAGCCATATAAAAAGGATAATGGCTTCGACAAAGGATACAGAGCACCTAGTTTCAAGGTAAAATTTGGGCCTTTGGAACCAGGTTAGCATAGATCCAGGATTGGGGGGGGGGGCAGGTGATTAAAGGAGCAGTTACAAGTCCTACCCTAGGGAAATTCCTGAATGTCAGTATATATTACTTAATATGGTTATGATCATATTGTACATACAATGTACTTTTTATCACAGGGAGACATTTTCCATATTACATAGTCTTCAAAACCAATATTGTAAATGTGTAAGTACCAGAATATATTTAACCATTCCCTCTAAACCTGGACATTGTAACATTTTCATGAATACTGTCTCCTATGCATTTAAGGGTATGTCCTTAGAAAATATTTCCAAAAGTGAAATTATTGAGTCAGAGTGTATTTTCACAACTGGATATATCTTGCCCAACCACTCTCCAAAGGGATAATGCTAATTTTCACTGCTACCAGCAAGACAAGCGTGCAAGTTTTATGGCAAGGATTTTGTATCTTAGAGAACTGGTTTTTTTGGGGGGTTTTTTTTGGCTTTTTTTTTTTTGTTTTTTTTTGTTTTTGAGATGGAGTCTCGCTCTGTCGCCCAGGCTGGAGTGCAGTGGCGCAATCTCAGCTCACTGCAAGCTCCGCCTCCCAGATTCACGCCATTCTCCTGCCTCAGCCTCCCGAGTAGCTGGGACTAGAGGCGCCTGCCACCATGCCCAGCTAATTTTTTGTATTTTTAGTAGATGGGGTTTCACCGTGTTAGCCAGGATGGTCTCGATCTCCTGACCTTGTGATGCACCCACCTTGGCCTCCCAAAGTGCTGGGATTACAGGCGTGAGGCACCACGCCTGGCCTGTTTTTAGGCCTAAGAAAAGAAACCAAGGTAGAGCTAGAGATAAAAGGTAAAAATGAGTAAGAGGAGAATAACTTGTTTTTATTCTAGAATAATAACAGCTCTAATACCTCTACAATGTTTACTATGTGCCAGGTACTGTTTTAAGCTCAAAATACCCATAAAACCCCAAGAAGTACATACTCTTATCTACAACTGTAGATGAAGAAACTGAATCAGAGATGGCTTAAGGAACTTACAAAGATCAAGGTCACAATACCCATAAAAGAAGTCCATACTCGCTGGCCGCAGTGGCTCATGCCTGTAATCCTAACACTTTGGGAGGCCGAGGCGGGCAGATCATGGGGTCAGGAGATCGAGACCATCCTGGCTAACACAGTGAAACCCCGTCTCTACTAAAAATACAAAAAATTAGCTGGGTGTGGTGGCACGTGCCTGTAGTCCCAGCTACCCAGGAGACTGAGGCAGGAGAATTGCTTGAATCCGGGAGGCAGAGGTTGCAGTGAGCTGAGATCGTGCCACTGCACTCCAGCCTGGGCGACAGAGCGAGACTCCATCTCAAAAAAAAAAAAAAAAAAAGAAGTACATACTCTTATCTCCAATTGTAGATGGAGAAACTGAATCAGAGGCAAGTTAAGAAACTTGCTAAGTTCGCACAGGAAGCATATCATAGAGCTCAATATGTGTGCGGTCAGGAGTCAAAGCCTACGCTCTTACCACTACACTATGCAATGAGGAAAGGAGATTCTGAAGGGCCCATGGCAGGGTACTCCTCAGCAAGCTTATCTTCAAGTGGTAAGTGGAGTATAAGATGTGTGACTGTGAAAGGAGGCAGAACTGTGGCTTCAGGTTCAATTCTGGATGCCTCAAGTTTGACACCTTACTTAAAATTAAATTCATTTGTTTATCAAATATTTAACTTCCCTCTAAGTGTCGGATATTGTGCTAGCCTGCGGCTTCAGCATGAACAAAACTGAGGAATTTCTGCCCTCAAGGCACATTTGAGAGAGATGCATCAATTCCTTAGTCTTTTCATTTCCAAATCTGTAATTTTCTAATGTATTGAAATCAACTTAGCAATAAAAGCAGCCATCATTAGAAACATTCAAGTTTTATTTTTGGCAAAAAGAGACTTCAAAAATTGAATATGATAGTCTTGAGCGGAGGCCTGAGGACGATGACATTATCAAAGAGTAAGGCTGGTACAACTATACAGAACACATGGAAGAGAACATGCACAGATATACTGTTGTGGTGTCAATTTATAACGGATTTATTTACAAAAAATTGTTCCATAGAATGAGAAATGCTAGAGAATAGAAGAAAATAGCATTAAAATATAACCATAAGCATGGACCAGGTGCAGTGGCTCATGCCTGTAATCCCAGCACTTTGGGAGGCTAAGGTGAGTGAATCCCTTGAGTTCAGGAGTTAGAGACCAGCCTGGGCAACATGGTGAGACCCTGTCTCTACTAAAAATACAAAAATTAGCCAGGCACAGTGGTGGACATCTGTGGTCCCAGCTACTCAGGAGGCTAAGGCAAGAGGATCTCGAGTCCAGGAGGTGGAGGTTGCAGTGAGCCAAGATAGTGTCATTGCACTCTAGCCTGGGCGACAGAGTGAGACTGTCTCAAAAAAAAAAAAAAAATAAAATAAAAAAAAGAGTGAAGAGACCTACCAACCAAACACACCACATAGGATTCTGAGTCAGACAGACCATAAAATAGTATATATGTGTGTGTGTGTGTGTGTGTGTGTGCGTGCATGTATATATTCTATATGTGTATAGCATTTTTTTTTTTTACATTTCTGGGAAGTTCTCAAAATGTGTGTATGCATTTTTGAGTCCTCATCTCTTACAGATACATCCTGAAATACTTTTAGATTAAATGATATAATGTCTGGGATTTCCTGCAAAATAAAATGGGAGAAAAGAAATGGTTGGGAGTATTGAGCAAACAAGACTGGCTATGAGATGATCAACTGCTGAAGCTGCATGATGGCTAAGTGGGGGGTTTCTCACTACTATTTCTGTACATAGCTAAATTTTTCCATAATTATTGGTTTTTAAAAAGGAGAACTAAACAAATGGGAGCATGTGGAAAACACTGGATGAATGAGCCTTAAAATGTTCATTATGTACATACAGTGTAGACCCACAAACTGTCCGATTTGGAGTTAGGAAACTGGAATTCAGTGGTTCCCTGGGCCAGGCAGCTCTGCAGGGACTGATCTGAAGTCCCTCCCAACTGAGCCCCAGGCTGTCTGATGCAGTTGCTCCTTCCTGGTTCAAACAACGGGCACCAACATAAGTTCTTGCCCTATTCTACACCCATTACTGAAAACTGAACAGGAAATAAATCAGAAAGCAATTTTTAAAAGATAAAAAGAAAAGGAGACAAACACATGGGAAGTATAACAATAAAAAAGAACTGAAAGACAACAGCAGTCAAGACCAATCAATCCAATTCCTAATTAAATACATATAATTTTCAGTCCCTCATTCTGTAATCTAAATGAGCAGTTTAATTAGTACCTGAATCTGCCTTGTATAAGTGCACTTAACTTTCATACTTTAAAGACATATATATATAAACATTTAAATAAATGCATAGGAAATTTTACCATTCAAAGGTATCTCATTGGAAATCCTTTTATAACAAAAATAGTCACCTCCTACATTCAGTCATGTAGGAAGGGAAAATGACAGTACTAATTTTAAAATATTAATAGTGATGTAGCCATTAATATTTTTTGAACAGTTGGCATGTAGTTATACATTGCTCTAAAGAGCTTCATTATGTATATATGGATATAAATTTCATCTTCAGGACAATTCTATGAGCTAGATATAATAATTATTCCCATTTCATAAACATGGAAACTGATTGATTAAAAGTATAATAAGCATTTTTAAATGATCAATTATACAAATGGCAGTTCATCTTATATACTAAGTACTGGGTCATTTTTTAAAATGTGCTTTATAGAGGAATTTTAAACAAAGCCAAATGCACACTCATGTAACAAACAGTCAAATAGTCAAATGAGTTGCCTAAAAGTCACCAAATTGGTTGTACAGAGGTTCCTACATACACTATACTTATTATTGTATTTTATACACCCTCTAATCCCAGTGGTTCTTCATTATCTAAAAAGAAATATAAGTCACAGATCAAAGTCAGAAGTTTGTTTTAACAGAAATGTTTCCCATTGCCCAGGAAATGGCTGAAGATAACTGAACATACACAGACTCAAGATGAACAAAAAGCCAAAGGAAAGCATTACCTACCATCAACTCCTTAAGGGCAGGATCCCAGGTATGACATTTTTATAACCCCCCTACCCCCAGGATCAAGCACAGAAGACTTTTCACATAAGAGGCACTTTTCCATAAAAAGTAAACACCACAAACTACAACTGCATTCTAGTCCCCTACATCTTCAATCTGATCTCCAAATAAAGGAGGAAATAATGCTAAGGAACTCCTTTGACTAAAAGCACCTGCCCTTCACCTGAACTCCTTTGACTTGAAAACACCTGCCCTTCACCTGCCCTCCACTCAATCCACTGCAATGGGTCAACTTAACTTGCTGGGTGGGAAACCCAGTTTGAAAAGGCAAGCCATCCCACTCTGGGGACCATTTCATAAACCCTATTCCCCAAATCCCACTATACCTCCCACAAGGAAGAGTTTGTTCTACCACAAAACTACCTTATTTCTCTAGAAGTCTGACCATCTTGTCACCAATGGATGAAAACTCAGCGCAGCAGTGGTCAATCTTTTTTGGATGCTGGACCCTTCCGAACATGTGAGAAAAGGTCTAAGTTCTCTGCCACCCAAAAATACCAAAGCACATACATAAGTGATTTTGGTAGGATTTTGGGGAAAGCTCCAGGGCTCCTGATGAAGAGCTTCCGCCTGAGTTCCTCTAACTTGCCCTTCATGTTCACAGTGGCCTGATCCTGTCAATTTTACTTTTCCTCTCTGCTTTGTGAGCATCTTTATCATGCTTTACCCACTGCAACTACTGAAACCACTTCTCCAACTGGCTCCTCGTTGCCCAGATCACATCTACTGCCCCACCCCCACCCCATCAATATTACCCAATGGCTACTAACTACATGCCTCCGTTGAATTCCCAGAACTGTGCCTTCCCAGTTTCTACCCTGGGACACTTCCCAGGTTCTACCCTGTCTTCAAGATAGAAGTAATCTTATTCTTTTCTGTGTCCATCACAGGGCACACAGCACAGTGCCCTGTACATGTAAGTACTCATTAGAGTGAATGTGCATCAAACCCTAAGGACTTAAACCAGCCAGTCAGCAAGCATCTCATAACTGGAAGTTTATGAGTCTGACTAATCAACCCTTGAGCAGCCCATGAACTTAATGCAATTAAGCAGCTCCACCTGATTAGCGCCCTGCTTTCTCTGAGATGAGCGGTGGAAAAGGTGGAGAAAAAGAGGCCACTCTTCATCTTGGTTACTGTTCTGCAAAGCACAACAGGCTCTGGCTTGTGTAGCAGCTTTTTTCCAGCACTCTATTTACTAAAACATTCCTATGTAATCAGATTTTAAGGAAAATTCTACTCAGCAGCCATGTGTAAACAAACACTTCCACAATAAAGTTATTTAACTTAATACTATCAGTTTAACTAGAATAAAAACAACTTTCATGTTGTTAATAACCTCCAGGACGGAACAATCTAGACACGCAGGCATTCAGCTATGAGTTAGGTGACCTCCCTCTCATTTTCAAAGCACCAAACCACATCCTTTAAATACTAAAATATACAGACACTAAGTCCCAACAAGAAACACTATAAAGTCTCCCCATGAGTCTTTACTACATTAAACACAGCTGTCTAATAGGGTCATGTTTACATAGATTTAAAAAAAAAAAGCCACCCCAGCATTAGCACTAACAAAATTCCTGATAAAAAAGACTCCTACACACCCAAACTAGAAAGGAACAGGACACCAACAAGCTTAAAAATACTTCTATCTTTAAGGTTTATGTTATAAAAACATAATTAAACTATATCCTGTTAAGTTTACATTTTGGTTATTTCTGTGTAACAGTTTTTATATATTTTTAAGAGCCACAAGGTTTTATTAATTACTTCAATAGGAAACTCACTTCCCTGGTTCTAGATTGTCAAGTATGCACAGTTCACACCCAGAACCATTAGGTACTTCAATTATTAACAAACCAAACCACAAAGGAGAATCTGATACCCAAGATCAGATTTTAGTGCTGGGTTATTAGATGGTAAAACTAGAGCACAGCAAACAGCAAAACCAAGAGGGTCGAAGTAAAGGGGAATGTGGTAATAGTCAGAAATTATACAAAACTCCCTCAACAAAAATTTCTGAGAGTAAGCTTATTCTCACTTTCCTGTTACCAATCTTAGAGACAACTAATAGTACAAATAAAGAACAGTAATCATTCCAGCAGTAACCACAGACTGCTGGGATTTGTGTCTTGTGGGTCCAGCTTTTTCCTTCTCCCTCAAAGCAGGAGGCAAGGTCACCTTGTAGCTAACAATAGCCCACTAGAAAGAGAAAACACGCACATCTTCCCTAAACATAACAGCACCTGAGCTGGAAGGAATGTTTTAAATCGACAAAGTATTTTCACAAACATCTCATTTGGCCCTCTTTCTGTTCCCAAATTCACCTGCATCTTGGGGCTAATGCGCCAGCTGATCAATCCTTCTCCCCAGTCTCTGTCCGCTAGTGGCTCTCATGTCACCACAAACAGTGCCTCGTACCCCTCAGTATCTCCATACCTCACAACCTGCAACCACTGCACAGAAAAGATAAAAGTTTAGAAAGTGAAACTTGCTGAAGATCACCGTAGCTACAGAAGTAGCCATTACATCAAAAGTCAACATTTTCTGATAAACTAAAAGTTCAAAACATACCACATTTTAAGTTATAAAAAAATCTAAATAATGAGGTACACCAAGTTCTCCCTATGAAAACATTTGACAATATGTCCATACTAACACTCAGTCCCATCATGTATTATACTTCCCTCCTAGTTTTAGAAAGCAAAGTAAAAGACAATCTGAGAAAGAGCTTTTTATCCAAAAACACTTCTACAATAATCAACAAATAATTAAACATTACCCAGATGCAAAACAGAAGTTAATCTGCATTACCTGGGATCTTATGAAGAGGTGATAGCTCCAGACCTCGGTTCACACTTAGGCAGACCTTTTAAAAATCAGTTCATTTTTACATAACGACACTTTGAAGGACAGTAACATTTGCCATAATTATTGCTACTATGTATGGAATGTATAGGTGAGAAAAATGCCCAAGGATAATCAAAAAGGATGTACTTTAGAGCTCGTGCATTTACTAACGATTTAACACCTACTATGCTCCAATGTGCTAGCAAACCTGATTTAATGAATGAAAATGAAAGCCAGAAGATGTGTGATCAAAGATTCCAGTTGCAGTTCAAGTGGAGAAAAGTAGTGAGAATGAGTTATATATTAAATTTATATATATATTTAAATATATATATATATTTATACATACCACCACGGTGGTATATATATATATATTTTTATATATACCACCACGGTGGTATATATATATTTTTATATATACACCACGGTGGTGTATATATATATTTTTATATATACACCACGGTGGTGTATATATATATTTTTATATATACACCACGGTGGTGTATATATATATTTTTATATATACACCATGGTGGTGTATATATATATTTTTATATATACACCCCGGTGGTGTATATATATATTTTTATATATACACCCCGGTGGTGTATATATATATATATTTATATATACACCATGGTGGTATATATATATATATATACATATATATATATATACACACATATATATATACATATATATATACATATATATATACATATATATATATATATACACATATATATATATACACACACCATGTTGGTATATATATATTTTTATATATTTTATATATATTTTTATATATTTTATATTTTTTTATATATATACACACACACCATGTTGGTATGTGTGTGTGTGTATATATATATATCACGCCTCAATTTAGTTTTCCAAACTCTAACCAAATTAATATCAAAATAATATTGAGGTGTTATGTATTTATTTGCTCTTTATAGCTGCATATATATTTGTAACATAGAAATTAGAAAATTACATCTATACTGAAGAACCTCAATACATTTCTTCTTTTGGATATAATTCATACCTTACTCAAATTTACAAACTACTACTCCAGAACAGAAATTATTCAGTGCAGGAGAGGATGAGAGTGGCATAGGAAAAGCCATTAATATATTTTTACCAGAGAAATTCAATAAAAACCACAAAGAAGGGAGAAATTTCTAGCCAGTCTCCTCCAAATATGCAACACTGGAATTGTGCTCAAATTGAAACTACCTAGTGGGGCCTAAAGAGATCAGGGTATTATAATAGAAGCCCAATCTGTAACCTTGGTGAATTTTCTTCTGTTTCACAAGTCTAAAAAAAATTTCCTGTCTCTAATTTGAATGTTCAAGCAATCATTTCTCCTATTCAAATCCCACAGTTTGGGAGCTAAATTATCAAACAGATCTTTTATTCACTCACTCAATATATACTGAGCATCTGCTATGTACCAAGCACTCTTTCAGAGACTGGGGATACAGAAGTGAACAAAGCACAAAATCTCCATCCATAGAAAAGGTTATGTTCTAGCTGAGAGACAGATTAATAAGGTACACAGTATATAAAAGGCTATGGAGAAAAAAGGGAGCAAGGTATGTGTGTGCCATACACAAATTACTGATTGATTGAACCAGGGTCTCACTCTGTTGCCCAGGCCGAGTGCAGTGGCGTGATCACTGCTCACTGCAGCCTCGAACTCCCAGCCTCAAGCCATCCTCCCACCACAGCCTCCCAAGTAGCTGGGACCACAAGCATATACCACCACTCCCAGCTAATTTTTTTTTACTTTAATTTTTTTTGTAGAGATGTCTCACTATGTTACCCAGGCTGGTCTTGAACTCCTGGGCTCAAGCAATCCTCCCACCTCCGCCTCCCAGAGTGCTAGGATTACAGGTGTGAATCACCACAAATGACTTAGTCATAAGATTTCGGAAAGCTATTTTACAGTCATGCAGATCATAGAACAAAAAGTTTTGAAAAATAAAACCCACAAAAAGAATATAGTATGAGTGCACCCATTTATATGACAAATCCAGAATGGGATGAGAACATCAGGGTAACAGAGAGAAACAAAACGGCACAAAAAGAAAGATCTTTTTGAAACTGAATCTGATCCTGGTGTGTGCTCAAACCATTCCTAAAACAGATTTGAAACAAATTTAGAAGAACACTTACGGAGACAAAAAAAACTTAAAAGGGAAAGTATGTGGAAAGAACACCCACCAATCAGGTTAAAATGTCAGATTTTTAAGTCGCTGTTTGTTAGCAATTAAGTGTAGTATTTCCCAAGTTTACAAAACTAAAACTAAATTTGGATGGAAGAGAAAAGTGACATCATGGCTATCTGATGCCACTGAACTCTAAATTCCTTGCACACTTACAGAAACGCACAAATCTAAAACTACAGATAAATGCCCTCCACAGGTCCTCATTTGGGAAGACAGAAAAGGAGGAAGAGGAACACCAGTAGTAGAGAAACAAAAAAACAGGCCAGTCAAGCAGTTTAAAAATATATATATATATTTTATCTTAATGTAAAAACGCTAGTCAAAAAGGTAAAGAAAACACCACTGAAAGCTGATAGTTTTCCTGGCACGGAATTAGGAAAAGAGGAATAGTAAGGCTTAAAGAGGCTAAGAGAAAATATTCAATATGCTAGTCAAATTTAATCAGAGAAATCAAATTACTGTGAAATTTTCTTTCTGGTCTTAAAAAAAAGGACTTCAAGCCAAAATGCTGTTTTTAAAAAATAGGTCCACAGATATTTTAATCCTATTCCACCATTTCTACCCAATTCCTGCAAATCTCAGAAACAAACTCAGATGACTCCTCAAAAATACTACTGAATAGAAAGTTAAACCTTTAGAAAAGGAGTGATTCAAGTGTCAAGAAACATAAAACCTGGTGAAACATCCTTTAAGATTACTGAATTGGTTTATTACACACTTTCTTCAGGTGAAACAATTGAATGCATTTTTAACTTTCTAAGTGTTCATATTCTAAGCCTGAACTAGTTTCCTTGACTGTTCTAAAGCTTTCTAGATGATTTACTGCAGTATGTTCCTTCTAAAGATGTCTGATCTCATCCATTACCAACTAATTCTCCCCAATTTTCTCAGTCATCTCAAAGTTAACTAGTACACATCTTAAGGAGAGGAGTCTACGACACATTCATTCCTGCAACAAACATTCTATAAAATTAAATTGAAACAATTTTAAGACTGGGACAATATATGAGAAAAGAACTCAGCTGCATGAATTTTAGAAATAAACCACGTTTTAAAGACATTTTTCACAAATCTCCCTCAGCCCTTTCCTGGGCCTTTAGGCTACTCCACTCTCTAGGAACTTCTCATTAAGTACAATCATTCTGCAACAGGATTGATTGATACACGGGGGGGACAATTTGAGTAAAATGGGAACTGTTTGCTAATGTACTATACTTTCTGTGAAGAATACTAGGTACACATACACAAAGGCATACAGCTGGACCCAGCCCCATGGGAATACAAAATGCACACATGCTTACATCTTAAACATCATTTTGAAAACACAGGCATCAAACACACACCCTATCATACTGTTTTCCTGGAAAATTTAAAATATCCTGTGAGTTCACTGCAATACCCCAGGGCACCTCAAACAGTTTAGGAATGAATACCCCGACTGGATCTCACAGCTCTAAACATTACCTACGTGTTTCTCCAAGTGGCTAACCCAAACCTCTCTCCAGGACTACAAGTTTGTATACAGTAGTTTATCCTTATCCATGGTTTTGGTTACCCAAGGTCAACCATGGTCCAAAAATAGTAAATGGAAAATTCCAGAAACAATTAAGTTATCAATTGCACCCCATTTGTAGAAGTGTGATGAAATCTCTGCTCCATCCCATGCAGGATGAGAATCATTCCTTTGTCCAGGGCATCCACGCTGTCTAGGCTTCCCAATGTGTTAGTCACTCAGTAGCTCAGTAGCTATCTCTAGGGATCAGCTCTATTGTTACGGTGCTTGTGTTAAGGTAACCCTTATTTTACTTAATAATGGCCCTAAAGCGCAAGAGTAGTGATGCTGGCCAATTCACATATGCCAAAGAGAAGCCTTATAGTGTTTCCTTCAAGTGAAAAGATCAAAGTTCTCGACTTTATAAACAAAAAACATCGGCCAGGTATGGTGGCTCATGCCTTAATCCCAGCACTTTGGAATGCTGGGGCAGGTGGATCACTTGAGGTCAGGAGTTCGAGACCAGCCTGGCCAACATGGCAAAACCCCATCTCTACTAAAAATACAAAAAAATTAGCCGATCATGGTGGGACACACCTGTAATCCCAGCTACTCTACTCGGGAGGCTGAGGCACGAGGCAGAACTTGGGAGGCGGAGGCAGGAGAACTGCTTGAACCCAGGAGGCGGAGGCTCCAGTGAGCTGAGACCACCACCACACTCCAGCCTGGGTGATGGAGTGGGAGTCTGTCTCCAAAAAAAAAAAAAAAAAAAAAAAAAAAAAAAAAAACCAACAACAACAAAGAAAATCATATGACGAGGTTGCTAAGATCTGTGGTAAGGATGAATCTTCTGTCCATAAAATTGCGAATGAAAAAAGATTTCGTGCACAATATATATAGGGTTTGGCACTACCCAAGGTTTCAGGAATCCACCGGAGGCCATGGAACGTATCCTCCAAGGATAAGAGGGGCTACTGTCTATTCGAAATCTCCACTTGGATGTCAAGCACCTTAAACTCAACATGTCCAAAGTAAAAATCCTGATTCCCTATGCACTTTCCAGTACTACTCTCCAAAATCTTTCCTATTTTAGTAAACAGCAACATTTTTTTCCCAATAGCTAATGCTATTGGAAAATGACTCCATTTTCCTCTCACAAACCACATATGCAAATCCTGTTGGCTCTATCTTCAAAATATATTCAGAATAAACTACAACTCACCACCTCCACTGCTACTACCCTGTTTTAAGTCACCACCATTTCTCACCTGCACTTTGCTTCTACTCTCAAACTCCGCAGGCAGAGTGATCTTATAAAAGGGGAAGTTCCATCATCTCATTTTCTGTACCACACCCTTCAATGGTTTCTAAGATGCCCCCTCTCTTTCTCATGTTCTACTCAAATCTCTCCCTTTTGCTTACTCTGCTCCAATGAGACATCTTGCTGCTTCTGGAACACACAAAGCACAATCCCACCTCAGAGCCTTTACATGTTGTGGTTCCCTCTGCTCCTTCCCCAGATATTTACCCGTGTCACTCTTTTGCATCCTGCAGGCTTTTGCTCAATGTCATCTTAGAGAGGCACTCCCTGACTGTCCTCATATAGTACTATTCCCCACACTCCCTATTCCCCTTTTTCCTTGCTATACATTCTCTGCAGCACTTTTTTCCCCCTTTCTGACATGTGTCCATGGTACATCTCTCTCCACTAGATCATCTGTTCTGAGACAACAGACTTAGTTTTGTTCACTGCCATATTTAACAGGCCCAAAATAATAACGTTATACACACTCAAATACAGAATAAAAATTATACCAGCTGTTTTAGGAAGTAAAATTATACCAACTGTTTTGTCCTCATTAACATCAAAACATCCCTAAAGTTTGTATTATTGAGAGTTTTCTATCCTGCATTTGAAATTCTCTCCTTCTCCTAAAAATAAAATGTAATGCTCTTTTTGATCATCGTATCCATAAACAAGAGATCTGACTAATCCAAAACGAATTATACTTTGATTTTCCTGGACTCTTAAATTCTATTCATAAGCTAAGAAACTAGATTGCCCTCTATTACGAGCTACTGGGAAATTTATTTCTTACGCTCTCTAAAAATCATTTTTGGACAGCAAGTCTCACATCTTGATCTATGATTTTTTCCTCCTCACCAAACCTGCTCCTCCAGACTTTAGCTTCAAACACAACTGCTAAGGAAAATCTCTAAGATGTAGGCCCCAAACAACCTTGTCCCACAGCAAGACCTAAGAAAAGGCACTTCAAAATCTAACACAACATATTTAGACCAAAGATTACCTGCAGCCCTCACCTAGGCAACTCGGCCGAAGTCTAAAAAAGCACATTTTACTTCTGCCTCATTTAATTATCTAGTCCCCCAGATCTTCCCTACTAGTTGTCTTTAATGTGAATGGGGAGAAAGGGGAGGAGACAGAGGGAGGGAAATGGACCTTAATAGGAAGCTGTGTGATTATCTTCAGAAATAAAGACTGGATTTGTTTCAGAGCTTTGTAATATGACAGAACCTCAACTCGGGGGATTTTACTTCCTCTACAAACTATCTCAGCTGTGCTTTGTGTATGCTAAGGATGTTTAGAAACACCTTGAATAGGCCATGCTGTCAAGTGTACAAAAAAGGTATTTGGATTGTTTTAGATCCTGAAACCAATGGACCAGAATCCTGCCCCACTTCAAGAATGAGTTGGCTCCTTGTTACCACGGTAATAAGCGCCCCATGAATGGGGATAATTTGCCACTTTGCTGAAAATTCAAGCATTCTATAGTTTTGGTTTTTTAACTGAGAAACGAGGTGGGAGGAGCAGCAGAACCAATTATAGAGTACATTTAAACAACACGTAAAGGAGTGTGTTTCTTGATTCTGAATAACAAGATTTTAAATCGTTTAGTTTACAGCCAGGCATGGTGGCTCACGCCTGTAATCCCAGCACTCTGGGAGGCCGAGGTGGGCGGCTCACCTGAGGTCGGGAGTTCAAGACCAGCCTGACCAACATGGAGAAACCCCATCTCTACTAAAAATACAAAATTAGCCGGGCGTGGTGGCACATGCCTGTAATCCCAGTTACTCAGGAGGCTGAGGCAGAAGAATTGCTTGAACCCAGGAGGCGGAGGTTGCGATGAGCCGAGATCGCGCCATTGCACTCCAGCCTGGGCAACAAGAGTGAAACTCCATCTCAAAAAAAAAATAATTTAGTTTACAAGAAAAAAGAAGGGAATAAGAGGACCAAAGAAAATAAACATGTTAGACTGTATTCTAACATGTACAGCTCTACACCATCACAACTTAGCACTGCAGATCTTTCAGAACAGATTTTCAGATTGCCCATAAACACACAAATCACATTAAAATATTTATAAGTCTAGAAGGTTCCTATGCAACAGTCTGGTTGGGAAGAAAAATCCACTAAAGTAACTAAGAACCAACTAAGGCAAATAGTACTGTGCAAGCCCAATGCTGCTAAAATATAACAGATTAAAGAAGCCATATGTCAACAAATTCTTATAGGGAAATAATAATATTCAGCACTATTAATAGACTGAATGTTCATTCCCCCACACCCAGGACACAATTCATATGTTGAAACTTAATCTGCAATGTGAAGGTATTTGGAGGTGGGGCCTGTGGGAGACAACTGGGTCATAAGGATGGAGCCTTTGTGAATAGGATTAGTGCCCTTATGAGACCCAGAGAGCTCACTCGTCCTTTCGGAGATGATCATCTAAGTGCCAGGATGCAGGCCCTCATCAGACTCCAAATCTGCTGCTGCCTTGATCTGAGACTTCTCAGACTCCAGACTGTTCAAATAAATTTCTGTTGTATATAAACCACCCAGTGTATGGTGTTCTATAATAGCAGCCCAAACAGACTAAGACAAGCACTTATTCCTGATAAAAATTCTTAGCAAACTAGGGATAGAGGAAAACTTCTTTTCCTTTAATAAAAGGCACCCATCAGAAACAGAAAATAGCATACACACAATGGCAAAATATTAAAAACAGTCCTATACAGAGCTAGAAATAAAGATGCCAGCTATCATATTACTGAGAAAAAAAAATCTATCATTACTTGCAAACTACATGTTATGTGGGGCTTTCAAGTTAAACCAACAAATTAAAAATTATTTAGTCTAGTCTAACAGTAACCTCAATAAACTTAAGAGATAAAACATCAACATTAAAAAAAAAAAACTTAAAGAACTGCCACACGACCCAGCAATTCCACTGCTAGGTATATACCCAAAAGATCTCAAACCAATAATTATATACAAATGTTTATAGCAGCACTACTCAGAATAGATAAAAGGTGGTGACAACCCTTCTGTCTACCAAGAGATAAATGGGTAAACAAACTGTGGTACAAGTATACAATGGAATATTAATTCAGCCATCAAAAGGAATTAAGTACTGATATCCACTACAACATGGATAAACCTTGAAGACATCATGCTAAGTGAAAGAAGCCAGAAACAAAAGGCACATACTATATGATTCTATTTGTATGAAGTGTCCAGAAGAAGCAATTCTATAGACAGAAAGTACAACAGTTGTTGCCTAGGGCAACCACTGGGGGGGAGGAGGGAATGCAGGGTAACTGCTAATGGGTATGGAGTTACCCATTTTGTCACCCATGGGGGTGACAAAAATGTTCTATAATTAAACAGTGGTGATAAGTGCACAACTTTGTGAATACACTAAACACCAGTGAACTGTACACTTTCAAAGGGTGAATTTTGTGGTATGTGATTAATATCTAAATTTTTAAATAAATCAGTAACATCAGCAGTGGGAAAAATTTAACAACTCCCAAAATGGGCTATAGTAATCAAGACAGTATGGCAGCAGTACAGAAATAAGTGGTTCAATAAACTGAACCTCAAATGATTAAGAAGACATCAAGTAAATGGGAAATGCAAGATGTTTGAATAAATTGAGAAAACTGGATCTCTGAGTGAAAAGATACAGGCCTACATCATAAACAAAAATTTTTGGCCAAGCGCCATGGCTCACACCTTTAATCCCAGCACTTTGGAAGGCTGAGGCAGGCGGATCATGACGTCAGGAGATTGAGACCATCCTGGCCAACATAGTGAAACTCCGTCTCTACTAAAAATGCAAAAATTAGCTGGACGTGGTGGCACGTGCCTGTAATCCCAGCTACTCGGGAGGCTGAGGCAGGAGAATCACTTGAATCACAGACTCGAAGACCGCAGTGAGCCAAGATCACACTATAGCACTCAAGCCTGGGGACAGAGCGAGATTACATCTCAAAAAAATAAAAAATAAATAAATTTAAAGGGGGGCCAGGTCAGGGGGTGGCTCACGCATATAATCCCAGTACTTTGGGAGGCCAAAAAGGAAAGATCAGTTGAGGCCAGGAGCTTGAGACTAGCTTGGGCAACATAAGTGAGACTCTGTCTCTAAAAAAAAAAAAAAAAAAAAAAATATATATTTTTTTTTTTTTTTTTTTTTTTTTTTTTTTTTTTGAGACAGAGTCTCACTCTGTCGCCCAGGCTGGAGTGCAGTGGTGTGATCTCAGGTCACTGCAAGCTCTGCCTCCCGGGTTCACGCCATTCTCCTGCCTCAGCCTCCCGACTAGCTGGGACTACAGGCACCCACCATCATGCCCGTTTTTGCTTTTTTTTTTTTTTTTGTATTTTTAGTAGAGATGGGGTTTCACCGTGTTAGCCGGGATGGTCTCGATCTCCTGACCTCGTGATCCGCCCACCTCAGCCTCCCAAAGTGCTGGGATTACAGGCGTGAGCCACCGTGCCCGGCCAAAAAAATAATTTTAGTAAAAAAATTTTTAATGGCACACTGAGTAAAATGTAAAATCCAACACTGTCAAATATGGTAGAATGCTTTATAATCTTAGTTGGGTAACTCCTCCTTCCTAAAGATATAAATTACTGACATATCTAAATATAAACGTTAAACTTTTATTTGGAAAAAAGACACCATAAAGTTAAAACACAAGCAAAAGAATGGGACAATAATATTTGCAATATGCACAAAAGGTTAATTTCCATGACACTGGCCAGGCATGGTGGCTCATGCCTGTAGTCCCAGCATTTTGGGAAGCCCAGGTGAGAGGATCACTTGAGCCCAGGAATTCCAGACCAGCCTAGGGAACAGAGCGAGACCCCGTCTCATCAAAAATATATAAATTGTTTTTTAAAATTTTCCATGACATTAAATCAGTTACTGAAGCCAATGGTGGGGGAGGAGAGAGACAATACTTTAGCATAATGCTGCTATTGGTGTAAAAACTGAAAAGACTATATGTAGTTTGCAAATACACAGAAAGATGTCTTTTTTTGTTGTTGTTGTTGCTTGTTTGTATTTTTTTTTTTTTTTTTTTGAGACAGAGTCTTGCTCTGTTGCCCAGGCTGGAGTGCAGTGGCGTGATCTCGGCTCACTGCAAGCTCCGCCTCCCGGGTTCACGCCATTCTCTTGCCTCAGCCTCCTAAGTAGCTGGGACTACAGGCGCCCGCCACCACGCCCAGCTAATTTTTTCTTTTTTTAGTAGAGACGAGGTTTCACCGTGGTCTCGATCTCCTGACCTCGTGATCCGCTCGCCTCAGCCTCCCAAAGTGCTGGGATTACAGGCGTGAGCCACCACGCCCAGCTGAAAGATGTCTTATATAATAACTGGCAAACTGGATATTTGCGGAGGCAAGTTAGAGATTTTTTTGCAGCTATTTCAATGTGGTTTGAATTTCTGATCACAAATACATGTTAAATTGTATAATTTCAAAAACAATTTTAAACGGAAAAGCATCTGAAAGGCAAAACTGTAGGGATCTGAGGTCCACTAAAGATGAGTATTTTTGACAGATCCCTGCGGCAGCTTTACAGAGAATGGACATAAGAGGCAAATAGGTATTGATTCACTTTCTCCATTCGACAGATGAAAACCTACTGTGCCTTGGTACTGAGCTAAGCACTGGGACCAGTCAGAAACACTGCAAGCTGGCTGGATGCAGTGGCTCACGCCTGTAATCCCAACACTTTGGGAGGCTGAGGCGGGCAGATCATTTGATGTCAGCAGTTTGAAACCAGCCTGGCCAACATGGTGAAATCCCATCTCTACAAAAAATATGAAACTTAGCCGGGGGTGGTGGCATTTGGCTGTAATCCCAGCTACTCAGGAGGCTGAGGTGGGAGGATCACTGGAACCCAGGAGGTAGAGGTTGCAGTGAGCTGAAATCCCTCCAGCCTGAGCAACAGAGGGAGACCCTGTCTCCAAAAAAAAAAAAAGAAACATTGCAAGTTGTCTCAGTAAAAGGTCATATGTAACTACTTTGGGCAACAATGCAAGGGAGCCAGGGAATAGAAGGCATCTGTTCTTTGCAGGTGGGGGGTGTGGGATGTGTAAAGCACGTGCCATTTTAAGGCATTTGTGGACAATATCCTTCTGATATTCCTTATATTACAAGATGGCCAAATATTCCTGATAAGTATCATCTATTTTTTGACAAGTCACTGAATTAAAAAAAAAAAAAACCGCCCATATCAGCCTTGCTTTTACAAGTAACTCTTATTTTTAAGATTCTTTGACTTTGGAAAGTCCACATTCTAAAAAGTCTCTGAATGAAGGAATTCCAAAGCTACCCTTGGTCATTTTCTCTGTGTCCACTGTTTATTTTTTGGTTTTCTCAAAAGATGAATAAAAAAGAAAACTATAACAAAATTAATATTTAACCCAAAGGAAAAATATTTTAGTGAACCAGAGGTATTTTTAATTATGATTTAATCCACATTGGTTTCTTTTTACAGCTGACATGTTCCCATTTTATAACAGCCATCTGCTATCTCAACAGTATCCCAGATTTAACAAAAGTTTTAACAAAGACTATGACTATACATTAAAATTATTCAACTTTCTCACCTTAAAACTTTATATATATATTTTAGACGGAGTCTTGCTCTGTCACACAGGCTGGAGTGCAGTGGCAGATCTCGACTTACCGCAAGCTCCACCTCCCGGGTTCACACCATTCTCCTGCCTCAGCCTCCCGGGTAGCTGGGACTACAGGCGCCCACTACCACACCCGGCTAATTTTTGTGTGTGTGTATTTTTAGTAGAGACGGGGTTTCACCGTGTTAACCAGGATGGTCTCGATCTCCTGACCTCGTGATCTGCCCGCCTCAGCCTCCCAAAGTGCTGGGATTACAGGCGTGAGCCACCACACCTGGCCAAAACTTATTTTTTTAAAAGCACCCAGTATTAGCAAAGAGACAGGAAAAAAGAATCTGCTGATATGTTTGGCAAAAAATTCACCCTACCATTTAGCTTTGGGCAGCTAACCACTTTCCCATCTAGGCTGAGAAAGGAGCTTGTCTTGTCTGAGGCTGCTGGTCAAAGCACACAATCACCGTCGCCTTGACAAAGTCAACCGCCTGAGCAAGTTTATCATAAACCTATCATAATTCTCCCCAAACCATGCCAATGAGTTCCCTCCTTGCTGGTAGATTTCCTCTTTCAAATGCACGCTTCAGGCAATGCCAAGGTAGATGCAGGTCTGCTTTGAGAAAAGATTATGGCAAGCATGGCAGTT
The DNA here is from genome assembly GCF_000001405.40 of Homo sapiens. Lineage (NCBI taxonomy): Eukaryota > Metazoa > Chordata > Mammalia > Primates > Hominidae > Homo > Homo sapiens. The sequence continues at coordinate 55,320,109 of NC_000014.9, read as the reverse complement.
AAAGGACCTGGATAACCTGAGGCGGTCCAATTGCATACATTTTTTTTTTCACTTAAGGTGATTTGTTAAATATGCCTTTCAAGGTGATTTAACAGTTGTACCCTTAAAGGAGTTTCCTATGAAAGTTCAGGAAAAATTGGCCAGGTGTGGTGGCTCATGCCTGTAATCCTAGCACTTTAGGAGGCTGAGGTGGGTAGATCACAAGGTCAGATCAAGACCATCCTGGCTAACACGGTGAAACCCCGTCTCTACTAAAAATACAAAAAATTAGCTGGGCGTGGTGGCGGGCACCCATAGTCCCAGCTACTTGGGAGGCTGAGGCAGGAGAATGGCGTAAACCCGGGAGGCAGAGCTTGCAGTGAGCCGAGATTGCGCCACTGCACTCCAGCCTGGCGACAGAGCCAGACTCCATCTAAAAAAAGAAAGTTCAGGAAAAATAAATCCTTTCACACACTATATAGAATGTTGGTCCTGTGCATACAATCACATGAAAAAACCTGGACTAATTCTCCTGCCACCCATTCAGGGAAAGAGAATCCCAGGGTTATCACCAAAAATTACAAAGGATTAAAAACAAAACAGCCATTAACCCATACAGAGTCATCATATAAACTGAAAACAACTCAAACACAAACCATAGTGAGGGAAGAAGGACAGAATGGAAAGAAGAAGAACAAAAAGTTGTTGCCAGAAGTCCTTTCTATATAAATGCTTAATAAAATTTGGCAACTGGATATTTCTGTATACTGGATTTTTAAAAATAATTACCATCTTCACAACTTTGAAAGAGAAGGTTCACCTAAAAATCGATCACATGTACACTGTATGATAGGTACAGTGTCAAAAGAAACTTGAACAGGTATTTATTTCTTTTAGATACAGCTGTCATTGTCTTGAACCACAAAAATCTTCTTTTAAAAAAAGTGTAAATATGTGCATTCCTCAATAAAGGAATCCAGGAGTTTCTTAAGTGCCTAACAGACCCACATTCCCCCTTCTTAATCCATAGGAATAATAGGCAAATTTTCCTACTTAAATTTCCACCTTCATATCCTATGACCCTTCTACACTGGCCATCAACAACAAAACCATCAACAAATAGACAAAGGAGAACTTAGTGGACTGTGAGATGACCTAGTGTGAAATTAAGCACAATGAGAGTCTAACCAACTCAATAACATGAAATCCCATGGAGACAGTCACAAGACTGGAAGACTCAATCTTCCAGTCTTGGATAACAGAGCAATAAATGCCTACTTGAGAGCGAGTGAGATGACCAGGTCACCAGATCCAGCTACTGATGGGCAACTGGAATTGCTGAAGAATTAGAGACAATGGAATACTAATTGTTCCAATTCTCAAGACCAAACAATATGACCTGAAACTATTTTGTGTGTTTTCTTATCTCCTCATACATCCATATAAAAAATATAAAAAACTGATAAAGCCCAGTACAGTAGCTCAGCCTTATAATCCCAAAACTTTGTGAGGACAAGGCAAGAGGATCACTTGAGGCCAGGAGTTTGAGACCAGCCCTGGGTAACATAGCAAGACCCTGTCTCTAAAAATAAAAACAAAAACAAAAAAAAAATACAAGTCATGTAGTTGAACAACCACATATAGATGGTTACTTCTTTAAGGAAATGAAAAATACCCCAGAATCAGTAAAAAAAAAAAAAAAAAAAAGTTACTGACTGCATATATATATATATATATATATATATATATATATATATATATATATATATATATATATATATATATATATATATATATGACTTGCAAACCAACAGGGGATTGGCTATGCCTATTTAGAACTTAAATTGTTTAAGTTATTTACCTATTTTTATAAAGAATTATGTCCCAGACTTCTGGTTAAGGATGGTAGACTAAACACATAGCTCTTTGTTGATCCTTCCCCAAAGACCTAGGGAAATGTAAAGACATAAACTCACAGGTCAAAAAGAACTGGAGATTATAGCCATAAACTTTAAAAGCTGAAAAATAAATGAGTAAGAGTTAAAGAACTCAGATAACCCCCAATAAAGCCAAACCCTAAGGTAAGCATCAGGGAACATTCTCTTACAAAACGTTCAGAAATTAAAAGTAGAAGATAAAACAGGAGGGATTAATAGAAAATGTTTCTGAAATGCAATCCAATTCCCATATTCCCTTTCTTACTCTTAGGCAGGCAGGCAAATACCTACCCTTGCACAAGGCTGAAGATAATCTTTGCAGAGGGTTAAAACAGAGGATTATCTGGACCAGGGATCACGATGTAAGGTGGGACAGTTTAAGTGAACATGTGCATGCCAGATCCCACTCCATGGTGGGTTGGTAAATGTTTACCAGCTGGCTAAAGGAAGGGGTAATGGGGAGAATGAGGGCAGTTGTTTGTAGTATTTGCTGATTCTGCGGTATAAATATCTTACCATGGCAGCTTCAAGCTACTAAATGATGTCACTGAACACAGTTCAGAAGAGATGCACAGTATATATTACTATACAGTATTTCACCATATAAACAGAATAGGAGAGCATCCATAATAACAAAATGTAACAAAACAATTAGAAAGTGATGAGTTTTTAGTATTTATTACCGTTTTTTGGTTTTTGTTTTTGTTTTTTTTGAGACAGGGTCTCACTCTGTCACCCAGGCTGGAGTGCAGTGGCACAATCTCGGGTCACTGCAACCTCTGCCTTCCCGGGCTCAAGGGCTTCTCCCACCTCAGCCTCTCAAGTAGCTGGGACCACAGGCATGCACGACCTCGCCTGGCTAATTTTTACATTTACCTTGGCTTTTTATATAACTTATTTAACTACAAATTTGTATAATTTTAAATAATTGTTACATTTAGCAACTGGCTTGCAAAATTTCTGAAAATTTAACAATTGGCTCTGATAAGCTAGTATGAACCAGCTCTAACACACCACTGACCCGAGCCCACTCTACCCCTTCCCAAAAGGCTGACACAGTAAGGCCTTGACTTCCAGGGAGGGGAAACTGGAAGAGACTTCTGTGGGAAATCTGATCAGCCATTATTCTAAAAGGAGAAACACAGAGATACTGAAAAATTCCCCAGTCTAAATTTGCCAGCCAGATCATCCCCCAGTGAAGCTTAGTTGATAAGCCGTACTTGCATATTCAGAGCTTCTAATCAGTTTTTTTAGAATCTCACTATTGAATATGAGCAAACAGCTAGACATCTCTAGCATAAAAGATAGAGATAAAAACAAGAAAAACAAGTTGGAAAAAAGAGAGCAGGATCAACTTTATAGGCGTGTGACTTGGCCAGTCATGCAGAGCCGTGGACTTTGAGTCTGAAAATCGGTTTAATGCTCTGCTGTTGCCGTCTTGAAATTCTTTTATGGCTTTTTTTTTTTTTGAGATGTTCCTGCTCTGTTGCCCAGGCTGTAGTGCAGTGGCATGATCTCAGCTCAATGCACTGCAACCACCCAGGTTCAAGTGATCCTCCCACCTCAGCCACCTGAGTAGGTGGGACTATAGACATGTGCCACTGTGCTAGGCTTTTTTTTTTTTTTTTTGGTAGAGACAGGGTTTTGCCATGTTGCCCAGGCTGGTCTCAAACTCCTGAGCTCAAGGGATTCACCCACCTCTACCTCCCAAAGTGCTGGGATTACAGGTGTGAACCACTACACCCAGCTAATTTTTTTTTTTTTATTTTTGTAGAGACAGGGTTTCACCATTTTGCCCAGTCTGGTCTCGAACTCCTGAGCTCAAGCAATAGACCTACCTTGGCCTCCCAAAGTGCTGGGATTACAGGTGTGAGCCACTGCACCCAGCCTGTAGTGGAATTGTTTAACAAATGCTGAACAAGGGACTCTACATGTTCATCCTGTACTCAGCCCTGCAAATTATGTAGTCAATTCCTGATAGAGACTATGCAGGCAGAAGAAACCTCTGGAGAAAAAGAAATCATTATTATTTTCAGAAATATAAGAGAAAATATTCAAATAAGAAGAGCAGTATGCTACCAAAAAAAAAGAAGACTAAAAGGTGATACAGGGCAAGCACAAGCATGCTTTCTCAGTAGAAATGAAAAGCTCAAAAAAATACAAAGAAATGAAAAACGCAATAGAAAAGGAGAAAAACATTGGAAGACCAGTCCAAAATGTTCAATATTTGAATAACAAGGTTCAAGAGAAAACTAAGGAAGAAAAAAGGAGGGGAGAAAGTCATCAACAAAATAATGCAAAAGTAGTTGCCAGATTGCAGGGGTTCATAATTACTCACAATGATGGAAAGGATTCCTCAAGTACTCAGCATCAAGTACCTCACCACATTAAGGCACATTATTGTGAAATGTCTAATGCTGAGGGACAAAGAAAAGAACTGATAACATGAAAAATCAGGAATCAGAATGGCTTAGGTCTTCAGGAGCAATGCAGGAAGCATAGAAGAAACTAGAAAACAATGGAACTTCCCTTTAAAATTCCAAAGGAAAATTTCAAGCTAAATTTTATACCCAACCATACAATCGATTAAGAGTAAGAACAGAGTAAGACATTTTCAGCCTATTAGGATCTCAAAGTTTAACTTACATAAACCCTTTCACAGGCAGCTACTTGGAGAACCTGTTCTGCCAAGATGAAAGACTAAACCAAGAAAGAAGACATGAAATCTAAAAAACAGGTAATCCAATACAAAGAGGTAATGAATATCTCTAAGGTGCTGGTAAAGGGAAGTCCCAGGATAACAGGTATACATAAAACCAGTAGGCAACCAGTCCAGATGGGAACACATCTTCAGGAATATGAAGATAATAGAATACTTGAAGTGTCTGACTTTCCTGAAAGTAAATAAGGACAAGTTACAATTTGAAATAAATTAGTGAGAAGTTAACAGAAAAGTAAACAATAAAGAAAAACATAAATTTCATGGAAAACCAAAAGTAATAAAGTAAAAGTAGTCACAATTACTACATGGCTTAACTGTGAATCTTAACATGCACTTTCAGTCTTAATGTGTCAACACTGAATACTAGAATACTAGTCTAAGCAATGTTATAAATACCTATACCAGGGAAATGGGGGGACAAAAACATTCCTGGGGATGAGAAAAAAGAACTAAATCCTCAAGTGCCACAATGGAAATCAAAAGATACCTGAAGCTGAGAAATCAAGAAATCAGAATACAAGAATGCTGTTAAGAACATGGAGGTAAATGCAAAAATAATAAGCTAAAAGCAAGCCTCCAAGAGGGAGAAGTGGGGGGATGAAGTGGGAGAAAGACTGACACTTTTCAAAACAAGTCTTAAACAGCTATCAACTAAACTATGTACATTTAATACTTCAATGAAAAACACAATATAAAAGGATAAGAATAGTGATAAAAGTTCAAAATGTTTTAGTTCTTTTTTCAGATTAAATTTTTCCAACAAGGTTTTTTTCTTTCATTTGTTGTATTCTCCAATTTTTCTACAACAAAAATTTATTGCTGTATAATCAAAATTTAATATTATCATCTATCATTTTATACATACCTGTTACTACTGTCTGATATTCAAAATCATCTGTAACTCCCTTATTTTCAGCTGTTCCTATGTCATAATGATACCCAATCCATTCCCAGGGAACAGACTCAAGGGGAGACAAAACATTTATGTGATACCCAATCTAGCACACCTCAGGAAGATAGCAGCTTCCCTTCTGGGAGGTAGCTCAGTAGTTTACACCAAGGTGTGTATTTGGTTAACTATCTCACATTAGGTTTCCCCCTGCAAGGCTACAGTCTGTCAAAGCACTGTTAAGACCGTTTCCACTTAAGTTGTGAGAAACTGATAAACACAATAAACTCTAGAATGTGCCCTAAGGTGGTAACAAAATCCATTTTTTTTTCATATCTTTATTATTCCCAACACTAAATTACAGGTTTTCAGGGCTGGGCATTGTGGCTCATGCCTGTAATCCCAACACTTTGGGAGGCCTAACTGGAAGGATCACTTGAGCCTAGGAGTTCCAGACCACCCTGGGCAAAAAAGGGAGACCTCAGCTCTCAAAAAAATTAAAATAAAAAATAAAATTGCCAGGGATGGTGGCATGCCTGTGGTCTTAGCTGCCTGTGAGGCTGAGTTAGGAGGATCACTTTGAGCCAGGAAGGTTGAGGCTGCAGTAAGTTGTGATCATGCCACTGCACTCCAGCCTGCATGCCAGAGCAAGACCCTGTCTCACACACACACAGTTTCTAGTATATGTGATATGGTTAGGCTTTGTGTCCCCAGCCAAATCTCATCTTGAATTATAATCCCCATAATCTCCGCATGTCAAGGGAGGGAGCAGATGGAGGTAAATGAATCATGGTGGGGGTGGTTTCCCCCATGCTGTTCTCATGACAGTGAGGTCAGTTCTCACGAGATCTGATGGTTTTGTAAGTGTTTGGTAGCTCCTCCTGCATTCATTCTCCCAACTGCCACATTGTGAAGAAGGTGTCTGCTTCTTCACCTTGTGCCATGATTGTAAGTTTCCTGTGTTCGCCCAGCCATGTGAAACTGTGAGTCAATTAAACCTCTTTCCTTTATAAATTACCTAGTTTCAGGCAGTTTTTTTTACAGCAATGTGAGAACAGACTAATACAGTAAATTGATATCAAGAGTGGGGCACCGCGCTATAAAAATACCCGACAATGTGGAAGCAATTTTGGAACTGGGTAACAGGCAAAGGTTGCAACAATTTGGAGGACTCAGAAGAAGACATGAAGATGTGGGAAAGTTTGGAACTTCCTAGAAACTTGCTGAATGGCTCTGACCAAAATGCTGATAGTGATATGGTCAATGAAGTCCAGGATGAGGTGGTCTCAGATGAAGAGGAGGACTTATTGAGAACTGGAATAAAGGTGACTCTCAGTATGTTTTAGCAAAGAAACTGGTAACATTTTGCCCCTACCTTAGAGATCTGTGGAACTTTGAACTTGAGACAGATGATTTAGAGTATCTCGTAGAAGAAATGTTTACGCCGCAAAGCTTAGGAGGTGACTTGGATGCTCTTAAAAGCATTCAGTTCTAAGCATTCACAAAGAGATGGTTTGGAATTGGAACTTAAGTTTAAAAAGGAAGCAGAGCATAAAAGTTTGGAAAATTTGCAGCCTGATGATGTGACAGAAAAGAAAAAACCATTTTCTGAGGAGAAATTCAAGCCAGCTACAAAAATGTGCATAAGTAACAAGGAGCCAAATGTTAATTGCTAAGATGATGGGGAAAATGTCTCCAGGGCATGCCAGAGGTCTTCACAGCAGCCCCATCCCATCACAGGCCTGGAGGCCCAGGAGGAAAAAATGGTTTCCTGGGCCAGGCCCACAGCCTTGTTGCTTTGTGCAGTCTCAAGACTTGGTGCCCCGCATCCCCACTGGGGTGAAAATGGAGCAACGTACAGCTCAGGCCATTACTTCAGAGGGTGCAAGCCCCAAGCCTTGGCAGCTTACACATGGTGTTGGGCCTGCAGGTGCACGAAAGTCAAGAATTGAGGTTTGAGAACCTCCACCTAGATTTCAGAGGATGTATGGAAACATCTGGATGATCAGGCAGAAGTTTGCTGCAGGGTGGAGCCCTCATGGAGAACCTCTGCTAGGGCAGTGCGGAAGGGAAATGTGGGGTTGAAGCCCCCACACAGAGTCTCCACTGGGGTACTGCCTAGTTGAGCTGTGAGAAGAGGGCCACCATCCTCCAGACCCCAGAATGGTAGGGCCACTGACAGCTTGTACCGTGCTTCTAGAAAAGCCATAGATACTCAAGACCAGCCCGTGAAAGCCTCTGGGAAGGGGGCTGTACCCTGCAGAGCCACAGGTGGAGCTGCCCAAGGCCATGGGAGCCTAAATCTTGCATCAGTGTGACCTGGATGTGAGACATGGAGATCATTTTGGAACTTTAAGGTTTTTTGTTTGTTTGTTTGTTTTGAGACAAAGTCTCACACTGTGTCTCCCAGGCTGGAGTGCAGTGGTGTGATCTCAGCTCACTGCAACCTCCACCTCCCAGGTTCAAGTGATTCTCCTGACTCAGCCTCCCAAGTAGCTGGGATTACAAGCGCATGCCACCACACCCAGCTAATTTTTGTATTTTTAGTAGAAACGGAGTTTCACCATGTTGGTCAGGCTGGTCTCGAACGCCTTACCTCGTGATCTGCCTGCCTCAGCCTCCCAAAGTGCTGGGGATTACAGACGTGAGCCACTGCACCTGGCCAGAACTTTAAGATTTAATGAATAATTAGCTGGGCATGGTGGTGGGCACCTGTAATCTCAGCTACTTGGGAGGCTAAGGCAGGAGAATTTCTTGAACCCAGGAGGTGGAGGTTGCAGTGAGCTGAGATTATGCCACTGCACTCCAGCCTGGGCAACAAGACCAAAACTCCCTCTCAAAAAAACAAACAACAAAATAAAAAAAAGGATTTAATGACTGCCCAGCCAGATTTTGGACTTACATGGGACCTGCAGGCCCTTTGTTTGGGCTAATTTCTCTCACTTGGAACAGGAACATTTACCCAATGCCTGTATCCGATCCACTGTATCTTGGAAGTAACTAACTTGCTTTTGATTTTACAGGCTGCTAGGTGGAAGGGACTTGCCTCATCTCACATGACACTTTGGACTTGGACTTTAGAGTTAATGCTGGAGTGAATTAAGACTTTGGGGGGCTGCTGGGAAGGCATGATTGGCTTTGAAATGTAAAAGGGACATGAGATTAGGAAGGGCCAGGAAAACAATGATATGGTTGGGCTTTGTGTTCCCACCCAACTCTTATCTTGAATTATAATCCCCATAATCCCCACATGTCAAGGGAGAGAGCAGGTGGAAGTAACAATCATGGGGCAGTTTCTCCCATGCTGTTCTCATGTTAGTGAATGAATTATCACGAGATCTGATGGTTTTGTGTTTGCTAGTTCCTCCTGTGTTCCTTCTCCCTCCTGCCACATTGTGAAGAAAGTATCTGCTTCACCTTCCACCATTGAGTTTCCTGAGTCCTCCCAAGTCATGTGGAACTGTGAGTCAATTAAACCTCTTTCCTTTATAAATTACAGTCTCAGGCAGTTTTTTTGCAGCAGTGTGGACTAATACAATATGTAAATTGCAACATGCAGTATATTGTTTTAATGCAATCAAACAGCATTTGTTCTTATTTTGTCTTTATATATGTCAGGTTGGATGTTTTTTTTTTTCCTTGCAGTGATAGGTTGACTCTTATGTAGCTAGAAAAGTTAGTGTGGTCAGAGTTTATAAAACAGTTCAGATAAGAAAACGCTATCACATCTTGTATTTACCTCCAAACTGGATGATGGTCATCATAGGATGTTTAAGAAATTTGCTTAGCAAAGAGAATTGAGGCAATCTGCAAATAGATATAGTCCAGCCAAGGCAGATACACATGTTTTCACTTACTCCCTTAAGAGTGATTCGATTTGTATGGATTTGGTATAGAATCATTTCTGGATTTAAGGAAAACTAAACAAGGTTTTACAGCTTATTATGTTGGCAGGCAGGCAGGCAGGCATGAAGAAACCCTAATCTAAAAGATTCCTTGTACACTTAAAATTGAGGTAGGACAGACATACCTGAAGGCATAGTCTACATTTCTCATCTTCATTCTTCCTAATGAGGCCAAAAATTATCCTGTCTCCATTATTAATCAGTAAATCCTGGTTTGGTGGTGTGACCTGCAGATCCATGAGCACTCCCCACTTCCACTCTAACACCAGTAAAATACTCTCCTGGCATGAAATGCTACTTGAATTTTTCTCTCAACTGGCAACAAAAGTAACCTGCTACTAGCATTTCTCTTTTTCTCAAAGCCAAATTAAATTTTGCCAATTTGCACAGAGAACAAACATACTTCCACATTAATAGCTATTACCAACTTGGTCTTATTCAAACCTTTATGTTCACACTCCAGTACTTTGGGTAAACAGTACTAATCTCTTCTCCATTCTAGATAGCTCACAGGCTTCAAGGAAGTTCATCTGGTTTCTTGCTACCTCCATCCATCCCCATCTCAACCTTCCCAAAAAAGCAACTCAAGTTTTTTGTTTTGTTTTTGAAACAGCTTACTTTTTCCATCCTGAGTTTTCCAAACTATTTCAGGGTTCTGACAATTCTGCCTGTGACTAAGTCTTCTCCTGGGAATAGCTGCCTCATTATCACTATTAAAAACAGTCACTCCTAATACTGACTGATAAGGATCAGAAAACTCATTGTAACTCAATGCAAATCCCACCCTACCCAATCTAAAGATAAATGCATTACGAATGGAATAACAGGCTCACCAAAGGACAGAACTCCAGTGGTCTTTGTGTCACAATGAAGCTACTGAGTTTTGTATGTATTTCTAATTATTACAAATATGAAGAAATTATTACCATTTCTTCCCTCATAACCAGTTAGTATGTAAATTACTAACAGTCAAGCAAGCAAAAAAATAAAAAACAGACACACAAAAACTCAGCAGTGAATGCACTAATGTTTTTAAAGTAATGCAGCCTTCCAAATGATTTTCTGTTTCAGAAATAATTTTATGCAGTACATGTGTTGTGTGGGTAACTTTTGTTCTTGGCAAGCTAGTCCTCCTGCTTGAAAAATCAGATAAGTTTAAAAAAGAGGTCTTCTCCTAACCCCTCAAATGGAACAACTGCTTAGAAGCTTAATTCTTGCAAAAAGGATATCCAAATAATCATAAATTTATTTTTATCATCATTTTGCTCTATCTAGCTTGCTCAGTACTAGAGGAAGGTGACACAATCATAGCCCATCGTTCTGGAAACCTGAGACATTGCTGTAGAGACATCTCCCCCATCCACACACCGCCACACTCCTGCAAAAAAACCAGCAGTGTCCAAAAAGTTTTTTTCACATCAACCTTGGCCATTCTGTATTCATAGGAATATTTAACTTTGTTCCATAAACTCTTCTGGAAGTGTGTAAAGACTATAAACTCCCATAATACTTTTTTGAAGCAAAAAGTGTATACCCACACACACAGAATACCAATTATATTAAAATACAGTTAAAATAGTTTCAAAAACTAATGATATTAAATACATGTTTGTCTTTTTAACATATTAAATAAGCTCTAATAACAAGTCTACTAGTTACCATAATTTCTAAATTGTGATCAACACAAATGATATTTTCATGATGTCTGCAAGAACTACACTGTAATAAGAAAATAGCTGTGATTTCTGTTGATGACAAAATCACAGGTACTGGTAGTACTGCAGTGGTTAGAAAGAAATGCTACATTTCAGTCAGAGACCAGCAAAAATAAGTAACTTTTTTCTCAAATTCACAGACCTCTGAAGCTTTTAAACCATAATCATTCTCAAGCATTTAAAGAGGTACTGAGAGCTCTTGGTTCAAACTCCTCATTTTAAAGATGAGGGAATTAAGGAGGAATTTGATGATATTGCTTGCCTAGAGTATCTTGATTCCAAATCAGGAATCACTGGGTATTGTTTACAGTAAACCACTGTTTTCTTCTGAAAACCTGAACCTCAAATCTAGCAATACTTGGCAGTTACAATAGAGAGTAAAGAACAATATACTTCAAGGTAAGAAAACCTATTATAGTTTCTGTGTGCACCTCAGTTTCATCATCTGTAAAATAAAGATAATTAACCCGACTATGGAAGAACCTTAACATGAAAACCAAATTTTAAAATCCATGTTAAGTACTACAGCGAGGCAAGGCTGTTAATAAATTACATGAGAAATTGGACAAGTTATTCTTTTTCCTTAGTGTACTTTAAGTATCATCAAATACTGGTTTATTTCATACATTAAATACCTTTAAAACTATCCAGTAGATCTCCTGAAGAACAAACTGACCTTAGTAATAAGTCTCTTCAAATGAAAAATATGTTTAGAACAAAAAACTAGCTTTGGAGTCAGATATGTGCCTGTAATAAAATATATGCCTGCAATTCTATGCAAAATGCTTGTTTTCTCTGACCCTCTGTATTAGTCTGTTCTCGCACTACTAATCACAATCATAGCAGGTGAATGAGGTGCAAAGTCACTCTTACACGGCAACACGCAAGAGAGCTTGTGCAGGAGAATCCCATTTATAAAACCATCGGATCTCGTGAGACTTATTACCACGAGGAGAACAGTATGGGAGAAACCTGCCCTCATGATTCAATTATCTCCACCTGGCCCTATCCTTGACACATGGGGATTATTACAATTCAAGGTGAGATTTGGGTGGGGGCACAGCCAAACCATTTCATCCTCCATTTCTGAATCAGTAAAATGGGAATAAATGCTAACAGTCATATGAGAGCATGAAGGTCATTAAATGTCAGTCCCCTTCTCTTAAAAGGTATCCATGACAAATATATAATTTAGAGGTAACCTCCTAAAGCAACAAGGAAACTTTTCTAATTTCTGCATTATATTTACTTTTTCCTCCATCACTTGATAAAGTTATTTTAAATCAGAATCAAGTAGGACACAAAAAAACCTTTGCTCATGTCAGTAGGTTATCTCTCAGCAACTTAAACACTCAAATCGCCAGCCATTCTTTCTACCTTGTTTATAAAGAAATTACAAGGTAAAGATGTGCAGTGAAGTAAAGGGATTATAACCAAATTTCTAAACCAGACAGAAGTAAATAAACATTTGGAGGACAAGAGTCACACAAAATAATTTAACAGCTTAAGTGTTTAATCACAGAAGTGGGGGAAAAAATGCCAACAGCAGCAAGGCCACTCACCTTCTTCCCGCACATTGTTTTGCTTGCCTCCACGAAAAGAATTCAAAGAGGTCCGCTTAAAGTTGCAGTGACAAATATGCAAACACATTTTAGTTGACTAGAAAAACATACTGAAAATACAGTAGGTAGTCCAGAGAACACAAAAGGCTAGTAGTACAAAGCAGATCTGCTAAACAGAGGGGCGGAAAAAAGAACCATTATCTGTCATGCCCTCCTGTCACACCCTTTTATTTGTAGCCATAACTGCAAGCTGTTTTAAAGACAATGGCAATGTGATTAAGGGTACCTTCATGCTGTGCCAAAGCACATATACATAGCAATTCAGAACAATCAGTCTTACTTTCATGAGAGCAAAGGGTGAGCCAAATGAAATGGGTGGATACCATATTAAACAATCTCGGAATTAGCTAATAGGATATAGGAAAAAATGATTCCAATGCAGATGCTAAGTTCCCTTCCTCCTTTACACAATAAAAATTTTTATTATTTGAAAAGCACTACTTGAGAAAGGTTTCCATTTAGTAAGACCTAAATATGGCCTGTTTTTTGTTTTGTTTTGTTTTGTTTTGAGATGGAGTCTCGCTTTGTCACCCAGGCTGAACTGCCGTGATGCAATCTAAGCTCACTGCAACCTCCACCTCCCAGGTTCAAGTAATTCTCCTGCCTCAGCCTCCCGAACAGCTGGGATTACAGGCGTGTGCCACCACGTCTGGCTAGTTTTTGTATTTTTAGTAGAGACAGGGTTTCGCCATGTTGGCCAGGCTGGTCTCCATCTCCTGACCTCAAGTGATCTGCCCCCTCGGCCTCCTAAAGTGCTGGGATTACACGCGTGAGCCACCACACCCAGCCAGCCTGTTTTTAAACAAAAGTTTGAAAGACCACGTACTATTTCCTTCTATAATTTGTTAACTTAAAATATATGCACTGGATACTGGATCTGACATCATGTAATTTTCAAAATGACGCTGTGTAGAAATGACTTTAGTGGAAAACTTTAAAAACATATAAGCATTGCAACTCTAAAGAAAACCACTTGTTTCACAAACAATAGAAGTGCAAACTGAATGAAGCCAACAAGTAACAACATAAAGGCTAATGTGTGGTTTGTTGTGGGTTTCTACTGCTTTTATTCCTTAGGAAACAAATTACTCTCTCATATGGTTTCCCTGACTCCATTTTCCCTAATCATAATGAAGTCCAAAACATTTAGCAATTAAGCAACTTTTTGGAAGTTTAGTGTTCACATAACTCAACTTCATGGCTTACTACAAACTCAAACTGAGCATAAACTCAAATTGTTTTTAATGACTGGGAAAAGAGGAGGACTATGTATTATATACATGCACACATATTTAAGTAGGCCTTTAAGATAGAATGTAAAGTTCAGTTGATCAAACATTGAACTATTTTACTACTAGACCACACAGGTTTAAAATGTGATACTTTCTCATTGTGGCTCTGTTGACAGGCTTCAGAGCAAAAATCAGAAAGGAGATGAAAAACCAGCCTCAACAATGATAAATCATGACTTTACAGCCAAATCAGTGTACCCTTATACACAGATACAGTACTTGCAGTAACCGGGAGAAATGTGGGGGATAAAATTCAGATCGGGAAAAATCCTGCTATTGAGCTAATTCAGTAAAAATTTTTATAACGTAATTTTATTGCTGACTTTCCCCCTCACCTGTACGACTCCTGTTGTAGAGGCTTTAAGACTTTTTTTTTTTTTTTTGAGGAGTGCAGTGGCACGATCTCGGCTCACTACAACCACTGCCTCCTGGGTTGAAGCTATTCTGCCTCAGCCTCCCGAGTAGCTGGGGACTACAGACACGCACTACCACACCTGGCTAATTTTTGTATTTTTTGGTGGAAATGGGGTTTCACCATGTTGACCAGGCTGGTCTCGAACTCCTGACCTCAAGTGATCCACTCGCCTCAGCCACCACGCACCGCACCCGGACTAAGACTTTTTTTTTTTTTTTTTGAGATGCAGTCCCACTCTGTCACCAGGCTGGAGTGCAGTGGTGCAATCTTGGCTCACTGCAACCCCCACCTCCCGGGTTCAAGTGATTATTCCCCTGCCTCAGCCTCCTGAGTAGCTGGGACTACAGGTGCGCACCACCATGCCCAGCTAACTTTTTTTATTTTAGTAGAGACAGGGTTTCACCCATGTTGGCCAGGATGGCCTCAATCTCCTGACCTCATGATCCACCCGCCTCGACCTCCTGAAGTGTCGGGATTATAGGCATGAGCCATCAGGCCCGGCCAAGACTCATTTTTGAAATAGTCTTTTTCAGTTGCAATTCCAATCACTAATTAGGATTTTTATTTGAGGTTAGTTAAATGCTGGTGTGAGAGAAATCTATTGCTCAAACTAAACTGAAAGGGAAGTTGATTAAAAGGGGAGTTCAGCAACTCCTGCCCTAATGTACTCTAAGAATAGGAACAGACTATGATAATTTTCACCAAAAAGTACAAAAACAAAATAGGTTAAAAACATATTTTAAATAAATCTTTTTAAAAAAGATTTTGAAAAACCAAACCTGTTTCATAGAGCTCCAAACCTAGAAAGATTATTACAATAAAAATGGGCTAGGGTGGGTTGGGCACAATGGCTCAAGCCTATAATCAACACTTTGGGAGGCTGAGGCGGGAGGATCACTTGAGGCCAGGAGTTCGAGACCAGCCTGGAAAACACAGCAAGACCTCATCTCTACTAAAAATGTAAAAATTAGCTGGGCACAGTGGTATGTACTTGTGGTCCCAGCTACTCCAGAGGCTGAGGCAGAGGATCACCTGAGCCCAGGAGTTTGACCTTACAATGAGCTAAGATCATGTCACTGCACTCCAGCCTGAGTGACAGAGCAAGACCTTGTCTCAAAAATGGAAAAGCAGGGTGAGGGACTGGCTGGCTGCTATGGCTCATGCCTATAATCCAAGCATTCTGAGGCTGAAGAGGGAGGACTGCTTGAGGCCAGGAGTTTTATACCAGCCCGGGCAACATAGTGAGATCCTGTCTCTACAAAAAAATCTTAAAAATTAAAAAAAAAGTAAAAGAGAAAGATTTTCAAGGATGAGAATAACCATGATGGTGTTAATGAATTAAGGAGCTGGTGTTTCAAGTACTGAAAATAATCTGCTATTCCTAACATAAAAAGTACAGCACTCAATACATGGTAGAGTTTTTACTGTTTTTAATGATAGAAATGAGGTTACCATAGTAAAAGCTAAAATCACAAGCATAAACATAGACTTAGAGCTAGTTTCATTAGAATTAAGATATATGCTAACTCATACTAAACAATTTCATCACTTTAACCGCACACATGTCACTGTAACTAAGCAATAAATCCAAACACTATTCTTTCCCTCTATCAGATGGCTTATTTCTGATGTAAAATCACTATTACAAGGGACACAAAACAGAGGGCTTCCCAGTAAGTCGTGAAACATTCTTTACATCAGTCCCAGAAGAACCACATAAATCACAATAATCAAGGGGAACTGAAATTGACTCTCTATTCACCTCCCTTGCATCTGGACACTCTCATTTCTTCTTAGGCAGTAACATGGTCCTGGTACATACACATGGCTTCCTGGCCTCCACACTCACAACACTTGTCTGAACCTGCTGAGTTCATAACATCATTCTCCCTCTTTCACAAAAGTTACTATTTTTATTAAGGGGGAGTGGGAAGCAAAATGAGGAAGAAGGAAATAAAGGGTTTTTTTTTTAAAAAGAAAGAAAAGTATGTTCCCATAAATTCCCAGAAACTTTACAACTATTAAAAAAAAAAAAAAGATAAGAATGGGAGAGGGGAGTTGTCCTAGCTACCAAATTCTACTTTGTGATACTTGATAAAAGTTGGTCTACTTAGTAAATTATGATATCATGACCTTAGATATACCCATTTACACATATAAGACTCTCACTCCTCCCAAAATTTTTAAAGCAAAATAGCATCTTAAGTCCTATAAAGCCTGGATTCTGCCCTAAGAGAAGCTACATCTTAGTTCTATGGCCTTGAGCATGTCACTATTTCTGAGTCTGACATTTCACAGAGTTGTGATGAGGATTAGATTACTTAGCAGAGTATCCAGCTGATACTATAATTATGCAGGTTCACTCTGTCTACTTTGTTCAAAGCAAATCAAAATTAGTGCTCCTTCTTGCATCATCTTTTTTCACAGCTGACAGTTCTTATAATGATGCTAACACACAGGGAGGCACTCAAAATTTAAAGAATAGCCAATGCTAAAAAAAAAAAAGGCCTGTAAAGAGAAATTAATGCACATTAAAACGCACTATTCTGTTTTCAGAATTTATTCCAGAAAGAGAAACTATCTTTGCCTAAATTAAAGATCTTTAGGAGGCAAAACACTGCTGCCAAGACTTGCTCACCTCAGTAGTATTCAATCCCATGATCGGCTGACAAGCCCTGACAACTGTTAGCCTCTTTACTACTTCCACTATTCACCAAAAAAAGGAAACACATCTAGTTCAAACCAAAGGCAAGTCCCTAATTCTTTGCCGCATTTGCCCCAAAACTACTTACATTAGTTTTTAAAAGATTTTCCAAAGAAGAAAACAGAATTTCTTAGTCTTTAACCAATTCTTCTCTAAACCCAAGAAACATCATAAAACTTGTTTCTGTATCTAGTAAGTAAGCACTTAGCACTACTTTCTAATTATAAAGCCTACTCTAGCCACAGAGTCTATGAGTAAAATAGCTACTAAAGAGAGTTTAAAAGGCTTGAAAAGACTCCTGTATCTCCATACTTCCCTGCCCCCGAACAAGATAATACGGGCCAAGTGCAGTGGCTCACACCAGTAATCCTAGCACTTTGGGAGGCCAAAGCAGGAGAACTGCCTGAGGCCAGGTGTTCCACACCAACCTGAGCAACATAGTGAGACCCTGCCTCAATTAAAAAAAAAAAAAAAAACAAAAAAGAGGCTACAGAGTCACTTGATGAGAACAAGGCTATTTAAAAATTTCTATTCTATTAACTGTCTAACATCATACAAACTTTGTACACAACCAGGCGAGGTAAACTAACAGATGACAATTATCCCAGGTCCAAATCTACCTATCTACCTATCTATCTCTATATAGCTGACAGAGAAATATATTCCAAAAAATCACCTCCATGTAATGTCCCGCTATTCAAACCTAGAAGTTCAGATGGAATACTCCTATCAGTAAACTGTTTTGAGGTCTCATAAAAGAAACTATCACTTAAGGAGCCAGGACTGCTGCTTTATTTTTGTTCTCAATCGACTTTACACATGTAACTTTGCAACCAGTTTGCCTTTCCTTGCTGCTAGAGCTACATTTGCATCTTTTGGAGAGTCTCCTTATTTGGTCCCAGTTCCCTATGGCCTCTGATCTGCCACTCTGCCTTGCTGGTAATCCAATTATCATTCTTCCTATATGCTTAGAACTGATCTAATGCCTATCTGCTGAATTGTACTATCTGCCAGACAGACACCAGAAGAGTAGGCATGGGGAGAGAGGCCAAGAAAAAGTAGACTGTGGTATGGTACACATGACATGACTCATCTGTTCTAACTGTTCCATAACCTGTCCTGACCAAGTGGCTCAGATAATACTGCCTGGCTCACTCTGACAGACTTGTTCTTGATCCCAATCAAACCCATTACACTGGGCATGACATCCCTGGCCACATGCCTTGTACCTAAAACTTTCTACTGAAGAGAGCAGAGTTTCACAATTAATTATGGACATACTTATAGAAAAGGAAATTAACATTCAAGTCTCCTCCCTAGATACTTTCTCACTCAAGACCTACCAAAGGCCACTGATATAAATACAGTAATGCCCTCATTTTACAGATGAGAAAACTATGGTACTTCACTATCTTCATGTTTAAGAAAATAAACCTAACAATGCTAGATGCTGTATAATATTAACAAAGAAGTTTTTCTTGTTTTTTTTTTTTGAGACAGAGTCTCACTTTGTCACCCAGGCTAGAGTGCAGTGGCACAATCACAGTTCACTGGAGCCTTGACCTCCTGGGCTCAGGTGATCCTCCCACCTCAGCCTCCCGAGTAGCTAGGAATACAGGCACATGCCACCACACCTGGCTAATTTTTGAATTTCTGTTGAGATGGAGGTCTCACTGTGTTGCCCAGGCTGGTCTCAAACTCCTGGAGACAACCAATCCTCCCCTCCTGGCCTCCCAAAGTGCTGTGATTACAGGCATGAGCCACCGTGCCCAGCCAAGAACACTCTTTTTAACATTGTCCTACAGAGCTGATTTTTCTTGTTCGTTCTATGAAAAGTAGTCCACTGTAGTAACAAGGAATTTGGTTTACAACTTCTAATTCACTGTCATTTCACCTTACAAATTCTCCTTTACCAAAAAGAAAACACCACACCTTAGTGACTGGCACCATGTGCTTTTGTAGTATTTAAATCAAATTCTAAAATTCACAAAAGAATAACCTTAGTATATTCAGAATTACAAGAACATTTAGTATGCTCATTGGGATATAAGGCTTAATAAAAACACATCATTCATTCTAGACAGAATAATTCCTTCTGGGGAAGATACCTAAAATACTGTGTGGGAAAATGACCGACATTTCATTACACAGACTTTTGAACTGTTTTAAATTTTACCATGTGCATATATATTATATGCTAAGCACACCTCTAGATTCAATCACCAATTTACAGGAAATACAGGACATAAGAACGTGTTGAACTGAACCACAGATGTAATCATTAAAATCCAGACTCTGAAAAACACTAGAACAAATAACGTGGTTTCTTTTTTTTGAGACGGAGTCTCGCTCTGTCGCCCAGGCTGGAGTGCAGTGTCACAATCTCAGCTCACTGCAACCTCCGCCTCCCGGATTCAAGTGATTCTTCTGCCTCAGCCTCCCGAGTAGCTGGGACTACAGATGCGTGCCACCAGGTCTGGCTAATTTTTGTATTTTTTTGTACTAGAGACAGGGTTTCACCATATTGGCCACGCTGGTCTGGAACTCCTGACCTCGTGATCCACCCGCCTCAGCCTCCTAAAGTGCTGGGATTGCAGGCGTGAGCCACCTCGCCCGGCCACAACGTGGTTTCTTGAACAAAAAACATTACCAAAGAGAGGTAGTAAAATGGACTATAGACTAAAGCCTAAAAATGGACCTATAAAGGGTTAGACTTAAAGGTCATTACCAACCAACTGCAAGGTAGAGACTTTATATGGATCCTGATTTAAACCATTACTAAAACTATGACATCTGAGACAAATGCAAATTTGAATACTAGATACTTGAAGATATTAAAGAATGAAGGGGTGATAATGGTATTGTGGATATATACATATGCAGATATAGTCTGTATCTTTAAAAGACAAGGATTCTTACTAGACTGCCAATGAAATAATATCCACTCTGGAATTTGCCTGAGAATAATTCAGGAGGGGGAAGTTGGAGGGGAACAGTTCAACCAAACTTGGGCATGATTTGATAATTTCCCCTCCTACATGAGTAGAGTGGTTGATAACTGTTGAAGCTGGGTGATAAGTACATGAGGGTTTCTTATACGGATTCCACCTACTTTTGTTTGAAAATTTCCATAGCAAGCTAGAAAGTCAAACATTTACAAAATATTTGTATGTAAATGAAGAAAAATGGGTCATTTAAAAGTGATAACCACAAACTTGAATGTATTTTAATATTTTCAATATTTATTTTAATATTTTAGATAATCAAAAGGAATCTGAGGATACTAAGACTCAGATCTAAGGCAACAGATCAATCTGTTAGTTTTGTTAGGTGGGGATAATGGCACTGTGGTTATGGGGGGAAAATATCTTTTTAAAAGACACATACCGATGTAATTAGGGCCAATATGACATATCTAGAATTTGCTTTTTTTTTGGATTTGCAAACACAGTTTATTTTACAGAAATTCAACATTATAAACAGCAGGCACTTCTCCCCCACAGCCCCCGTGCCCCGCAACCCCCCTCTACCCGCCCCCACCCATCCCACTAGGTGCAGACCATGCTATGCAGAGAGCGAGCAGCAATGCGGCCCTACTGCTTTGGAGTGAGAGTCGAGAGCGATGGAACCTGCCTGCACCACATCCATCCTGCCCGCGCTGGACCCAGCCCAGTTCTCCAAATCCTTCATGTCGTCGTCTTCCTCTTCTTGGCAGGTTTTGATGGTAGGGCTATAGAGGGAACATTTGGTAGAGGGACTGTTTCGGGGCCACTGACTTCCAGCAAATTCTTGTCTGGTTCCTCCTGTTCTAGTTCTTCTAATTCCGCCATGAGCTCATCCTCGTCAGACTTTTCTCCAAACCCTACAGGTTTCGAAATTGCTGTTGAAATCTCCTCCCCAAGTTCTTGCTGGTCAGCAATGTCCTGCATTAACTCATCAACTTTATCGATGTCCATGTTGTCGTGGGCCGCCTTCTTGGCCTTGGCTGCAGAGCCCATGTTCTTGAGCACCTCGGTATTGGTGTTGGCATTCTCCAGGGCCTGCTGCTGGAACTCGATGGTTGATAATGTACCGTCGATCTGCGCCAGCTGCTTCTCATACCTCTTCTTACGCTTCAGTGCCTGGAGGGCCGCGGGCTTGTTTTTGGTGCCGTGCCTCTGCTCGATTTTCTTCTCCAGGAACTCCTGTTTCTTGCTTAACATCTCCTCCGTGTCCCGCAGCCGCTGGATGGCCTCCTGGAGGGTCAGGCCGCCCTTGCCGGCCTTACCCCCTCCAGCCCCGAACAGCGCTCGCCGCGCCAGCCTTCAACGCCCGCTCCGGCTGGGCTCCGGCGCCCGCCCTCCTCCGCCTCCACCCTGCCAAATTTGCTTTTTTCAAAGATGAGGACAAGAAGTAGGTCAAATGTAGGGGTAGGATAAAACTGGTACAAACATAAGGGCTCACTGACTCTACTTCTGTGTATGTTTCCATTTTAAAAAGTAGTAATAACAGTAGCAGTAAAATAGATTTCAAGGACTTCCTCCACTCATCCAGGAGGGTAAAAAAAAAAAGAAATAATCCTAGTTCAAATAAGGGTCAAGTATGGGAGAAGTGGGAGGAACCACTACACCAGGGGTGTCCAATCTTTTGGCTTCCCTGGGCCACACTGAAAGAACTGTCTTGGGCCACACATAAAATACACTAACGATATTTGATGAGCTTAAAAAAAAACGCAAAAAAAAAAACTCACAGTGTTTTAAGAAAGTTTACAAATTTGTGTTGGGCAGTATTCAAAGCCACCACAAGCTGCAGGTTGGACAAGCGTGTGCTACACATTTAACTCACCTGAGTTTCACAAACACTCAGCAGAGGGCGTGGTGAGGGAAGTTTCAACAATGTTCCTCCACTTACTGGAATCAAAAAAAGTGTTTTGAGAAAAGAATTATTTCCTCCTGCCAGTCCTGCCCTAGACATCCATTTGTAAAGAAACTTTCAACATTTCTCAAGTCCAAGAAGTGGACGGTCAGTGTTTGTTTTGCATGGAACAAAGAAAGCTTCCCTAACATCCTAAGATGTACAATTCTGATTATACATACAGAGTTTCTGGGTGTGAAAACAGTATTTTTTCATTCCCGGTTTTTTGGCTGTGCTCCAAGATTTCTTTTTTTACCAAATAATCTTTAGTGAGATCCTTTCTTGGGAAGAAGTAGAGGGTTTTTCAAAGACTTTTATGAAAATATTTGCACATACACATAGATATACATTTTAGCATTTCATGTAATGATACCAAGTGTTCTTTGAGGTTCTAAAAAGAAAAATAATCTAAAATTACCTAATCCTATCAAAATTTCCAATAGAGGCTATCACTACCATATCTAAATCACATAATCGTTTTTGCTGGCAAAGAGAAAGGAAAATTAACATGCTCTGTGCACTTACTATATGCTAGGCATTTAACATGTATTTTAAACTAAATCTTCCTAACAACCCTAATAAGTGGGTAATATTATTGTCTAAATATTACAGATGAGAAAAATGGGGCACTGAGAGGCTAGTAAGGTGTTAACTTAGGGCACCAAATAGTAAATGGCAAAACCAGGATGTGAACCCTAGCAATCTGACTGCAACATTTGAACTACTCTGTGTTAATACTGACATAGGAGTTAAAAAGAAATTACTTGGGTAGATAGGGTACGGGAGTCCTCAGTAAGGTTTCCCTTTTAATGAAAAGCAGCCCCAAATCACTTTCCTAACAAAGAGCAGCCTATAAAATAGAGCTGCAGACATATATGCCGGCAGTTGTGCCAATCAGGTTCAAAATGGCGGCTCCATCTTCCCTTCTCTGCCAGCCACGTGTACTGTAAAGGGCAGCCAAAATGACGCCGGTCAAGGGGAAAGTACATTTGCATCCTAAGATTAGGGTGGGTCTTCCTACAATTGTAGATTCTAATTTACTCCCCTAAACTACTGTTTTAAAACAAATTAAAACTGATTTATATACTGGAGATAACCAGGTACAGTCTGAAGCTCCTTAGAACAGAACAAATATTTGCATGTTGGGAAATAAAATATATTTTTTTAGAAGACAAATGGCTAATTAAGGTTCAAAACTAATTCACATTAAAGAATCAGAATATTCTAGTCAAAATTTTAAATTAAAAATTGCTTTCTATAGTAGGTAGGGGAAGACTGTTTCCACTACTATAATTTTGTGTAAATTATGGGCAAGTTTTTCTTTTAAAAATCAAGAACAGCGGCCAGGCGCAGTGGCTCATGCCTGTATTCCCAGCACTTTGGGAGACCAAGGCAGGTGGATCACAAGGTCAGGAGTTCAAGATCAGCCTGGGCAATATGGTGAAACCCCATCTCTACTAAAAATACAAAAAAAATTAGCCGGGTGTGGTGGCAGGCGCCTGTAATTCCAGCTACTCGGGAGGCTGATGCAGGATAATTGCTTGAACCTGAAGGCAGAGGTTGCAGTGAGCCAAGATCAAGCCACTGTACTCCAACCTGGGCGACAGAGCGAGACTGTCTCAAAAAAAAAAAAAAAAAAAAAAAACAAAAAAAACACAAGAACAGCAAAACCTACCCACTGTCTACCCCTCTACTCCTTCACTAAATTATACTTCCTGTCCAGCTATACAGTTACAACTTTTGCCTTCCTGCTGAATCTAATTTTTAGGGATAAAGGGAGAACATAAAAATTCTGTCCCAAAAAGAAGCTAAACTCTTCCTGAACTAAGTCTAAGTAGTAGAAGAGATAATTAGGAGCCAACTCTGGCTTTATTTAAAATATATTTACTTTATTTAAATTAGCATTGGTTAACTTTAAAAAAAAGGGGGGGACTTGCTAAGGCTGGTCTTCAACTACAGGCATGAAAAGATCCTCCCAACCTCAGCCTCACAAGTAGCTGGGATTACAGGTGCAAGCCACTGTGCCTGACAGCATTGGTTAACTTTAACATAACATTACTGCTTCAGTCACAGCAGTCTCATTCAATCTAGTAAATCATGGGAAGCTAAAGCAAATAAAAGATAATGGTCTCTTTGTGACATTACTGTTCCACTAAGCTGTTCCTAATTTCTTTTTTACTTCAAAGTATTCTTTACTATAACAGGAAAGTGTTTTGTGTAGTGAAGTTCCTCTGTAAGACTGGCTGGATTTGAATTCCAGCTTCAACACTTACTAGCTAGACAAGGTGTTTAATGAATAATCAATTTTCTGCAAGAAAAAATGGCGAAGAATATTTACCTCAGCTGGGCGCAGTGGCTCATGCCTATAATCCCAGCACTTTGGGAGGCCGAGGCAGGCAGATCACTTGAGGCCAGGAATTCAAGACCAGCCTGGCCAACATGGCAAAACCCCGTCTCTACTAAAAATACAAAAAACTAGCTGGGCATGGTGGTGCATGCCTGTAATCCCAGCTACTCGGGAGGCTGAGGCTGGAGAATCGCTTGAGCCCAGAAGGTAGAAGATGCAGTGAGTCAAGATCACACCACTCCACTCCAGCCTGGGCAACAGACGAGAGACTCTGTCTCCAAAAAAAAAAAAAAAAAAAAAAATAGAAAAGAATATTTACCTCATAGAGCCATTATATAGAATAGATAATATACATAAAATGCTTAGCATAAGGCCTAGTCCACGTTAATAAATAAATAAAGCTAACTATTAACATTGTCACACCGCACTGTGCAGAAAGCTACCTCCAGTAGGAAAGGGATGTTCCATCTGGACACTATGGAACACATTCAAACCTAGAGGTTTTTTCCATTACAGAAGGTTCCCAATTTAGGATGGTTCAACTTATGACTTTTTGACTTTACGATGGCGCAAAAGTGATACACATTCAGTAGAAACTGCACTTCAAATTTTGATCTGCTTTTCCACTTTGAGTATTCAATAAAGTAAATGAGATATTCAGCACTTTATTACAAGGTAGGTTCTGCGTTAGATGATTTTATCCAACTGTTGACTAATGTTCATATTCTAAGAATGTTTAAGGTAGGCTAGGCTAAGCTATGATATTTGGTAGGTTAAATATATTAAATGCATTTATTTTCAACTGATTTATCGGGACGTAAGTCAAACAGCATTAACTAAACCACCACTGAAAGCAACTTCACCACAAAACCACTAGAAGACTGAGGCAGGTGATGTATTGGGCAAAGCAATATTCAGTCCTTTTCCACCAACAGAATATACAGTTCTTAAACTTAGCACAGCTGTGTTTGCCCCGGTGTAATTATGGAACACAGTAGTCTCCAAAAGCAAAATTTTAAAATTACTTTTTAAATAATGGAAATAATACTTTCAAATATAAGTATTTAAAATGTAAACTATTTTATAGCTAACTTTCTTACGTTATACCCTTTCTTCTCTTCACACATATAGCAAATGTTTTTTGAGGCCAGGCTCATGTCTATAATCCCAACACTCTGGGAGGCCAAGGCAGGTGGATCACTTGAGCCCAGGAGTTCAAGACCGGCCTGGGCAATGTGGCAAAACCCTGTGGTGTGCGTATGTACTCCCAGCTACTTGGGAGGTTGAAGTCAGAGGATCACTTGAACTTGGGAGGTCAAGACTGCAGTGTTCACACCACTGCACTCCAGCCTGGGAGACAGAGCCAGATCCTGTCTCAAAAAAAATAATAATAATTTTTTGAGCATCTATTAGGCACCTGGAATACAGTGAACAAATAGACAAAGCCCTCAAGGAACTAACATTCTGGTAGTAAGAGAGACAATAGTCATAATAAGTAAATTCTACAGAGCATGTTTCAAGGAGGTAACTGCTAAACAGACTAGGGTAAGGAAGCTTAGAAGTGCAAGCAAAGAGGGGCAGTTATAATTTTAAGTAGGGTGATCAGTACAGACTTAAGAAGGTGATAGATGAGAAAACATTTTAAGGAGGTAAGGAATGAAGATTTATCTAAGGAATAGCGTTCTAGACACAGGGAACAGCAAATGCAAATCCTAAGGAAAGCATATGCGTACCCGATTAACACCACCACCAATACCTAACAAATAAGCAAAAATGTCAGCCACTGCTGTTAAGTTTCTATATCCCTCTCTCCACACACACACACAAATCTGTGCTAGGGAAGGAAAAAAAAAAACCACACTTCATAAAAATTCATTCATTCAACAAATGTTTACTGAACAATACCCATGTGCTAGGTCCCACTTTCCGTGCTAAGGATACAGAAAAGAACATGACAGGCAATACTTTCTATTCTGTCACAGGAACCTTAGCAAAGAACCTGAGGTTGATCACAATGCCCATTTACTAAGCAATACTTTTTTCCTACTCCTTGGCTTATTAAGCCTTCATTGATTTAAAAAAAAAAAAAGCAGAGATTTACAGAAATCTTACCTCCAGATAAGTGAGACGATACTGTACTCAAAGTATCTCAAAGTCTCTATCTTCAGATTATAGATATCAGGCCCTTACAAAGTTTCTTTACCTAGTGCCAGGTACAGTGGCTTATGCCTGTAATCCCAGTGCTTTGGGAGGCCAAGGTAGGAAGAACCCTTGAGGTCAAAGTTCAAGACCAGCCTGGCCAACATGGCAAGGGTTAACCCCATCTTCTACTAAAAACACAAAAATTAGCTGGGTGTGGTGGCACACACCTGTAATCCCAGCTACTCGAGTGGCTGAGGCATAAGAATCATCTGAAACCAGCAGCGGAGCCTGCAGTGAGCCGAGATTGTGCCAATGCACCACAGCCTGGGTGGCAGAGTGAGAACCTGTCTCAGAAAAAAACAAGGCCGGGTGCGGGGTGGCTCACATCTGTAATCCCAGCACTTTGGGAGGCCAAGGCGAGTAGATCACCTGAGGTCAGGAGTTCGAGACCAGCCTGGCCAACATGGTGAAACCCCGTCTCTACTACCAATACAAAAATTAGCCGGGTGTGGTGGCACACGCCTGTAATCCCAGCTACTAGAGAGGCTGAGGGAGGAGAACTGCTTGAACCTGGGAGATGGAGGCTGCAGTAAGGTGAGATTGTGCCACTGCACTTCAGCCTCAGTGAAAGAGTGAGACTCCGTTTCAAAAAAAAAGGAGAAAAGTTTCTTTACCTAAAGAACTGACATTTTAAAAGTACTAACATCTACCCCTCCCTCTCACCCAGAAGAGCCAAAACATTGCTATTGGGAGTCTAATCTACTATGCCACAGTACCTATGGTAGCTAAGTAGGAGGTCTCTGCTATCTAAGACTTCATCAGGTGGTATGGGGAAAACATGCATATATATCCTTTCTTTTAATGCTCCCATTTCCTACTTTAAAAGTAAGTACAGGCCGAGCACAGTGGCTCACACCTGTAACGCCAGCACTTTGGGAGGCAGAAGGGTCTTGAGTCTAACAGTTAAGACCAGCCTGTGCAACATGGTGAAACCACATCTCTACTGAGAAAAATACAAAAATTAGCCAGGCATGGTGGTACACGCCTGTAGTCCCAGATACTCTGGAGGCTGAGGTGTGAGGATCACTTGAGCCTAGGAGGTAGAGGCTGCAGTGAGCTGTGTTGGCACCACCACACTCCAGCCTGAATGACAGAGCAAGACCCTGTCTCAAAAAAGAAAAAAAAAAATGTAAATACAGCTTATAATACTACCCAGTGGCATAGAAAATTACTATGAAGTTTTTCCTTAAGTCCCAACCAAAAGCTCATAGTTAAAAATATAATTAAGGACACTTAACATTCTATTTAAAAAATTACAGTTTAAGCAGAATACATATCATGTAATGTATCTGAACCCATTTAGCAATCAGAGAATAAAAAGAAAACACAACAAAAAATATTATATAAAAAGAACCAAAAAATATATATTACTTTCTTTTTCCCCATTAGGTTAAAGGGTACTTTAAGATCAGTTAAAAATATGTTTCTGAATGTTAAGAAATGTATGTGATAGAAAACAGGACCAAAGAAAATTAATGCTAAATTAACTTTATACATGAATTGATTTTTTTTCTTTTTTAAAGAAATGAGGTCTTACTTTGTCACGCAGGCTGGAGAGCGGTGGTGCAATGACAGCCCACTGTAACCTTGAACTCCTGGGCTCAAGCGATCCTCCCATCTCAGCCACCCCCACATAGCTGGGACTACAGGTGCACTCCACTATGCCCAGCTATTTTTTTTCTAAAGACAGGGTCTCCCTATGTTGCCTAGGGTGGTCTCAAACTTCTGGGCTCAAGCAATTCTCCTGCCTTGGCCTCCCAAAGCACTGGGATTACAGGTGCATGTCACTACACCTGTCTAATTTGTTGGGGTTTTTATTAGAGGTGGGGTCTTGCTATGTTGTCCAGGCTGGTCTCCAATTCTTGGCCTCAAGCAATCCTCCCCACTTCACCTCCTGAAGTGAGGAGGCATAAGCCACTATGCCCAGCCCTAACCTACTTTTTAATTTAAAAACTCCTAAAGAATACATTATTACCCTGTTTTCCTGTCAGTTCACAGTGACATGTTTGTGAGTAGAAGGGTTTCTCATCTACCTTTAACCATCAATCTTCTGCTACAATTGGCCTAAATAAAATGAAAACATGCTGCATATGCTTCACCCCAACTAGCATTACATTAGCTAACTGTGTAATCCATGCTTTCTAGGTATCATCAGTATGTAAGCATAGAAGTATTTTCTCTACCTACATGTCCTATCAGGCAAATTAGAGCTACCCTCTGTCATTTTTTTACCTATGAAATTAGCAAATACAAAAACTGTGTCAGCAAGGATATGAGAAAACAAGTGTATTGTCCAACTGCAAATACTCTTTGATCCAGTAGTTCCCCTTCTAAAAATGTATCCCACAAAACACCATCTGAGGCCAGGCATGATGGCTCATGCCTAAAATCATAGCACTTTGGGAGGCCAAGGCAGGAGGATCACTTAAGGTCAGGAGTTCAAGACGAGCATGGCCAACATGGTGAAACCCCCTGTCTCTACTAAAAATACAAAAAAAAAACTAGGTGGGCATGGTGGCAGGTGCCTGTAATCCCAGCTACTCAGGTGGCTGAGGCAGGAAAATCACTTGAACTCCGGAGGCAGAAGTTGCAGTGAGCTGAGATAGTGCCACTGCACTCCAGCCTGGGCAACAGAGACTCTGTCTCAAAATAAATAAATAAAAATAAATCTGAATAAGGTTATTCACTGCAGCATTGTTTATAATGGGAAAAAAAGATAATAAAGACTGCATTTCTCAACCTTCTTTGCATTCAGATGTGGCTATGACACTAAGTTCTAACTAATGAAACATAATTCAAACTGCTATGAAGTGACAGCTTCTAGAAACCTTCCTTTAAAAGGGTAACATAGAACCTCTGCCCTTTCATGCACCCTGCTGCTCGGAATGGGCTCCAATAGCTGGAGATCTTGCTAAGTCAATGAGGACACAGGCAGCATACATAGAGCAGTATTAGTATAGAAAAAGGCCAATCA
The DNA here is from genome assembly GCF_000001405.40 of Homo sapiens. NCBI lineage: Eukaryota > Metazoa > Chordata > Mammalia > Primates > Hominidae > Homo > Homo sapiens. The sequence continues at coordinate 55,290,513 of NC_000014.9, read as the reverse complement.
GAAAAGTGATGGTAGGGGGTGATGACCTCACTGAACCATGCACTTAACATCTGTGTATGTTACTGTATCCATTATGCCTCAATTAATTAATTAATTTATTTATTTTATTTATTTTTTTTTTTTGAGAGAAGTCTCACTCTTGCCCCCAGGCTTGAGTGCAATGGCTCGATCTCGGCTCACTGCAACCTCCACCTCCCGGGTTGAAACGATTCTCCTGCCTCTGCCTCCAAGTAGCTGGGATTAAGGCACCTGCCACCACACCAGGCTAATTTTGCATTTTTTAGTAGAGACGGGGTTTCACCATGTTGGCCAGGCTGGTCTCAAACTCCTGACCTCAAGTGGGATCCGCCCGCCTCAGCCTCCCAAAGTGCTGGGATTACAGGCGTGAGCCACCATGCCCGGCCAAATTATGCCTCAATTTAAAAAAAGGAGAGTAAGAGAAAAACAGCACACCATGAGTTCCAGATGAGCCCTAAATCACCCTCCTGAATTTTTAAAAGAAAAATACTTTGTTGTTGTTTAAGTCACTGTTAAGTTTTCTATCACAAATACACTCTTCATACACCAATATGTAAAGAATTTAAAAACTACTGTTAGGTGAAAAAAGCAAGCTAATAGTATACAGAGTATGCTACCATACTTGTTTTTTTTTTTAAAGGTAGACAGTGACTGGGCTTGGGGACCCACTCCTGTAATCCCAGCACTTTGTGAGGCCAAGGCAGAATAATCCTTGAGTCCAGGAGTTTGAGACTAACCTGGGCAACAAAGTAAGACTCTGTCTCTACAAAAATAAATAAATAAATAAATAAAACTAGCTGGACGTAGTGGTGCATGCCTGTATTCCCAACTACTTGGGAGGCTGAGGTGGGAGGATTTCTTGAGCCCAGGATGTTGTGGCTGCACTGAACTGTGATCATGCCACTGCACTCCAGCCTGGGGCACAAAGCAAGACCTCTTTCTTTCTGTCATATATACACACATACACACATACATAGAAAGAAAGAATCGTATACCGGAAGAATAGATAAGAAACTGGTAACACTGTTTGCTTCCAGAGAGGGGTAAAGTGTGCCCAAGAGACAGGGGAAGGAAGAAAACTTCTCATTTTTTGCACCTTTTGTGTTTGAAGCATGTGAACATATTATTCAAAAAGTAAATGTTCTTCCATCCTACTAAAATATACAAACTTTTTTGAAATTTTGGTATATGCAGATTTCAATGATTTGAAGGTTTATATTAGATTTTGGTTTTGAAATACTTCCACACTAAACTAATTACCTAAGAACTACTAGATACAAAAATAACAAAATTTAAAAATGCTGGAAAGGGGGGAAAAAAGAGAAGGCTAAGAACTCTAAATCATTTGAGAGAAAAGGGCAAGAAAACATTTTCACCAAAAAGAGAAGTTTTGGGGTCATTTTGCTGCTTGAAATATATATTACATATACTTTTTTTGTTTTTTTGAGACAGAGTCTCGCTCTGTCACCCAGGCTGGAGTGCAGTAGCTTGATCTCAGTTCACTGCAACCTCCACCTCCCAGGTTCAAGCGATTCTCCTGCCTCAGCCTCTCCAGTAACTGGGATTACAGGCATGCGCCACCACGCCTGGCTAATTTTTGTGTTTTTAGTAAAGATGGGGTTTCACCACATTGGCCAAGCTGGTCTCGAACTCCTGACCTCAAGTGATCCGCCCACCTGAGCCTCCCAAAGTGCTGGTATTACAGGCGTGAGCCACCATGCCCGGCCCTATATATTTTTTTCATTTCTCATCATTTACTCTTGGAGTAAAACAAACAAAGCAGCTAGCTAAATCAAATCGTCCAACAAGCCTTTTCTCTGATTAACTGAAGAAATCATTACAAAAGGTTCTTTCTTGCTAGAGGAGTACAGTTTCTAAACAGTTACAAGTAGGATCATTTGAAAGTCTATGAATCAGACTGAAATAAAATGAGGATTTCTGAGAAATGTATCAAACAGGCCGTACGTGGTTTTCTTTTCAACACTATTTTAAAATATGTGAATATAAACTCTTGCCTTTTTCATGGCATAAACAACACAACAAGAGTTACTCAAAATCTACTCTTAATTAAACCATTTAATTTTGCAGTAGCCCAAGTCTTGGACTATTTTTTCCCAGCTATGATTAGTGTATGTAATTTTATATTCCATTTTTATGTACTTATTTCTATGTAATGATTATAATTTAAATGCACAAAATTAAAAAAATTTCTTTACTTTAGAAATACCCAAAAAAAATTGGATTTTCCTTTTGGAAAACCTTGTTTCTCACACCAATGCCAAAAGATGACTAACCACATCATAAGGTAGAGGTCATGAAGCATAAATTATTGATCCATACCAATTACAAGCAACTTCTTAAGTAATAAATTATATTTAAACCCACAAAGGAGACATCATTTATACCTCCTGGCTGATAGCACAGGTTGAGAATTCCTAATCCAAAAATCCGAAATCCGAAATGGTCCAAAATCCAAAACTTTTTGAGCTCCAACACGATGCCACAAGTGGAAAATTCCACACCCAACCTCATGTGACAGGTCACAGTCAAAACACAGGCACACAACAATGAAGATGACATTGTTAACACAGCAAAAAAAGTGCTTATTGCCGACATGATGCAAATGCATGTTGGGCTTATTAGAGAACCAGAGCAGCATGCATTCATAACAAAATCATGCTAGTTTATAAAATCACAGAGAGACTTCTAAGACAAAAACTGTTGTTAATGAGACAAGTGACTCTGGCGGAAATATTTTTAAAAGCCATCTAGCAGAATGCCTTCTCTTCCCTAGAGGCCCCATTTCCTGGTCCCTCAATCGATTCTGATGTTTCTTCCGGCCTTAATAAAACAAACAAACAAACAAAAAGTCTAGAAACCTTTTAATCAAAAAATAACATCATAGGTGGGGACTGAAAGCCTAACCTTATTTGTTGATGATGTTGCTTAACAGCAGATACACATATTCTGGTGATGCTATTGTGCTTAGTTACCCTGAACACATTATTATTCCACTATATTAATGGTATGTCATACTTTTTACTGTTATTTTTTACTTTTTTCTTATACTTATGTGTGAATAAGTATAAGAAAATGACTGCTTATCAGTATCATATAAATTCAGTTGAGTGTGATGGTGATGCTAAATAACTACAGACTGTGCACATGAGTGACTAAGATTGTGACACCTTTGCTAACACTTCAATGTACACAAACTTTGTTTCCTGAACAAAATTATTTAAAATATTGTATAAAACTACCTTCAGGCTATGTGTATAAGATGTAAATGATACCGGGTACAGTGGCTCATGCCTGTAATCCCAGCACTTTGGGAGGCCAAGGCAGATGGATCACCTGAGGTCAGGAGTTCAAGACCAGCCTGGCCAACAAGGTGAAACCCCATCTCTACTAAAATACAAAAACTAGCCAGGTGTGATGGCACACCTGTAATCCCAGATACTGGGGAGGCCAAGGCACGAGAATCGCTTGAACCTGGGAGGTGGAGGTTGCAGTGAGCTGAGATCAAGCCACTGCACTCCAGCCTGGGCGAAAAAGCGAGACTCTGTCTCAAAAAAAAAAAAAAAAAAAAGTAAATGAAACATAAATGAATTCCGTGTTTCAATGTGGGTCCCATCTCCAAGATATCTCATTACGTATATGTGAATATTACAAATTCAAAAAAAAAAATCCAAAATCCAAACCACTTCTGGTCCCAAGCATGTAAGATAAGAGATACTCAACCTGTAGTACAAACATCAAATTGTTTTGAACAGGGTTGTAGGGTTACAAACAAAATCACTTATCCTTTAAAAATTCTTAGTAACTAGTGTGGAAATTTCGTTAGGGGCTTACAATCATTAACCCTATCAGAGTAAATGCTCCTGAGGGCAAACACTACACTTTCCAATACAGTTATCTGTATTATTCCATAAAGTAGAATTTCAGCAACATAGACTAAAGGGACATTCAAACATAGAAGACTGAAAGTAGGCACACTATTAATATTTGGTAAGTAAACTGAGCAGGAGTTTAAAAACAAATACAATGCACAAGGAAATAAAATTAAAATTTAGCATTATTTCAAGATATCTACACCACAGCCGTACAACGCAAATGACAAATGTCTTGAGAAAGCCAAAAGTTACACCGAGGTTCATTAATGAAGGCTTGATATGGTTTTCTTCTAAAAGGGAAAAAAACTAAGTTTGTGTCTGCCAAGAACATTAAATTGAATTCACGTCGAATCTTCAAGAATATCACTCTTACTTTAATAAACCAAGAAGTCTAACATCCTTTAAAAGTAGAAAGATGGGAAGTTACACTCATTTTTTACAAATTGGGAAGGGAAAGAGGTAGAGATTAATTTTCTCTTCTAAGTTATTGATTGGAAGGAATTTGGAAGGAAAAAAAAGAACTAATCAAATTTTCATACAGCATTCTCCATGAATACTAAATAAGCAGTATAAATACAAGCATGTGGGTTACTCAAATTCAATTCTAACGAATTTTGACTGAACATCTAAAGATAGAGGGTATTCCTGATTCTATGGGAAACAAAGATTAGTAACTGTCAGACCACTCCTTAAGGGACTTATGCAAGAGTCCAAAATCTTAACACTTTTAACAGGAATTCTCACTGGATTATGACTTCAGTAACACCAACATGTATTTAAATCATAGCCATTAAACATGAGAAACATGAACAAGTGTTCAGTTCAACAAGTGTTCGGTTAAAGGAACACTTGAAACACCTGAAAAGACCTTTAATGAAATAAAACTTGAATATTTAAGTAGACCAACAAATGAGCTGGCAGGGAGATTTTAATTGCTAAAACTAATACCTTTTAAGGAGGCATGTTCTCCTTCTAGTTATGTCCCCTAAAAGGGGATGGAGGAAATCCCATGAAGTGTTCATAAAGGAATTTTTTTTTTTTTAAAGAGACAGAGTCTCACTATGTTGCCAATGCTGGACGGCAGTGGTTATTCACAGGCACGATCCCACTACTGATCAGCATGGGAGTTTTGACCTGCTCTGTTTCCAACCTGGAAACCTCCCTTCACCCCACCTTAGGTAACATGCTGTTCCTCGACTCCCAGGAGAAAGAACAATTTTTTTTTTTTTTCTGAGACAGAGTTTCGCTCTTGTTGCCCAGGCTGGAGTGCAACTGCACTACCTCGGCTCACTGCAACCTCTGCCTCCTGGGTTCAAGCCATTCTTCTGAATCAGCCCAAGTAGCTGGGATTCCAGGAATGCGCCACCACGCCTGGCTAATTTTGTATTTTTAGTAGAGACAGGGTTTCTCCATGTTGGTCAGGCTGGTCTCAAACTCCTGAACTCACGTGATCCGCCCACCTCGGCTTCCCAAACTGCTGGTATTACAGGCGTGAGCCACTGTGCCCGGCCGGAACAATTCTTGAAAGAAGCTTTACAACTGATCTTTGCAGTTTTTTTTTTTTTTTAACCTCACCTGGCCAGAGAGAATGTTCTCTGCATTTTAAAATAGGACAATTAAAAGCAAGATAAACATGGTAAAGATTCACAAAACAAAACAAGACAACTGCAGTAAGAACCAAGGTAAGGCCAGATATGGTGCTCAAGCCTGCACTCTCACAGCATTTTGGGAGGCTGAGGAGGGAGGATCACTTGAGTCCAGGAATTCAAGACCAGCCTGGGCAAAGGCGTGAAACCCTATCTCTACAAAAGATACAAAAATCAGCTGGACGTGGTGGCACATGCCTGTAGTCCCATCTACTCAGGAGGATGAGATGGAAAGATTGCTTGAGCCTGGGTGGTTGAGGTGCAGTGAGCTAAGAATGCACCACTACACTCTAGCTTGGGTGACAGAGACCCTGTTTCAAAAAAAAAAAAAAAAAGTAACAAAATTTTAGGTAACCACAAACACTCAAAATCCAGAGGCTAGGTCCCTGAATCAAATAAAAAGAGAAGAAAATAAATCATTCACTTTTTTTTTTTTTTTTTTTGGAGACAGAGGTTCACTCTTGTTGCCCAGGCTGGAGTGCAATGGCACAACCTCGGCTCACTGCAACCTCCACCTCCGAGTTCAAGAGATTCTCCTGCCTCAGCCTCCCGAGTAGCTGGGATTACAGACATGTACCACCACGCCCGGCTAATTTTGTATTTTTAGTAGAGACAGGGTTTCACCATGTTGGTCAGGCTGGTCTCGAACTCCTGACCTCAGGTGATCTATGAGCATCAGCCTTCCAAAGTGCTGGGACTGCAAGCGTGAGCCACCGCACCCAACCCATATACTGTAATTTTTAAGTGTAAAAAAATTTTATACCCTACAGTCTTAAAAATACATGCAATTAGCACTAGGCATGGTGGTGCATGCTTGTAAGTCCTAGCTACTCAAGAGGCTGAGGCAAGAGGACTGCTTGAGCTCAGGAGTCTGAGGCTGCAGTAAGCTATGACCGTGCCACTGCACTGCAGTCTGAGCAAAAGAATGAGACCCTACCTCTAAAAATACATACACATACATACACATACACACACACACAGACACACACACACACACACACACACACACACATAGTCTTAGAATGTAAAGTCACGTTTTAATTTTAGGAAAAGTTATAACCTCCTACCAGCTAATAAAACAAAAATGTGAACTCTCCAGTAAAGTTAGTATTTTTTTGGACTTTAATAACCAATTTTATTATATTTACCTAAAAGGGGGGAAAACACAAAGTGTTAAATAAAAAGAATAAATTCTTGGCTGGGCATGGTGGCTCACGTGCCTGTAATCCCAGCACTTTGGGAGGCCAAAGCAGGCGGATCATGAGGTTAGGAGTTCAAGAACAGCCTAACCAACATGGTGAAACCCCATCCCTACTAAAAATACATTAGTCGGGCATGGTGGTTGGCTCCTGTAATCCCAGCTACTCAGGAGGCTGAGGCAGGAGAATCGCTTGAACCCAGGGGGTGGAGGTTGCAGTGAGCTGAGATCACACCACTGCACTCCAGCCTGGGCAACAGAGTGAGACTGTCTCAAAAAAAAAAAAAAAGAAAGAAAAAAAGAATAAATTCTTACAGACTGCTATTTGCCAAAGAATATAAATATCTGTAAAATTATGCTAAAAGAAAAAGTGATGGAAATATAACTAATACACTTAACATACTACCTCGCATATAAAATAGGTTGTAATAAATCGGCTGTGAAATTCCACAAGTTAAAAATGTTGGTGTATTTTTTTTTAGCTTTTTATCAATCTAATCATAGCCTATGTTAAGTAAAATACAGCAAAGAAAATGTCAAATGAAAGACGATTCAATAAAGCATAAAGCTCTTAAGGCCCTCCCTGGACTTATTTTCAGGAAACATTTTGATAGTCCTTCGTTCCACAAATGAGCTAAAATATAGTGACGATGGTAGAGCTCTTCATCCAAGAAAGAAGACAGCCTGAACAAGAGAAACCTATTCCCTAGGGTTAAAGTGACTAGGGTTTGTAAAAAAGTACTGACAACCTCCAGAGAATAATCCTGATGACTGAACTTGAAATAAAACCTCTTGCCCTACTTTGGAAACAAGTTTGCCTCTCCTGGTTTCTGGACAATAAAGCAAAAGTGTCCTTTGAGACTACCTTACGAAACTCAAATTTCATCTTCAGAAACTCCAACTAATCAATAATTCCCTATTCTGTAGTTCCAAGAATGATTCTACAGTTTCAAATAAACTACTCAATGAACAAAATTAATCTTTTTAATTGTCATAAAGCAAATGAACACCAACTCCTACAAATGAATCTGCTAAAAAGTGTCTAAGTTAACAAGCAGAGTAGAAAACACAGCAACTGCTTTTTTTTCCGGGGACATTGTCTACAGTCACTCAGAATGGTCCAGTGTATGACATACAATCATCAGCTTTCCTACAACACAGCCTTCAACAGAAATAGGGTGTCCCAAGCCCCTGGCAATAGAACTGTTTACCAACCAAGAAGGTTGGGAAAGGCACAAGATTGGCATGTGGCATGTGCCCAGACAGACTTCGAGGGGTTTGTGCCGTGAGATTTAAAGTTCTTATAATGCTGTCTACAATGAAAAAAACATGTCAGCAGGGCCTATCGTGGTCCAATGTGTGCTAAATGAATCCATGACAGGATCAAGGGTGCCTTCCTTATCAAGAAGCAGAAAATCATTGTGAAAGTGTTGAAAGCACAAGCACAGAGTCAAAAAGCTAAATTTGGCGGGGCGCGGTGGCTCAGGCCTGTAATCCCAGCACTTTGGGAGGCTGAGGCGGGCGGATCATGAGGTAAGGAGATCAAGATCATCTTGGCCAACATGGAGAAACCCTGTCTACTAAAATACAGAAAATTAGCCAGGCATGGTGGCATGCGCCTGTAGTCCCAGCTGCTCGGGAGGCTGAGGCAGGGGAATCGCTTGAACCCGGGAGGCGGAGATTGCAGAGAGCCGAGATCGTGCCACTGCACTCCAGCCTGGCAACAGAATAAGACTCTGTATCAAAAAAAAAAAAAAAAAAAAAAAAGCTAAATTTAAAAATGAAACTTACTGGAATAAACAATTCATTTCAAAAAAACGTAAAGCTACAAATTTACATAGCCCAGCTATGTCCTTTCTAAAGATAAGGAAAAGCTAAGCCTTCGATATGTGCCTACAATTCAGGGATAATATATGAAGCTTAGAATTTATTAGGGGAGATAAGGCTCATTACACGTGAAACAAAGAGCAACAAGCAACAGTATACAATGAAATGCCAACGTGCTGAGTGGCTAAGTACTCAATATACACCATAGAAATTTGGGAAATGGTAAGGATGTTACAGAGGGATTGGTGAGTCCAACAAGGTTTTATGGGAATAGACTTCGTAAAACAGATGTAATATTTGGAGAAATGAAAGGAGAAAGCAAGGCTGAGGAAACTGCCTGAATACCAGGTTTATTGCAGGGAGTCCCAGAAAATGAAGAGGAAGGGTGGGACTATCTTATGACGTCTAAACCTAGAGCAGGTTCTCATTTGGAGAGTAACATCATCCCGCTGGAATTTTTGTCCAACTAACCTGCCAACTGTGTATAAGATTGAAGGGGGCAAATATGGAATTATAAAAAAACGTCATAGAGACAATTACAGAAATCTAAATTCACAATGATCATTGGTCTAGATCTGTCCTATCCAATACAGCAGCCACTAACCACATGTGGCCTTTGGCACCTGAAATATTAGTAGTCTGAACTGAGATGTGCTTTTTTTTTTTTTTTTTTTTTAAGGAGTCGGGTCTCACTCTGTCATCCAGGCTGGAGTCCAGTGGCACGATCATAGCTCACCATAACCTAAAACTCCTGTGTTCAAGAGATTCTCCTGCCTCAGCCTCCCAAGCAGCTAGGACTACAGGCATGGGCTACCATGCCCAAAGGGATATGCTTTAAGTCTAAAATGCACACCAGACTGTAAACTATTTCAGTAATTTTTATATTGATTTCAATGTGAAATCATGTTCTGGATATATTGTGTTAACGTATTTTTTAAATATTTTTCACCTGTTTCTTTTTCCTTTTTTAATGTGGCTAACTAGAAAATGGTAAATTACATACATACAAGGTTCATATTATAGTCATCCCTCAGTATCCATGGCGGATTGGTTCCAGGACCTCCCTTGGACACCAAACTCCATGGATGCTCAAGTTCCTGATATATGGCTGGGCGTGGTGGTTCACGCCTGTAATCCCAGCACTTCGGAAGGCTGAGGCGGGAGGATCACGAGGTCAGGAGATCGAGACCATCCTGGCTAACATGGTGAAACCCCGTCTCTACTAAAAATACAAAAAATTAGCCGGGCGAGGTGGCGGGCACCTGTAGTCCCAGCTACTTGGGAGGCTGAGGCAGGAGAATGGTGTGAACCTGGGAGGCGGAGCTTGCAGTGAACCAAGATCGCGCCACTGCACTCCAGCCTGGGTGACAGAGTGAGACTCCATCTCAAAAAAAAAAAAAAAAAGTTCCTGATATAAAATGGTGTAGTATTTGCATATAACCTACGCACATTCTACCGCATACTTTAAACAAACTCTAGATTACTTAAAATACCTAATACAATGTAAACGCTATGTAAAGAGTTATGCTGTACTGTCATGACAAGAAAAAAATAATCTGTACACGTTCAATACAGATGTAATTTTTTTTCCTCAGGTATTTTCCATCTGAGGTTGGTTGGATCCATGGATGATAAACCCACAGATAGAGGGCTATTTCTACTCAACAGCGCTGCTCTACATAGTTATCTCAACTTTTCTGGTTCTCCCATTCCCATTTTTTAAAACATTTTTAACATGTACCCACAAATATGATGTGATATATATACATGTATGTACATATATCATGTACTAATATATTTTACATACATATAAAATGTATATAAATACTAGTAGGATGAGAAGAATAAACAGAAGTTTCAATATTTTTCTTTCCACAATCCAATGGACTAATCCACACACTACCACACTGGAGGTTTAAGATATTATCAAAGAGACTAAACACAAAAAGGCAAATGCAAATGAAAGTTTCACTAAAACTTAATGACTGGTTGACCATGGAGGTAAAGGGAGAGGATGGACATAATGCTATTTGCTACTCAGTATCTACTGGCTCTTTATTTAGGGGCACTTAGCAAATTCTTCCAGATCCTGCCATCCACTGCTTCTTGATTTTCCCTTGGAAATCCACTTCCTCTCCCATGATGCTGGTTAGGAGGGAATGACCCCCAGCTCCAGAGGTAGGCCCAGGCTGGCTAAACTAATTAGCAAATCCTATTTCTCTTGCCTTAATGGTTCATTCAGAAATGACAACATAACCCAAAGTCAATGAGACACAAGAATACATTTCTTGAACTTCTAGGAAGAGAAACTCTTCTAGCAGTGGTTCTTAAGCTGAGGTTCACACATACTCCAAGGGTTTATATATAGAATTCAGGGTGTCGTTAAACTGAGAAAAACAAATTACATCTTTACTTTAACCTCTAACTGAAATTTAGCATTTCCTTTCACTGTGAATTCAGCCAAAACACCACAATAGTATTATATTAGCAATATCTGTTCATTTTGTCACCAGTAGAAATCACAGTTTATTTATTTTCCTATCACATGATCTTTCGTTACAGATACCTCCAAATAGTAATAATACTCATCACCACTTGGAAATTATTAGACCCCACTAAATATATTTTTTCCTTTTTTTTTTTTTTTGACGGAGTCTCGCTTATGTCGCCCAGGCTGGAGTGCAGTGGCATGACCTCAGCTCACTGCAGCCTCCGTCTCCCGGGTTCAAGCAATTCTCTGCCTCAGCCTACCAAGTAGCTGGGATTACAGGCACCCACCACCATGCCCAGCTAATTTTTGTATTTTTAGTAGATGGGGTTTCACCATCTTGACCAGGCTGGTCTCCTGACCTCGTGATCCACCCACCTCGGCCTCCTAAAGTGCTGGGATTACAGGCGTGAGCCACCACGCCCGGCCTTCACTAAATCTCTTTAATAAAGAAACAGGGTGGGCATGGTGGCTCACGCCTATAATCCCAGCATTTTGGGAGGCCAAGGCAGGAGGATGGCTTGAGCCCAGGAACTCGAGACTAGCCTGGGCAACATGGCGAGACCTCATCTCTACAAAAAATTTAAAAATTAGCTGCGTGTGGTGGTGCGCACCTGTGGTCCCAGCTACTCAGAAGGCTGAGGTGAGAAGATCACTTGAGCCTAGGAGGTTCAGCTGCAGTGAGCCTTGTTAGCACCACTGTACTCCAGCCTAGGCAACAGATCAAGCACCTGTCTCAAAAAAAGAAACAGGTATTACCAACAATTTTTTAAAATACTTTTATAACTACATTTTAATGTAACTAGTTTTCTTTGTACAGTAGTCCTATGTATTTTCCTCTGGACTTGATAGCATGAGGTTGTAGGGCTTGAGCTGCAACAAACATGTGAACACAAAGGGACCAAAACCACGGAAGCTGAGCTCATTAAATAAAGGAAGAGAAAGATTAAGTCTGATCACACAAGTATAACTGAATCAAGCCTCAACTTTGGACTTTTTAATATTGTGAGCCAGTGAATTTGAGTTGGTTTTCTGTTACATCTGCATTAAAAAAATCTAAATGATACAGTTTTCAATAGTTTCTACCTCAGAAAACTGGAACAATACCCATCCCTTTGGACTGAAAAAGGAAACTTAGAAAAAGCTTAACTTCGTCACAGTGAGGGAATCTGGGGAAAATGAGTTCAGTTCCTCACAAACTGAATGTACTGCAGACTCAATAATGCAATAAAGCTCTCACATGCACTTCCTGTTTTACATATAGGCAATGCTAAGGTTTCACATATGACCTAAGTATGGGCAAGCAGACATACCTGCATAAGATACAGAGAACAGAAACAACAGTCCTACCCAAGGAAGTTAAACTTCTGGTAGCGGCTTTCTGATTCAACGACATGGTTCTCGGTGCTGCGGTGGCAGTAGCCCCCTTGGCAGGCAAGCTCTGCAGTGTCATTCAGGGGTTTGTTTCTAGAAGTTCAGACTAATCTGTTGATTCAGCCCGCTCAAAGTTTACATATCTTTCTCTCAATAAATCCTGTTTGCTACAACTACTTAAAGCAAATGATCTTGCTACAGGATCCTGAATAAGCCAAAGTAAAAAGGGATATACAAAAGAAGCATCTTCCTAGTAGTCAGAAACCCAACAAGAGTTAACAGTTTATGAATAAAAATGTAGGCACGACTTGGATAGAATTATAACTGAGAAGCCCTAATTCAAGATCCACTCCTAAGAAACTTGCGTCCTCTGAATTCATGTAACATTTACTTATCTCTCTTCAGATACCTAATTACAACCCAGACTAAGCCCGTGGTACATGCCAGTTACTCAGAAGGCTGAGGATCACTTGAGCCCAAAAGTTCAAGGCTGCAGTACACTATAATTGGGCCTTTGAACAGCCACTGCACTCCAAACTGGGCAAGATCTAGTCTCTTTAAAAAATAATAATAAAAAAAAAAGCAGCCAGGCATGGTGGCACACACCTGTAGACCCAACTACTCAAGAGGCTGAGGAAGGAGGACGGCTTGAGCCCAGGAGCTCAATGTTACAGTGAGCTATGAATTGCACCACTGTACTTCAGTCTGGGCAACAAAGCGAGACTGTCTCAAAAAACAAAACAAAACAAAAAATTAAATCATATAGCAAGGGCTATGTTCTTCATTTCTTTATACTCTGAACACCAAGCACAATGCGACCCTAATGTACTTCTAACAAAGTAGACCATTTGAACAAGTAGTTTCAGAAGGAACTAGTAGAAATATGATTGCAGGAGATTAAACAGCTAATGAAATTAACCTAGAAGGTGCAGGAAGGAACTTTTTGTGGTGATGAAAATGTTCTATATCTTGACAGGGATATGGATTACACAGATGTATGAACTTGTTCAAACTAAGGGAATGGTATACATAAGATTTGTACATTTTACTATATACAAGTTTTGCCTAAAAACTGTAATGCCCAACCTTGTTTTATCCTTATTCACCTGGCCTTGTTTCTCCCTTAGCTAAGAGAACCAGACAAACTCCATCTTGGCTTTCACTGGCAGCCCCTTCCCTCAAGGACTTTACTTGTGCAAGCTGACTCCCAGCACATCCAAGAATGCAATTAACTGATAAGATACTGTGGGAAGCTATATCCGCAGTCCCCAAGAATTCGTCTGATTGATAATGCCCAAAGCCCCGAATCTATCACCTTGTAATAGTCTTAAAGCCCCTGCACCTGGAACTGTTTACTTTCCTGTAACCATTTATCCTTTTAATTTTTTTGACTACTTAACTTCTGTAAAATTGTTTTAACTAGACCCCCCCGCTTCCTCAACCAAGATATAAAAGTTAATCAAGCCCCTTCCTCGGGGCCGAGAGAATTTTGAGCGTTAGCCGTCTCTCGGTCGCCGGCTAATAAAGGACTCTTAATTCGTCTCAAAGTGTGGCATTTTTCTAACTCGCTCAGGCACAACAAAACAAGTAAACAAATAGTTAATAATAGGCATGGGGAAATGTCTAGGTGTAAAGTATACTTTGAAATACAACAAAAACAAAAGGATTGATGAATGGATAGACCGATAGATAGGCAATAAAGCAAATACACCAAAATATGACTAACAATATAGGGGTGGTGGGTATTTAGGTATGCAATGTACAAACAATTCTTTCCACTTTTCTGTAATGAATGAAATGTTTCACTATGAAATCTTCCAGAAAGAAAGCAAACACTGGAAATGAAGGCTGTGAGAGGCTTGCGTATTTCCCAAGTTCATCAATTAAAGGACTGACTTTAAAGGAAAAGAAGGTATATGCATGCCTGAGAGTGGAAAGAAAAGGAGAAAAGGTATTCGGGTTGTCCCTCTTTTCTATGCTTCTAATTTTAGATTGCCTAGATAGACTAGTTCTGGCCTTGAGCACTTGTTCTTGCCTCTAAGGAAGCCCGAACTCACCAAGTTCCATTCATTCTAGCACAATCTCAATCTGTGGTTATCTAGGCCCTTTGTCTGTCTTGGGCTATGATAAGCTATTCCCTATTCTTTTTAACTGAGTTTCTAATACCTCCTTAAATTGACCTTTAACTAACACCTCTGGCCAATCTAGCATAACATAGTTTATCCTCGTTTTTTTTTTTTTTTTTTGAGACAGAGTCTCGCTCTGTCACCCAGGCTTAAGTGCAGTGGCGCCATCTCGGTTCACTGCAAGCTCTGCCTTCCGGGTTCACACCATTCTCCTGCCTCAGCCTCCCAAGTAGCTGGGACTACAGGTACCCGCCACCACGCCTGGCTAATTTTTTGTATTTTTTTTTTTTTTTAGTAGAGATGGGGTTCCACTGTGTTAGCCAAGATGGTCTCAATCTCCTGACCTCGTGTTCTGCCCGCCTCAGCCTCCCAACGTGCTGGGATCACAGGCATGAGCCACTGCACCCGGCCAATAGTTTATCCTCTTGACCCAACTCTAGCCTCTCACACCCAAGACCCATCATAGCAAGGCAATGTTAAAACAAAGGTTAAGGGTCCTTGCAGCAAGGATATATCATCTCTGTGTCACAGTCCCTATCTGAGTACCTGGCACAGAAATACTCAAAAAAATGTTTGCTGGATGAATGAAATCCATACCTAATAATGCAATAACCACACTTACATAGCACTTAGTTTCATATTTACACCTATACTCTACTGAGGATAGGAAATGTACATGTTAGGTTTCTGAAGCTGAATATTTTAAAATGGATTACTGAGAGCCTCTTCTGTGGAGCATTAACTAGAAGATGGAGGTGGGAATGAAAGGTTGATAAGTTCTTTTAACCAACACTAACAAACAACTACACTGTATTAATGCTCTCCTGGAAAATAAAGTATGTCATCAGCTTCAAAATACCATAAGCATTAACTAAAGGGGAGAAGATAAATTATGCAAAGATAAGAACTGACAGGAATTCAATTTCCAGATGACCTAAATGCATTTCGAGTTAATCTGCTCTTTTTTGTTTTTGTTGCTTCCAAAGGACTGCAGATTATGCACTTGCTGAATTTTGCCTTTGTCACACATGACCTAACAAGGAAGGCATTCATCATACCATAGTAGCTTCCCTCAAGTATCTGGTTCTAAACAGCTGCAAATTTTGGAAGATAACACTAAATGATGTCTCTAAAGATAAGTATGTTTTCTCCCAAACAAATATTAAAACAAGATTAAAGTTACTAGAACATAAAAACTGTCAAATTAAGCTAGCTGAACATAAATTAAGTTTAAAAAATAAAGTAAAAATTTTTAAGAATTTAAATTCTAAATGTTAATAAAATAACTGATCCAATAAACATATCCTGAGGAATTTCTACAATACAGCACTCTCATCTTGACATTTGCTTTTATCCATCAGAAAGATGGATAACGAATGACTGTTTAATTTAGTGCCTTCAAATTATATAAGTGAATAAAATGACTTAAAATAATAAACCAATCTCAAAATTAATTTCCATAAAACCATTTATATGAAGTAAAAGCTGCTTCCCAGACCCAAAACTGGAAAGCATGGGTGAAAAAGATCCTGCCAAAAATAGAAACAGACTGTAAAAATGTTTCACACGAGTTCTGGCTTGTTAGATAATTACACAACACTCACAAGCTGGCTTTTTAAATATCTGTCGTTGTCCCTCAGTCACATCAGTATGCACTATGACATTTATTCTTCACCTATTAACTCATTTTCCATGAGGAAAAATAAAAACTTCCTAACTGCTAAGCAAAATAGAGAGGAAAAATGCACTGCCGAATAGCAGGTATCTCCTTATCAGCTGCAGGTCTTTCAACTCTTATTTAGTCTGACTTTCATCCTTTCCCATTAATACTAGCACACCTGGCCGAGAACGGTGGCTCACACCTGTAGTCCCAGCACTTTGGGAGGCTGAGGTGGGCGGATCACGAGGTCAGGAGTTCATGACCAGCCTGGCCAACACAGTGAAACCCCGTCTTTGCTAAAAATACAAAAATTAGCCGGGCATGGTGGCACGCACCGGTAGTCCCAGCTATTCGAGGGGCTGAGCCAGGAGAATCGCTTGAACCCGGGAGGCGGAGGTTGCAGTGAGCCGAGATCGCACCACTGCACTCCAGCCTGGGTGACAGAGCGAGGCTCTGTTTCAAAAAAACATACAAAAAAACTAGTACACCTAACTTACATACAGCCGTGTAGCCGGCCCCAGAATCGCTACCGCTCGGGAAAGACACATGCAAGCGTCCATTTTGGACCTCCTTCAATTGCATTACATAGTATCTTGCCAAGATTCTTTCATCTTAAAGGTTGACTAACACTCTCAATATCAGCAGTTGCATAATAATTCAAGTGCCTCTCAGTCTCTGGTGATCCAAAGGCTCAAATGTGTATCTTTCATACAAAATTTTGTATACAAAATTTGTACATACGAAAAATAATTTGTATACAAAATTGTATCTTTAGAGACTTCACTCAACACTGTCAGCATAAAATTCCTCATTTCTTAAAAGAAGGAAGAAAAAACCAGAACAACTTTCAGTAGCGCACACAATGCTGTCAAATTCCCAAGGTTGTGGTGAGGATCAAAATAACATGTACAGGAAAGCCTTGTTTTGTGAACTTCCAGTCAAATCCAATAGTACCTAACGGGTAAATTTTTGCTTTTATTTCCTGCCTGAAAATGGGCATAACTTCCATCTGCATGTTGATGTAAAACCCAGAGAGACAGTATCTTATCAATCACCTCTAAAAGGCAAATGGGGAGCAGGAAGTATTGAGAGAGAGGAAAAAAAAAAAACCGTACCATTACAAGTCAAGGTCAGTGAGGAAGGATTAAGGACTTCTACCCAAGCTTCCTGCTAAAGACTAACTATGCTTCAAGTTTAAGCCATCTACCTTTTGAACTAGATTCCATTTACATTATTCTACAGAGGAGGAAATGAAAAGTACTGATATGCTGGAATACCCGAAGAGGGTCACTATGACAAAGTGACTAGCTTCTCTTCCAGTTAGATCTCTTCTGAAAGCTTTGGAAGAAAAACAGTATTCACAGACAAATCATTTTTTTATTCTCTAATTTCATATTTAAAAGCACTACAGACAAAATTTTAGTTACCTATCCAGACAAGCGGTCCTGGAATATGTTTTTATATTAAGTTATAGCCGGGTCTCAGTAAGAAAGCAAGAAAACAGCTTGTTGCTGACTTCTAAACCATGGTAGCATGGGGTGGTAGCATGGTACCATAGGGTGGGATAGGGACAACCTGGATAAATTAACTCCTCAGGTAATTATTATTTAAGACAAATGTTGGATTAATTCAAACTCCTCCCTCCCTTTACAACAGAAAAAAAAAATCATGTAAGATCCACTCTCCCTCCTCCTGGCCATTTTCTAACAAAAAATGCTAACAAGCAGATAGATGTCCAGTTAAAAAAAAAAAAAAAAAGCAAACTGATTTATCAACACTAGAAGTGGTTCTCTTTTTTTTCAGTAATTCTGATTGCAAACTATCAAACTACGAATTTAGCTTCCTAAAAGGCTTTTTACATTACACCCTCCAAAAAACCTCCTACCCTGACTTAAGTTTTTCTAAATCAAATGTCTTATACTGAGCTGTACTCGCAACGCTTGCTGGACAAGAAGTTAAAGAAATTGACAACTATTACATTAAAATTGCAAAATGCTGATACCGAACAACTTTCGATTCAAATCCACTGCGATTCCAAGCGTTCGTGGAAGACAACTTCCTTTTTCTACCCTGCGGGTCCCCCCGGCCCTTCCGTGAGCCCAGGTCCCCGCCCGGGCCTGCAGTGACATCCCAGGACCCATCTTCTGACGTCACAGACACACGGACCCACAGCCCTATGACTTCATCGTGGACTGAGGACGAACCGCAGTCGACTTGCGCCAGCCCAGAGGCTGGGGAGGCGTCCGAGCCTCCGTCCCGCCTCGTCGTTGAAGAAGGTTAAGGACAAGCGCCAGCTCACCTGCGCTGGGGCAGGGAAGGGCAGAGTGGCCGAGCCCGGGAGGGCGCGACAGGGGCGAGGCGACCCCAGTCCAGAGGCTGACTTCCTCACCGCCCTGGGTCCCGTAAGTGGGAGCGCCGGTCCGGTGCAAGCTCACGGCCTATCCGTGAATCTCCTCGGCTTCAGCGGGGACCCAGGACCCCGCTCCCTACCCGCCCGACCCTCCGTGGCCCGCGGGGACGCTCAGCGCCCGGGCCGTGCGCGCGGAAAGAGCCGCACCGGAGGAGGCGCAGGCGGCCGGGTCCCTACCCCGGACCCGCGGGCGGCGCCCCCGCCCCCACCCCCACCCGCCCCGCGCCCCGGGAGCGCAGGCAGGCGGCGGTAGGGGGCGGGGAGCGGCCACGGTGGCCGCCGCCGGACCCCAGTCGCGCGGCCCTCGCGCCACGCCCCACCTCGGCCCGGACCCACCTGCGCTCCTGCCCCGGCCGCGGCCTGGCCCGGGGCTGCACCAGCCCGACGCAGTGGTGGCGGCAGCAGCGGTGGCGGGAGGCCTGGCTCACTCCCCACCGCTGAGTCGGACCGAGCACCCAGCGCGGCGCGGCGGCGCCCAACGCTCGCCCCGAAACCCATTTGTTTGGCTAAAACGGAGTGACGTCACGCGCCGGCCCAATCGACGGTTGGCCGGGGGAGGGGCCACGGATCCAGAGTTTCACGGCGCCCCCTGCCGGACACTGGGGGCGGGAAGGGGGAAGTGAAAAGGGAGACCTGGATGACGCGTCTGCGGCCCCCAAGTGGTAGAGAATGAAAGTTTGAGCACGACTGTAGGGAAAGGAATCAAACCTCCCAGGCCAGCCAAGAAGGGTAGTGACGCCAGGGTTCAATCAGCAGACATGTCAAGTTTATGAATATTCGTGGGTGGACCTGAAGCTGTAAATGGTCTCAGATACTATTAGATAACCTAGTAGACCTGGATCCTCATACTGGTTCTGCTGCTAGCTTGGAAGGCTGGGGTTCAGAGTTTCAATTTGTAAAATGACAAAATTGGAAAGGTCCCTTCTGACTCTCTTTCCTATGAAAATCATGGCAGGGATACCGGTCAGAAAGTAGATAAACGTTGAGGCTGACACGAAACTGTTAAAGTCTGTAGAAGCTTAAGGGCTGGTTAATGATGGATATAAATTTTTAACACTTTATATTCAAATCAGAGGGCCAGTGAGGAACTTTTGATTCCCAATCTTTAAGCTTATTATTGTTTTCATTGTGAAAATAATATTAACCACATTGAAAAACATGAGGACAATGTATTTTCTTCTAGACCTTTTGCCCCATCACATATATTTTACTACACTGTAATAGTAGTTGTACGCGATTTTGCATCCTCTTTTCACTTTTATAAGCATTCCTCATATTTCCACATAAGCTTCATAACCAGTTTAACAGCTGCATAAAATTACATTAAGTGGACATAAAATTTACTGCAGTAATTCTCTATTTTTGGACATAACTTGTTTCCTTCATTCACTTTTTGCCATTATAAAGAAATCATAGAACATCTTCATGAATGTAGATTTTTAAAGATACCCAAAAGTGAAATTACTAGGTGAAAAAGACTATCAACACTTTCACAGTTACTAATACAAACTGCCAAATGATTTTTAAAAGGTTGTACCAAGTTACACTTAAACCAGCAACTTTGATTTTAGCCAGTCCTTAACAAAAATAATTTTGTCCAATTATAAAACTACTGTTGTAAAATATATGTGTAAAATCTTAAATATTAAAACGTAAAAACAAAATAAAAATATTTCCCATAATCTCATCACCAAGAAATAACCACTCAGTATCTCCATCTAGACCTTTATCTATATACATATTTTTAATAAAAATTGGAGAGGGGAAGTCCAGGCACGGTGGCTCACATCTCAAAAAGGAAAAAAAAAATTAAGGAAGGGTGTTATATGGTACACCGTGGCATCAAACTGTATGTCTGATTTAATATGTGAGCAATATTAGCTCAATATATCATGATCATTTGAAGCTTCTTTATGTCATAGTTAGCTCAAAATTGTAAAACTTCAGTTTATCCTTTCAGATTCATCTCAAACACTGTCCTTCTTAAAACCTCTTGATTCCTTCTGGGCATGGTGGCTCACGCCTGTAATCCAAGCACTTTGGGAGGCCAAGGCATGCAGATCATTTGAGGTCAGGAGATCAAGACCAGCCTTGCCAACATGGTGAAACCCTATCTCTACTAAAAATACAAAAATTAGCCCGGTGTGGCAGGGCACGCCTGTAGTCCCAGCAACTTGGGAGGCTGAAGCAGGAGAATCGCTTGAACCTGGGAGGTGGAGTTTGCAGTGAGCTGAGACCACACCACTGCACTCCTAACTGGGCGACAAGAGTGAGACTCCATCTAAAAAAAAAAAAAAAACAAACAAAACTTGATTCCTGTTGATTAGAGGACTCAAAAAATTGATATAAAAATGAAATTAATTTTAAAAGACATAATAAAAGCCCGAACTATTAATTATTATATTTTTTCATCTTTTTCTTGAGGCAGGGTCTCACTATGTTGCCCAGGGTGGTCTCAAACTCATGGCCTCAAGCAATCCTCCTTTCTCAGCCTCCCAAATAGCTGGAATTACAGGAGTGAGCCACCATGCCTAGCCTATGAATTATTGATTATTAAAGTCCACAGACATAAAATTATTCTGTCAAATTGCTAGTAAAGTTTCTAAAATCTGATTCTCAATTTCAGTTCTTGTCTCAGATTGGCCAGTGAACCACACTTTAAATAGCCCCAGTCTAGGAGAAAAGAACTAGGAGAGAGCATAACCATGTTAGGCAAGAACTTCCCTTGATTTTGTTTCTCCATTTGTATAATGGCAATGATCCCCTAGAAGCAAAGCCAGTAGAGCCAGTATAGTTTATCAACCCACAGGTCCTGTGGTAGGTCTTCAGGAAGGTGCTCCCCAGGTGGGCATGGGGTGGCACATTGAGGCCATGGGACTGGTGAGAGCCGAAAGAAGAACAAGACTGAGGTGGCACAGCAGCAGAAAAGTTCTAAATATATATAGTATATATATTTGGTTATTCCATTAGTAATTAAAACTTAGTTGTTTCAAGCCAGCAAACATATTAATTAAAACTCAGTTCAAGGGATTTGTCTTGTATAGACTTGGTTTCATTTCTGTTCTTTGCTCAGAAAAAAAAAAAAAAAAAACTAAGAACTTACTGCTTATTCCTTAATAAGCTTACTCCAACCTCCAAATAAAAACACCCACTGCTATGGTTTGAACGTGTCCCCCAAAGTTTATGTGTTAGAAACTTAATCCTCAATGCAACAGTGTTAAGAAGCGGGACCTTTAAGAAGCAATTAGGTCATGAGGGCTCCGTCCTCATGAATGGATTAATGCCATTATCAAGGGAGTGGATTACTTATCAAGAGAGGGAGTTACTATAAAAGCAAGCTTGGCCCTCTCTATCTCTCACTCTGTTAGGTGTTCTCTTGCTCTTCCACCTTATACCATGGGATGATGTAGCAAGAAGCCCCTCAAGAGTTATGAACCCCTTGACCTTGGGCTTCCCAGGCTCCAGAACTGTAAGAAATAGATCTCTGTTCTTTATACATGACCCAGTCTCAGGTGTTCTGTTATAGTAGCATAAAACAGACTAGGACACCCACCATTTCATCTTCTCTCTCTCACCCCCCAACCCTCCTTATCAAACTTACTTCCCCGCTGCTGGAGAAAGGAAACCAAGAGACAGGCTCCATTAGACTTTGCATCTAGACCTACTTTGCTGCAGAACCTAGGCCGCTGGGTGTGATAATGCCTTTCCCTACCTACTTGACTGTGTTATTATAAAGACCAAATAAGAAAAGAGAAGCAGAAGTGCTTTTAAAAGTTTCAACTTTGCAAAAGTAAAGCATGTACTTAAAAAATATGCCTGGAATGTGGCCGTTGGAGCATGCTTCAAGCCCTGAGCTTATGCCCAGGTTTATGCATGTGTGAAGCTCATTGGTGATGACGGGGGGATGGGCAGGAGCTACTCAGCCATGAGAATATAAATATTATCCACAATAAATAGAACAACTCAGGGAAAACTAGAGCACCAAGGCAGCACACTGTCTAACAGATATGATTCTATCTTATAATTAAGATGTGGATGGTGAGGGACATAAAGTTGAATAAGTATTGAAACCCAGGAAATCATAGTTCTTATCCTTCTTATCCTTCTTTTTAGATCTTGTGCCCCTGTGAAAATCTGATAAGAGCTAAAAATCAAGAGTCTCTTTGGAGACTCTTAGCAGAAGTAAAAAAGCACACCCTGATATATACAGACAGTTTAGAAGATAATTTTAATTTTTTTAAAAGTTCCTTAGATTAACTTATCTTATAGTGATCTGCACTCTCATGGTGGGGCGGTGTAAGAGACATGTAGAGCAAGGGCAGCCCTTCCAGTACAATGGATGGGAAACAAATCAAGGTCCCAGATCCTCCTATCCCCACAGTATTGCCCTCAGAACATTCAGAAGGTGGTTTCTACACTGTCAATACAGTGAGCCACACAATTTCCATAGGTATCTCTCTTTTTTTTTTTTTTTTTTTGAGACAGGGTTTTTGCTCTGTCACTTAGGCTAGGCAGCAGTGGCACCAACTCGGCTCACTGTAGCCTTGACCTCCCAGGTTCAAGTGATCCTCCCACCTCATCCTTACAAGTAGCTTGAACCACAGATGCTCGCCACTGTGGCTGGCTAATTTTTTATTGTTGTTGAGATGGGGTCTCCCTATGTTTCCCAGGCTGGTCTCAAACTCCCAGGCTTACATGATCCTCCCAACTCAGTCTCCCAAAATGCTGGGATTACAGGTATAAGTCACTGTGCCCATATTTCACTTCTGATAGCATATAAAAGGAGAAATTCTGGCCGGACGCAGTGGCTTATGCCTGTAATCCCAGCACTTTGGGAGGCTGAGGCAGGTGGATCACAAGGTCAGGAGATCGAGACCATCCCGGCTAACATGGTGAGACCCCGTCTCTGCTAAAAATACAAAAAATTAGCCAGTCGTGGTGGTGGGCGCCTGTGGTCCCAGCTACTCCGGAGGCTGAGGCAGGAGAATGGCGTGAACCCGGGAGTCAGAGGTTGTAGTGAGCTGAGATCACGCCACTGCACATCAGCCTGGCAACAGAGCGAGAGTCTGTCTCAAAAGAAAAAAAAAAAGGAGAAATTCCTTCTCTTGCTAAAGTTATAAGCAAGGCTTAGACTGAAATCGTCACATTCTTTTCATCAAAATTAACACTTGGGCAGATTAGATAACAGGCCACAGTGGTCTCCAAGTCCCTCCTTAATGTTTGAATTTTTACTAGAATTCTAGGCACAAGTAACAATCTGCATTCCTGATGTCCCTACATTTAAAAGCTCTATGTAGTCTATGGAACTCAAGTGCAGTACAACAGAAGTCAATGACAGCATTATGTTAGCTCTTCCGTCAAGTCAGGCAATCTCTGTTCCATCTCGAGGTCCCTCAGCCCGGAAGCTTCCTCTCCCCTCTGCACCTCATTGGCCCCAACACTACCTTAGGTGTTGGCTTAACAGTCTCCTCAGGGCACTGAAGGTGCCAGACTTTATATTTAGAGGGATTTTGGAGGCACTGGGGGTGGTGGGGGCGGGAGGGGGGTACAAAACTGGGGAACTTAATGTTAGGAACATTTGCCTAGCCAGCACAATTTTTACTTAGATATTATTTTTATTTGGGGTGGCATGGGAATGCAGTTAGAGCTTCTTCAAGCCAGGATTTCCCTAGCCTTCCTATCTAGTCGCCCCAAAATTATTCTCTTTCACAAAGCTGTTTAGTTCCTTCATAACACTAATTACACTAGAGTTTATTTATTATAACCCCTGTAGAATGAGAGCTTTGGAAAACATGGGAACTGAGTTTTATTCATCACTTTATCCCAATACCAACCTCGGTGCCTAATACCTAGAAGGTACTCAATAAGTAATGGTGATGTCATTGAGCATATATATATATATATATATATATATATATATATATATATATTTTTTTTTTTTTTTTTTTTTTAGATGGAGTCTTGCTTTGTCGCCCAGGCTGGAGTACAGTGGCGTGATCTCAGCTTACTGCAACCTCTGCCTTCCAGGTTCAAGCAATTCCCGTGCCTCAACCTCCCAAGTAGCTGGGATTATAAGGGTGCATCACCACACCTGGCTAATTTTTGTGTTTTTAGTAGAGATGGTGTTTCACCATGTTGACCAGGCTGGTCTCCAACTCCTGACCTCAGGTGATTCGCCACCCGCCCCCGGCCTCCCAAAGTTCTGGAATTACAGGCGTGAGCCACCATGCCCGGCCAAGCCTATATTATTTTTTAAAAACGACCACATCATAAGGTGTTTGTCTTACTTGTGATAAAAGAAAAACTTTAGACAAGTTAAATTTAACAGAGTTTAACTGACCAAAGAAAGATTCACAAGTCAAGAAGCCTCCTGAGTCAGAGTAGGCTCAGAGAGACTCCAGCACAGCCACGTGGTGGAATAAGATTTGTGGACAGAAAATGGGAAGTGACATACAGAAAACGGAAGTGAGGTACAGAAACAGCCACATTGGATACAGCTCAGCGTTTGCCTTATTTGAACACAGTTTCAATAGTTGGCCACCTATTGGCCAAAACCCGGTGGCTGGTACAAGCCAGGGGGTTTAGTACTAATAGGTAGGTTAGTCTGTTTGCACATTCAGTTAGGTTTCAGTTTACTATGCATGGAGAAATTTTTGGGCTGAACTTAAAATATGTAAGGAGGCAGCTTTAGACTAAACTTGATTTAACACTTGTTTTCCTTTTTTCTTTGTTCTTTTCTTCCCCCATGCGTGATTGCTCGCACATAGTCATTTCGGTAGAGGGTAGTCACTACTAATTGATTAACTTCATATCCTAACCCTCAGGGGCTGCCCACAAGATTAATGAACTTGTTTTTCCAAAGAACAATGATTCTTGGGTCATTCAGACCTCCTTGATGGCATTCAGAAGTTTGATCGGCCTTGATGGCATTCAGAAGTTTGATCGGCCTAGGGATCTCACCTTCCACGTAGCTACCTTTCTCATGGAAACACTCAATCATGTTCAAAGGCAGGTTGGATTTGAGAGTTTGCCTGTCCTATCCTCACAATTTGGCCAAATTGAATAAGCCTTCTCTGCTCCTAAGACTGACATATCTGTGTTTGGCTTACTGCGCACCAGGTACTTGAATCTGGCTTTTGGGGTTCTACAACAACAATGGAATAATTTATGTTCAAATGCTAGAAAGATTTTCTGCAAGGACAACAGTGATCTATATTTAGAATCATTTAGCCCTTGCAATTATGAAAGATGGAAGACGTTTTTGAAAGGAAGATGGAAGAAAATGAGGGACCTTGCTCCTTAGGAAAGTGGGATGTTCCCCAGGAAGTGTTCTCTCCAAAGCCAATGGAGTAAGATTAAAAGACATGATCCAGGCCAGGCGCGGTGGCTCACCCTTGTAATCCCAGCACTTTGGGAGGCCAAGGTGGGTGGATCACTTGAGATCGGGAGTTGGAGACCAGCCTGGCCAACATGGTGAGACCCCCCCCCGTCCATCTCTACTAAAAATACAAAAATTAGCTGGGTGTGGTGGTGTGCGCCTGTAATCCCAGCTACTCAGGAGGCTGAGGCAGGAGTATCTCTTGAATCCGGGAGGCGGAGGTTGCAGTGAGCCAAGATCACGCCATTGCACTCCAGCCTGGGCGACAGAGCAAGATCCTGTCTCAAAAAAATAAATAAAATAAAATAAAAAAGACATGATTCGGATGAGGCCATAGACCCTGGAGCTTGAATCCAGAGGTTGGGACCTTTTAAAGAACCAGGAGATGGAAGAGCTGTGCATAGGAGACTAGAAGACAAAACGGTAACATTGCCTTAAGAAATAGAAGGCAAAAAAAAAAAAAAAACCACAAAATGAGAACGCAGGTTTGCATAGCCCGCTAATTATTATAGCACAGAAGGAATTAAACCCAGCTGCATTCCAAGTACAAAAATATAGCAGGCAAAGGGAAGCAGCTCATCACACACACACACACACACACACACACACACACACAAAATCTTGAAGCCGTTTGATTCTTCTCCCCGCTCTTAGAATAAAATCAGAACCCTTTACTGTGGCCCAGTATAATCAGACATGTTCCTTTTATCAACTCTCTTTATTCTCCCAACTTGTCTCAGCTAAAATGTCATCGCCTCAGAGAGCCTTCCTTAACTATCCAGTGTAGTATTTCAGCCTTGTTTTCCTTTGCAGTGCCTCATGCCTGGTACATAATAGGCACCCAATAAATATCTGTTGAATTAATAAAAATATACTTTCTTTTACTAAAAGATTTAATCCAGGCCACAAATGTTACAGTGGATGACTAATAAAAGTAACATGAGTAGAGCGACTTGTACATTAAAAATAGGACCTGAATAAAGGCAAAATCTAAGTCATTGCTGCAAATATATGACCAAAAGTAGGAACATCTGAGCCCTACAGAACCTAGCCAACCAGCCAGTCATGATTTTGATGCTTCAACACAAATTACCCGTGATTTAATTACCTAGCTCACCCATTGATTACAAGGATATTTACATTAGCCACTTGGCATTTAGATAACCACCAGTATTCATCAGGTAATGCCAAATAACTTGTGTTAACATCTTTTATATTTTTAATAAGCCCCTGGTCTGTTTGTTGAGAATAGCAAGATAGAAAATGGTGTGAGCGTGGGAGTCACTGCCCTCTGACTGCCTACTGAACAGCAATTTCCCCTTTTCTTGCTTGTTAACAGAATCCTGATCTGGGCTACCCTATCTGTGCTTCTGGTGAGGTGGGCCCAGAACCATCGTGTGAATAATGATTGACCTCAGCTAGTGGTTCTCATGGAGTGATTGATTTTGCTTCCCAGAGGACATCAGCAATGTCTGGAGACATTTCCAGTTGTCACTACTTGAGAGGAAGCGTGATCGGCCTCTAGAAGGGAGAGACCAGGGATGCCGCTGCTCAATATCCTATAATGCACAGAACAGCTTCTACGACAAAGAGTTATTCCACCAAAAATGTCAGTAGTGCCAAGGTTGAGAGAACCTGCTCTAGGGTAATCAGTGTGGTCCCAATCTCCCTGTCAGTAACTGATTCAACTCACATAATAATCTTATGGGAGTGTGATGTAATTCTAGCCAATAAAATGCAATGGGAAGTTGGCCGAGATACTTCTGAAAAAATCTTCTCTTACCCCTAAAAAGAGACATTCATTTTCTGTTGAAATGCATTACTTTCCTAAATAAAATCATATTTACCAACAACGAGAAAAAGAGAAACATGCAAGAAACCATCTGTTTGCTGCTAGATGCCATTGTGTCTGCAATGTGATATCTGGAACTATGGCTGTCATCCTGGAACCATGAGAGGAGTTAGCTGAAGAAACAGGAGGATGGCAAAGCGGAAGGATGGAAGTTACCTGAGGCTGAGGACATCAGTGCACCTCTGATTTAACCAATCCTTGAGACTTCTTGTTATATGAGATAATAAATTCTATTGCTATTTAAGTCATGTATAGGGCTTTAAAACATTTCATAGCTGAAAACATCCTGATATATATTTTATATTTTTATTTGATATGTGGAAGAGAAAATAAAATATGGGAGGAAAGACACTAACCTCCTTTGGGGGCAGGCTCTACAATTGTCCAGTAATAAAATAATTTTCTTTGCTGTGCTTCCAGAATGATCTTAAACTAATGATACCAGAAGTTGATAAAATCAGTGGGGGAAACAGTCTGTCTATTAATGCATAAGATTGTGTTATTTAAGTAAATGAGTAGGCACTCATGTGACATTTTGAAATCTTCAAGAAAATGATATTTTCCAGTCACTGCAATTTAATTTGGGGGAGCCTGCAGCATTAGCATGAGACCAGCCAGCCTGTCCTTATTCTTCTCAAGCCCTAGCACACCTAATTCACAGGCACCTGCTACAGCAAAGGAGGAGCTGCCTGGCTAAAACAACCTAGTTACATCAGCCTGCTAAAAATGGTCCTAGGGATAGATTTTGCTCAGCATTGAGTTCTTTGAATAACAACAACAAAAAAAACCCAGCAACTTATTCTGCAGTTTTAGGGTTTGCTGACATTTTTTTACCAGGCGTAACTATGCTTTTATTGCCAAGTCTTACTTTAAAATACCAAAGACAACTTTTCAAAAAGCGGAGCTTGGATATCAAGATTTCCTTACCAAAAAAAAAAAAAAAAAAAAGCATTTGTTTTGTTAATTAGTATTGAACTTGAATAGGGGTGCCTTCAGATACTTTCCTTGGAAAAGTTTATGGTGATTTGGCCTTTTTTATTTTTTTGAGACGGAATCTCACTCTGTCACCCAGGTTGGAGTGCATGATCTCGGCTCACTGCAACCTCTGCTGCCCAGGTTCAAGCAATTCTCCTGCCTCTGCCTCCCGAGTAGCTGGAATTACAGGTGCCTACCACCACACCTGGCTAATTTTTGTAGTTTTAATAGAGACAGGGTTTCACCATCTTGGCCAGGCTGGTCTTGAACTCCTGACCTCATGAACCACCTGCCTCTACCTCCCAAAGTGCTGGGATTACAGGCGTGAGCCACCACGCCAGGCCAATTTGGCTTTTTTTTTAGTGTACCATTATATAGGCTCGATCATGCCACTATATTATAGTTCACTGTCACTGACAGAGAATCCCACTGACCTTTCACAGCAACTCACGCCTTGCCCCTTCTTAAGACTGCTGAGCTATACATATTTTTGTGTGCCTTCAGCAAGACACACTCTGAACAGTAATGCCTATATGTATCACTAAAGTCAATTGAGCCTTTTTGTCCTTTCTCTTGATGTCCCTCCCCTCAGCAAAGCCAAAGTGTACCTTCAAAGTAGCATAAGGACGACCTTATAAAATTACTGAAGGTGTGAGCATCTCATTGCTCCTCCTGATTCAGAGCTATTCTGGTTTTCTTATCTTGGAGCTGACATTTTCACTCGCAGATTATATGCTCCTTAATGCCCCATTGCTCCTGTGGCTTCTGCCATCTGTTACTTTTACTATTGCTGCACTTTTCTAGCTTTCTGTGTTTCTTTCTCTCTCCTGCCTCTGTCCCTACCGTATCTCCAATATATTTTGACTTTCTTTCCAATAGGCTTGACTTCTATAGTCATCACTAGCCAAGAAGACTCCTGTTGATCTACACATGACATCCCTCTGGTCTCTGCATGTCGAGTATAGATCTGAATCCTCTCCCTTTCTCAACTATTTCCTCCATTCCTTGCTACTCGGGGGCTGCTTTTGCATGGATGCATGCATTTTCTTTTTTACATTTTTCAGTACTGGCAAAACTCTATAGAGTTCTGTCCTCTGAATAATGCTAATATGTGTGGTAATGGCTGAGTACGGGTGCTTATGCCTGTAATCCCAGCACTTTGGAAGGTCTAGGAGAAAGGATTGCCTGAGTCTAGGAGTTCAAGACGAATCTGGGCAACATAAGGAGACTCCGTCTCTACAAAAAATAGAAAAAGTTAGCTGGGCGTGGTGGTGTGTGCCTGTAGTCCCAGATACTTGGGAGGCTGAGGTTGGAGGATTGCTTGTACCCAGGAGTTCGGAATTGCAGCAAGCTATAATTGCACCACTGCACTCCAGCTTGGGTGACAGATTGAGACCCTGTTTCTAAAAAAAACAGTGTGGTCACTAGCTCCATTTTTAAGTTCATTAAATCCTTCTAAAAAATACCCTAAATATGTTTCCACATCTGTGTTATTCTGTGTGTTGGCACATCCAATTCTTTTTTTTTTTTCTTTTTTTGAGACAGAGTCTCACTCTGTTGCCCAGGCTATGGCGCAGTCTTGGCTCACCACAATCTCCACTCCCCAAGTTCAAGCAATTCTCCTGCCTCGGCCTCCTGAACAGCTGGGACAACAGGCATGCACAACCATGCCTGGCTAATTTTTGTATTTTTAGTAGAGACGGGGTTTCTCTATGTTGGCCAGGCTGGTCTCGAACCCCTGACCTTGTGATCTGCCCGCCTCGGCCTCCCAAAGTGTTGGGATTACAGGCATGAGCCACTGTGGCCAGCCGGCACATCTAATTCTTAATTTCCTGCTTTAAGGAAGAAGTTGAGTTCTGATAAGTAAAAGCCCTATTGGAACATCACAGGAAAAAAAAAAGAAACGTGGAGTTTTTCAAGCTCCAAAATTATTGGCTGAGCCATCCTTCTTTCAAGAGCCTGTACAAAGTATAAAATGAGTAAAGTTGGTATTCTTTGCCTCTTTCAATTCCACCCTTGCGCTTCTCCTGGGTGGCTGTCAAGCCATCCAGAGAAGGCACAAGCACTGTGATGCACACCAACATGTTCCTATCCACCTACTGCAATGTCATCCCCATGACTTCTTCCCTCACTCTCTAAACAAATTATTCCCAAGATCTATGATCGTGTTGTATACTTTGTTTCCATGTTTGCTATTTCATTTAAAACATTTTAATGTAATTTTTACATAGAGCTACCCCTCTCCCTATGTGAGCTCTTTAAGGGCATACACTACTGATTTATTGAATCAGTGACTGCATGAATAATCAATGAGAACAATTTCATTTACTACATCACACTAGTCAGAGACAAAAATACTTCTTCATTAAGTGCAGTGATATTTAAATTGCCACATTTGTCGATATTACATAAATGGAACAAAATTAAAGAGTATGACCCTCCCTAAAGGCCATAGCTTTGTGATCCTTTCCTGAATCGTTAACCTGAATCGTTACCTGAATGTGCTGGAGTGAATCTTACTGGCCTTTCCAAAGGCTGACATTTTTCTTGGTGCCTTTTCAAGGGTAAGATGACTTACATGTTCTTTTCAGGGAGTTTTTCAAATGTTGGCAGATTGGACCTTATTATCATGGATGGGACTAAAATTTGCACATTGTTATCAAAGATAAATTATATGAATCTGAGGCTAGGCACAGTGACTCATGCCTGGAATCCAAATGCTTTAGAAGGCCAAGGCAGGAAGATCACTGTAGGCCAGGAGTTTGAGACCAGCTGGGCAACATAGCAAAACCCTATCTCTAAAAAAAAAAAAAATTTTTATTTTTTGAGATGGAGTCTCACTCTGTTGCCCAGCTGGAGTGCAGTGGCGGGATCTCGGCTCACTGCAAGCTCTGCCTCCCAGGTTCACACCATTCTTCTGCCTCAGCCTCCCGAGTAGCTGGGACTACAGGCTCCCGCCACCACAGCTGGCTAACGTTTTGTATTTTTAGTAGAGACGGGTTACACCGTGTTAGCCGGGATGGTCTCCATCTCCCAACCTCTTGATCCGCCCACCTCAGCCTCCCAAAGTGCTGGGATTACAGGCGTGAGCCACCGCGCCAGGCCTACAAAATTTTTTTTTAAAGTAGCAGGGCATGTTAGCACATCCGGTAGTCTGAGCTAGTTGGAAGGCTGAGGGAGAGGACTCCCTGAGCCCAGGAGCTCCAGACCAACCTGGGCAACACAGTGAAACCCCATCTCTACAAAAAATTCAAAAATTAGCCAGGCATGGTGGCACGTGCCTGTAGTCTCAGCTACTAGGGAGGCTGAAGTGGGAGGGTCACTTGAGCCTGGGAGGCCAAGGCTGCAGTGAGTTGTGATCACACCACTGCACTGCAGCCTGGGTGACAGAACGAGATTCTGTCTCAAAAAAAAAAAAAAGAAACTTAGCCAGGCATGATGGCGTGCACCTGTGTTCGCGGCTACTTGGGAGGCTGAGGTGGGAGGATCACTTGAGCCCAGAAGGCTGAGGCTGCAGTGAGCCATGTTCATGCCGCTGCACTTTAGCCTAGGTGACAGAGTGAGACCCTGTTTCAAAATAAATAAATAAAAACACAATTTAATATTCATCTAAGTGACAATTGAATCTGACAATTTTTTTTTTAGCAATAGAGATCAAAGTAAAAAACCTGACAACATTTTAGTCCAGTCTGAGTACCCTTTTATTTGATTCCCTGTCAGTCTTATGGAACTGTCGGTAAAATCTAAATCCAGAGCCAGACTCACAAGTACCTAATTATTTTTTAAAAGCTGTTTTCAAATACTTAAGAAAATGCAAACTATTTTTTCCCTACGTATTATTTTCCCTATTCATTAGGGAAAAAAATAGAGAAAGGGCCAGAAAACGTTTTGTTCATGTGATAAAAGCAAATTGCAAAACAACATACACTATATGCTACCATTTATTCAAATCTTAAAAACATACAAATCACACACACACACACACACACACACAACAATACTTGGTATTGCTTATGGACAGCTACCATTGCAATAAAAGCCTAAAGACTTCAATGAAAAATACCCAAAACAACTTCAGAATAATAGTTACCCCTGGGGAGAAAGGAAGGGGGAGAGAATTGGAATGGGGAACAAAAGAGCTTCAATTTTATCCATAACATCATATTTAAGAAAGAAAATATGTGAACAAAATATGGTGAATCTGTGGATGTTTGTAAAATAACTCTGATATTTTTTGCATCTTAGATATATTTCATAAAAGTAACAAGTAAATGCAAATTTTTCACTTGAAAATTTTAGAAGAAATTGTGATGTGAATACCTTTGAGAAGAAAACCAATAAACTTATTAATTACCTCTAGGTAATATTGACATGAAACAAAAAAAAACCTTAGATTCATTCTTATTTTCTGCTCTTATCCCAAATCATTTGTGAAACATAGACACTATTAGCTAAACATTTAAAAGCCTTACTATATAAAACATAATTCTTTTTAAGTGAAAAAAGCGAAGCTGTGATTTCTACCTCTATTTATGGGCATGACTGCTCTATTTTTCCACTGAGAAGACAATAACAGATCCTAGGCATTTATAAGACACGTGGAATTTGAAGTCTAGGGGCAAGCAAATGCTTCTGTAATGCTGTAAAAAGCATACACAGAAACGGCAATGAGACGGATATCAAAGTTCTCCTCTCATCCCTAAATCGTCCTTCTGTCAGTTGCTTTTCTAATTGGTTCCATACTCTTGAAAGGGGAGTTCCCTGACCCCCCTCACTGGACGTGCGACAGGGGTGTGTCTCCTTATGGGAGGGGGAGCACGCAGACAGGCAGGTGCAGGAGCTGGGGTGAGAGCTTTTGGACTCCAGCCCCATGGTAGGATCTAGGGCTGGGTGCCTGCAACTCCTGAAGCCCCAGAGGGCATGTTACAGTGCTCTTTTAACTCTGCCATCCGCAGACAGCTTAAGTGTTAACCAGCTCAGTGCCTTCTTGGTACCCGGGTTCTTGTCTGGCATCCAGGAATAATCAGGTCACATGGACAAACTGAAGGATGGTAAATGCAGGGGATTTTATTGCCAGATGGAAGTGGTTCTCAGCAGAACAAATGGAGAGCTGGAAAGAGGATGGAGTGGGAAGATGATCTTGCCATGGAGTTCAGCCATCCCGCAGCCGATCACCTATCCAACCGTCCCCAGCCGAACTTCTCTCAATGTTTAAATGTTTCTTCTCTTCTCTCCTTTTCTTCCACGCCACATCACTCTTTTGCTCCTCTGCTCTTCTGTTCATCTGCCCATGGAGCCTGGGGTTTGGGGTTTATATGGGTACAGGATGGGGGGCGTGGTGGGCCAAAAGGCAACATTTGGGCATGAAAACAGGAATGGCTGTTTTCATTTAGGGCCATGGGTTTCCAGGCTTGGGGGTGGGGCCTTGCCAGGGAACTGCCCTCTTCTACCCATTGTTTCCCTGGCTCCTGTCCATATCACTCTCAGAATGCGTACACAAAGCAAAGAGATACATGGCTGACCTGTTACAAAACAGTACCATTCAATGACCAAGCACAGTGGAGGGCCCAGGGAGCCCAGAAATACATAAGGAGAAATGCACAGGATCCCAGCCTGTCTTTATGGACATACGGCAAAGTCTGTGGTCACACTGCATCAAATGCCCACATTCTTGATCCATATGCTTCATGCAAAATAAATTGCAAATACATTGTTAGGGCTAATGAAGCCTCACCAGGCTCTAAACTATTAAATTATTAAAACCTTTTACTTTTGCCTAAAACGTGTAAAAGTCTTGTGAAAAAAAAGAAAAGGCATCACTTTTTTTAAAGGAGTGCCCGAGACCTATTTCAAAAGCACCACCCAACATAAAGAAATCATTCTGGGATAATATAAGATACCTGATGAGAAGGAGAGCTAGTAACACCAAAGTACACTCAGAGGGCTTTTGCTAGCTGAGAACACCCTGGGTTCGGTGCAAGGCATTCTACCTTTTCCCATGCTGGTCTTTACTTGCCTCAGGGGAGTAGATGGCAACTTAGAACTCAAGGTAGATTTGTTTTTCCTTAAAGAAAGTTAAGGTAACATCTAAAGGCCTCTTTTACAACAAACAGATCAAAGGCTGGTTGAAAGCATTTACAGGCAGTGGTTCACAACCTTAGCTGCACTTTAGAATCATCTAGGGAGCTTTGGAAAAGTAGGATGCATAGTGACAGCCCCAGAGCAACTGAATTAGAATCTGTGGGAGGAGGAGCCCAGGCATGGGTGATTTTGATGAACAATGAAGAATTATTGCCAAAGGGACAGGGAGTGCCGGCCAAAGTGCCGGTCTTGGAGATGGGGGTGGGCTGTGCAGGAAAGCCTGATTTATATCACATTTGCCTATTTCATGGTGTAAATACTCCCATCATGGCCAGTTTCAAGCTACTGATGTGAAGCTGGGAAGAGATGCGCACAATCTGCTCTCACTAGCACCTGAGTGCTAGCTCCAGCACACCACAGTCAGGAGCTTTTGATGATGAAGTTACAGCAAGGGATGGAAAGGCAACATAGTACGTCCTGGTGCTCTTCTGTCCCCTCTATAACATCTCAACCCTGACAGGAGGATGAGAGAAGAATCAACTGGAACCAGCGGCTCCCGGGTCATGTAGGAAGGTAAGCCAAAAGAAGATCCCAAGTGTCTGTTAGTGTGAAGAACACCAAGACAAGGTCTCACTTGCTCCTGTAGAAGATTCACGTTGAGATGGAGTTGGCCTCCTGATGAAGGGAGCCTTTCTCTGGGATCCTGACCCAACAAGGGCAGCATATGATTCATACAAGATGCTGAGCCCTGGATCTCCATGACAGTACAGTTGAATGTTCCTTTTTCCCTGGGGATCTGGTCATCCAGAGGATTCCCTAGTGAACCTCTTGGGCCTCTGCCAAATATCCCATTTGGAATATAAGGATTCTTTTCCAGACATATGAATGTATGCATTTTCTCCTCTTAAATTATCAGGGTTTCTCTCAACCAACACAGCTCCCAGCTCATTATCATAAGCCTTTCTTTTATAGGTAATAAGCTAGCTTTGATAATAGCCAGCTTTTCTTTTGGATTTTTCGGAAAGAATTTGATTTCTATTTTATAGGTGTTCAGCTCTTTACATGCATGACTGCTCTTCATATCTGCTTTCAAAAGATTCTGCTCTGTATTTACAGGGCAAACTTTCTCTGAATTGTTTTTTCAGTGAAAATTCATTTTTTTCCTTGATGCAATTCTGAAAGAACTTAAAGTTTCTGCCAAAGCTTTGGCCTCTCCCTTCCTGTTTTGTTGTTGTTGTTGTTTGTTTGTTTCCTGCAATGACACCTACTCATTTGGAGACTTTTAAGATGATCTTTAAGTGTGCCAATTAATTTACCTTCTTTCAGTTAGTGTACATTTGGTTTCTTTTTTCTTCAAGAGGTTTTTGGTTTTTTTGTTTTTGCTTTGTTTTTTGTTTTTTGTTTTTTTTTTTTGAGACAGAGTCTCACTCTGTCGCCCAGGCTGGAGTGCAGTGGTGCGATTTCGGCTCACTGCAAGCTCCGCCTTCCGGGTTCATGCCATTCTCCTGCCTCAGCCTCCCAAATAGCTGGGACTACAGGTGCCCGCCACTACGCCAGGCTAATTTTTTGTATTTTTAGTAGAGACAGGGTTTCACCGTGTTAGCCAGGATGGTCTTGATCTCCTGACCTCGTGATCCACCCGCCTCAGCTTCCCAAAGTGCTGGGATTACAGGCGTGAGCCACTGCACCCGGCCAAGAGGTTTTAAACAATTAATTTATCAGTACCAATCCATTTATTCAAGCTCGTTTTGGTTTATCTTCATTATATCCAATTGTAAGTTCCCACCATCTAGGCTTGCTTCTTCAAGAACGGCAGCCTAATCTCCCACTTTTAGCACATGTTCACCCAGGGGCTTGCTTTTTATCATTTAGTGCTTGTCCCTTGTGGCTGGGCGCAGTGGCTCATGACTGTAATCCCAGCACTTTGGGAGGCCGAGGCAGGAGGATCACTTGAGCCCAGGAGTTCGTAGACCAGCCTGGGTAATATAGGGAGACCCTGTCTCTACAAAAAATTTAAAAAATGAGCCGGGCGTGTGGGTGCACAGCTGTAGTCCCAGCTACTTGGGAGGCTTAAGTGGGAGGATTGCTTGAACTGGGGAAGTCAAGGCTACAATAAGCCAAGATTGCACCATTGCACTCCAGCCTGTGCAACAGAGCAAGACCGTGTCTCAAACACAAACAAACAAAAAGCCTTGTCTCATGCAATTTAGAGTTTCTAATTTTTTTTTCTGTTAGATAAGGTAATTTACTCTCCCATTCCACTTTTCACTTTATGTTTTCTTTTTTTTGTTTTGTTTTGAGACAGAGTCCCACTCTGTCACCCAGGCTGGAGTGCAGTGGTGCAATCTCGGCTCACTGCAACCTCTGCCTCCCGGGTTCAAGTCATTCTTCTGCCTTAGCTTCCTGAGTAGCTGGGATTACAGGCGTGTGCCACCAGGCCTGGTTAATTTTTTGTATTTTTTTTTTTTTTTTTTTAGTAGAGATGGGGTTTAGCTATGCTGGCCAGGCTGGTCTCAAACTCCTGGACTGAAGTGATCCACCCGCCTCAGCCTCCCAAAGTGCTGGGAATATGGGATTACACTGTTAACAACGGACGCCACCACGTCCAGCCCTTTATGTTTTCTTGAAAACCAGAATTTTCATCCAAAGCATCTTTTAGTGCTTCTGAATTTGTTTTCATTCTTGTCATGTATTTTGAAAGCTGTTTTGGTTGCAACTACTTGAAGTTGTACGTGTTTTGATGCATCTTCTGAAGACTGAATCTTTCTTTTAATGTCAATCATACCTCAACTTGTTTTAAATGTTCAGATTTCTCTTCTATCGGTCCTTTTCTCAAACTCTTTAAGCCCAAGAAAAGAGTTGAAAATTTCCAGCTCTTTATTAATGGCCTCCAGTTTTTCTGTTTTTGATCATTTGTTCTCAAATGTGACTTCTGTTAAAATTATTCAAGGTCTCTCAATTCCTTTTTTTTTTCTTCTTGAAGTGGATTCTTTATTTTGCCTTATTACTGGGACCACTGATGAAATTTAATGAGATTTCAGGATTAGATACCGCTAATTACCAATGTTAATTCCCTGATTTTTTTGTGATTAAATAGGAGAGTATTCTACGTAAACCCCCGAAAATATTTGGGGGTGGGTGATAGGGCATCACAAATAGTGATTACTCCCAAACAGTTTAAGATTTGTTTTGTTTGTTTTTTGTTTTTTTGTTTGTTTTGTTTTGTTTTTGAGACAGAGTCTCACTCCTGTCACCCAGGCTGGAGTGCGGTGATGCAATCACGGCTCACTGAAACTTCTGCCTCCCAGGCTCAAGCGATTCTCCTGTCTCAGCCTCCCGAGTAGCTGGGATTACAGGCATGTGCCTCCATATCCAGCTAATTTTTGTATTTTTAGTAGAGATGGGGTTTCACCGTGTTGGCCAGGCTGGTCTTGAACTCCTGACCTCAAGTGATCCGCCTGCCTCAGCCTCCCAAAGTGCTGGGATTACAGGCGTAAGCCACTGCGCCCAGCCAATATTTTTTTTTTAAAAAAGGTTTCTGGTCGGCGCAGTGGCTCACACCTGTAATCTCAGCACTTTAGGTGGCCGAGGTGGGTGGATCGCAAGGTCAGAAGCTCAAGACCATCCTGGCTAACACGGTGAAACCCTGTCTCTACTAAAAATACAAAAAAATTAGCTGGGCATGGCAGCAGGCACCTGTAGTCCCAGCTACTCGGGAGGCTGAAGCAGGAAAATCGCTTGAACCCAGGAGGTGGAGGTTGCAGTTAGCTGAGATCGCACCACTGCACTCCAGCCTGGGCGACGGAGTGAGACTCAGTCTAAAAAAAAAGATTTCTGTGCTGCACTTGCAACTTTAGTGTAAGTTTCAAGTTAAAAAAAAAAAGATCTTTCTTTTTAGTGCAGTTTTTAGGTTCGCAGCAAAATTAAGCAGAAAGTACAGAGAGTTCCCATATACCCCTGTTCCCACATATGCACAACCTCGACCACTATCAACATCCCACACTACGGTGATACATTTGTTACAACTGATGAACCTACATTGATACATCATTATCTCCCAAGGTCCATAGTTTACATTAGGTCTCACTCTTGGTGTTATATATTCTTTGGGTTTTGAAAAATGTTTAATGGAATGTATCCACCGTTGCAGTATTGTACAGAATAGCCTCACTGCCCTAAAAGTCCTTTCTTTGTGTCCTGACTATTCACACCTCTTCCTCCAATCCCTGGTAACCACTCATCTTTTTACCATCTCCATAATTTTGCATTTTCTAGAATGTCATATACTTGGAATCATACGTATTTAGCCTTTTCTTTCCTTTTTTTTTTTTTTGAGACAGTCTCTGTCGCCCAGGCTGGAGTGCAGTGGCACAATCTTGGCTCAGTACAACCTCCGCCTCCCGGGTTCAAGCAATTCTGTCTCAGCCTCCCAAGTAGGTGAAATTACAGGTGCCCGCCACCATGCCCGGCTAATTTTTGTATTTTTAGTAGAGACGAGGTTTCACCATGCTGGCCAGGCTGGCCTCGAACTCCTCACCTCACGTGATCCGCCCACCTCAGCCTCCCAATGTGCTGCGATTACAGGTGTGAGCCACTGCACCCAGCCATAGTGGCCTTTTTAAAATTCTTCTGAATGAGGTTAAGATTGTAAAATATTTAATGTCTTTCTCCAGAAGGGCAAAAGTGGCCAGTTATTTGTCTCTACTTGCATAAAGTAGACTTCTAATAATTAGAAATATGACTAGGAATACCACCATTTTCCACAGCAATCCATGAGGACCTGGGCCTGGGATGAGGTACCTGGTTATGCCTCCACCACCTGGCACAGTGTCCCCAGGACAGGTGTGACACAGCATCATCACCATCACTCTGAACCCCTCAGGTTGCCAGGACACTGCCAGCCACATCAGATGCAGAGAGCACCAGTGAGCATTGCACCTAGAACCAAACCAGAAGCTGGCAACAGGCACAGACCTCAGTGGAAGCAGGGGAGGGAAGCCCATAAAACGCTGGCCAAAAGCTCTTCCTCTTCTGAGTACATATTTCATTCCGAGGCCATGAGGGCTTTATTCTGCCACAAAGGTCAAAGAAAACTCCCCATTCTCAGCTCCCTCCTTGATTTTTGTCTAGCCTTTGAATGTGAATGGGGCAATTTACTGGAGGAGTCATACAAATGGTTTCAACTTACTTCACTACTTTTAACTTTAAAAAGCTAAGGATAAGGCAGGGCGCGGTGGCTCATACCTATAATCCCAGCATTTTGGGAGGCTGAGGAGGGCAGAAAACAAGGTCAGGAGTTCGAGACCAGCCTGGCCAATATGGTGAAACCCTGTCTCTACTAAAAATTCAAAAAAAAAAAAAAATTAGCCGGGCATGGTGGCGCATGCCTGTAATCCCAGCTACTCAAGAGGCTGAGGCAGGAGAATTGCTTGAACCCGGGAG
Source organism: Homo sapiens (assembly GCF_000001405.40). Taxonomy (NCBI): domain Eukaryota; kingdom Metazoa; phylum Chordata; class Mammalia; order Primates; family Hominidae; genus Homo; species Homo sapiens. The sequence continues at coordinate 55,250,145 of NC_000014.9, read as the reverse complement.
GCAGAGGTTGCAATGAGCCAAGATCTCACAACCGCACTCCAACCTGGGCAACAGAGTGAGACTCTACCTCAAAAAAACAAAACAAAACAAAACAAAAAAAACCTAAGGACAAAGCAAGTGGTACTTTCAAAGTCTTCACATTTCTAGAATGTGGAGTCCAACTGTGATCATGGAAATAATTAATAATTCTCACATGTTTCCTGCATGTGGGGTGAAATGTTTGATGACAGAAGCCCTTCAGGTTGCTGCTGTTCAAAATAATAATCTGAGGGGGTATTGAGTGCTGGAGGGATCTCCTCTCTCTCACAGAGGCAAGAGTATTGGGCCACCTGAGCATCTTTTCAATGTGGCACCTGAAAAGTGCCAGTCTCCAGTCCTGGAGCCACGACTGGTCCAGTTCAATGAGTAGCTCTATCTTGTTAACAATGAAACTGTGGCTCAGCTGGGGATTGGTTGATTTTAACTGGGTAGGGATGAGTAAGTGTGCTGACCTCAGCTGGCTTTGCTCATGTGTCCCAGGGTTACCCGGAGGTCCGCTGATCTGGGCTAAGCTGGGCAGCTCTTCTAATCTCAGCTGGACTTGCTCATGTGTTTTGGGGTCAGCAGGGGGTCAGCTGATGTGGGCTGGGCTGGGCAAGCTCAATGTATCTCTCGGTCAGCTGGGAGTCAGTGATGTATGCTGGCCCTAGCTATGCACTGGGACCTGCCTTACCTGTCTCTCATCCTCTTCCTAGAACAACAGGAGAGCTCACTCCTGACTTCCCTTGGCTATAGCAGAGGCACAAGAAAGTCTTTGGAGGGTAATGATCCAATCTGCATTTTTGAAACATTTTCTCTGGCTGCAGGATGTCAGCAACTATTTTGATGGCCTTTTGTCTCCATGAAGTCCTCATCCTCAGAGAAAGAAAAAGTTATCTGGAACTGGGATATAGAGTAAGTGCAGATGTGAATGTCCATTGCTTCTTTGGTTTCTGTGGTTCACTTCACCGGCTCCAGAACCACACCATCTTTGCCAGGATCTGCACCTGCAAAATGCAGGCCCTGTACTCTCCCTCCTTCCCCATGTAACTCCATCTTGAAACAAATGCTTGAGTCTAGGTAGTGGAATCTACATCACTCGTATGCACCCTAACAAGAAGGAAATCTTGGAAAGGGAGTTTGGGGTTCTACATTGAGAAGGCAGGATTTCTACTGAGGAACTATGATAACGAAGATAGACTATTTGGAAGATTTCGGGCAGCTGCGAATGACAGATGTTCATGACAGTTGCCGTACTTGTCTCATGTGATCTGGCTACTCAGGACAAAGCTGCTCATCTATAGACTGGACATAAAGCAAAGCATTGCCATTTAAGATGGCTTGTAGCAGAACTCTGCCCAATAGGAACAGAGAAGGATAAACTGGCCCAATTTAATCCTCTTTCAGGGAATCTGAAAGTGAGACATACAAAGAGGGTCAGCAGTGAGCAGGCAGAGAAAGTCAGGTTACAAGAATGGGAGTCAGACAAAAGTAGGAAGCAGAGCGACACCATCATCTGAGTTACATGCGATAGTTACGAAACCTGCTATGGTGTCACTACATTTGCCACAGTATCTGGACTAAGATTCTAATTTGATGTGGAGCCTGATGTAGAACTCCCATCACATCAGACTTGAAAACTTCTCTGCTCTTGTAATCTATAAAGATCCAACCCACCGCACCCACTAGAAAAGATAAAACACAATATAAAGCAGCAAATTCTATGTCCAAAGGTTGCCCACCAGATTTGAGCTCCTAAAGGGGCCGTGTGTGGTTAATTTGTGTATCATGCCCAAGCATCTAGTACTTTTGGGAAGCACTCAGGAGATGGTCGTTGAAAATTGAAATGAGGGTTTTAGCAATACGTGCTATGGGATTCAGAGTAGAGAACAATCACTGTGATAACTGTAGTGCACTACATATGCTGGGTTTATCCTCTCACCACAGATCCATAATCTGCCTTTCCTCTGCCCTCCTCTGTATCTTACAAGGATGATTTCCAAGGTCTGCATGCCCTGTCCTCCCTTATTCTGTGGCTTCTTATTGGGAATGGCCAAAGAGAAGCACTGCTCCTGGTAATGGGAAGAGGGAAAGAGGAATTGGTTTCCTACCACCCTCTATGGCCACAGGTACTGCCAGGTTGTCTCTTTTCCACAGCTGTAGCTGCCCAGTCTCTGGTGACACCGTGCCTTTCCCTTGTCTCTTCAGGCCTGCAGTGGTAATAGATTTTAGCTGTCATTAATCCCTGGGTACTTTACTAGCCTTTGATGGGTCTCTCAATCCTGTCCACCCCTCTGAAAAGAGTCCCTCTATTAAACTCTTCAGTGAAACCCATTAAGTGTGTCATCTATTTCTAGCCAGCACCCTGACTGATACATTGTATTCATATTCCAAAAAGGAGGGAATAGTTCTGTACTTGTCCCCAAGTAGTCTTACTGCCTGACCTTACCAATTAGGGCAAGTTCACACAGTCTGAAAGAATGTACAAAACAGCCTTTTACTTCTAGCACTGGAGATACAGGAAACTCCTGTTTCTTCTAGTAGTTTCTACTCCCCCAGATTCTCTCACTGAGGCCAGGTCTCAGTCTCTCCTTCTCCCATCCCCTTCGCAGAGAAGCCTCCTCCCCTGTAATCTCCCTCTCTCTCTCTCTCTCCCCCTCCCTCCTCTCTCTCTCTCTTTAATCTCTCTTTCTCTTGACTCCAGGGACCCACTACTCCTGGTGCTGACTGTCAGTCTTTGGACCTGGTCTGGTTTTTCCAGATGGGGTTGGGGTTTCCAACACTGGAAGCTCAAGGTAGAAGGATAAAAAAGAGGCCTTCTTGGTGGTCTGCCCTCAGATTGTGGTGTCTATAAAATAATCAGATGGTTTTAACAGGTAAGATTAAACATCCTGTAGGTATTTCCTGCATTTGCTGGAAGGTGTGCGAGACAGCTGGGTGTCTTTGATTAGGTTGACTCTAGGAAGAGAAAGGGAAAAAGTGGAGAGCGGACCCCCATCTTACCACCTTAGGAACTATTTCTTTGAGGCTGGGTGCGGTGGCTCATGCCTATAATCCCAGCACTTTGGGAGGCTGAGGCGGGCAGATCACAAGGTCAGGAGTTCGAGATCAGCCTTGCCAATGTGGTGAAACCCTGCCTCTACTAAAAATACAAAAATTGACTGGACGTGGTGGCATGCACCTGTAATCCCAGCTATTTGGGAGGCTGAGGCAGGAGAATCGCTTGAACCGGGAAGCAGAGGTTGCAGTGAGCCAGATCGCACCATTGCACTCCAGCCTGGGCATGGCAGTGAGACTCTATCTCAGAAAAGAAAACAAAAAGCCAAAGGAAAAACAAAGAAACTGACTCGGGCTGAGCTTTGAAAAAGAGATAAAATTAGGCTGGGTGTGGTGGCTCACATCTGTAATTCCAGCACTTTGGGAGGCTGGGATGGGTGGATCACTTGAGTTCAGGAGTTTGAGACCAGCCTGGGCAACATGGTGAAATTCCATTTCTACAAAAAACACAAAAATTAGCCAGGCATGAAAATTAGCATGGCACAGTCCTGTTGTCCCAGCTACTCAAGAGGCTGAGGTGGAAAGATGGCTTGAGCCTGGGAAGCAGAGGTTACAGTCAGCTGAGATCATGTAACTGCACTCCAGCCTGGGTGACAGAGTGAGACATGAGACCCTGTCTCAAAATATAATAATAATTGAAAAACAGATAAGATTAAACATGTAAGAGGACAGAGGGCATTTCACAAAGAGGGAGCAAAGAAGGTGGGCAAATATAGCATTTGGGAAGAAATTGGTACACCACTTTGTCCAGTTGATGTAAACAAGTAGGGGGAGATGGGTTTGGAGATCTAAGTAAAGAACCAATTTGGGGGCCTTAAGTGCTAGGATAAGAGATTTAAGAAGTCTTTAAAGGTTCTTAGCAGGGCGGTTTTTCATAATTCACATATAAAATGAGTTGTAAGGGTAGATAAAATGACAAGTTAAAAAATAAACACAGTTATTCAGATGTGAGATTGTGAAGGGCTATGTCCTAGTAGTGGTCCTTGAAAACTTTATAGAAGAAACTACACTTTGCTTATGGGCTAAATGTGGTAGAAAAGGAAAAGTAGAAGATAAGAATGACCTCAAAGTTTTAAAATTGAAAGATTGAGAGAATAACATGCTTAGGTAAGAATAGAAAAACTTAGAGACAGCTATTAATAGTTTTGGATGAAAGATTTCAGTTTGAGGTGTACTGCCTTTAGATCACTACAGTGCCTCCTAGTGGAGTTGGAAATGGAGGCCTGAAACACAGTAAGGATTGGAGACAATTGCAAAGGTGATTATTTGAAGTTATGAGTGAGTGACACCTCTGAGAAAGACTTCACATTAAATCTGTGGGTCAAGAACTAAGCTTCGTCATTTGCAACGGCATGGATTTACCTGGAGGACATTATATTAAGTGAAATACGCCAGGCACAAAAAGAAATACCACATGATCACATTCATATGTGGATTCTAAAAATTTGGAATACCGAAAAGCAAGAGTGTAGACTGATGATTGCCAGAGCTGGGAAGGGAAATGGGGAGATGTTGGTCAGAGGACACAAACTTTCAACTGCAAGGTAAAAAAGTTTGGGGAATCTACTGTAGAGCACAATGACTATAATTAACAAAACTGAATTGCATAATTGAATATTGCTAAGAAAGTAGATTTTCAGCGTTCTTACCACAAGAGAATGATGTGTATGAGGTAATGCATGTATTAATTAGCCCAATTTAGCCATTCCACAATGTATACATATTTCAAAACATCATACTGTACACCATAAATATATACAATTTTAATTTGTCAATTAAAGAAATAATTTTTTCATTGGAAGAACATACAAGATTTTTAAAAAATGAATTTAAAAAATAAGATGTAAAAAACAAAACCAAAAAACTACCACCTTTCAGGAGATGGAGAAGAAAACAGATTTGTGAAGGGAGTCAGTACAGAAACAATTTGAAAAATGGGCAAAGAAAAAGGTAGAGAAATGAGACAGTAGAGAAATGAGACAGCATAAGAAAACCAAGGAGTGATTTTTCAGAAAGGGTAAGCTTCACATTTGAATTTTAACACAGCCATCGCAGCCTTTACAAAACCATCCTTCAAGATTTAAAAAATAAAATCAGAGAATAAAGCAATGGGACAAACTGTGTGAAAAAGTTGTGTTAAATTGGGACAATTTGAACATGAAAATAAATAAGACTGGGTGTGGTGGCTCACACCTGCAATCCCAGCACTTTGGGAGGCCAAGGCGGGAGGATCACTTGAGCCCAGAAGTTCAAGACCAGCCTGGACGACACAGTGAGACCCCCATCTCTACAAAAAATTATTTAAAAAATTAGCCAGACATGGTGGCACATGCCTGTAGTCCCAGCTACTTGGGTGGCTGAGATGGGCCCTTGAGTCTAGGAGGTTGAGGCTGCAGTGAGCCGTGATTATACCACCGCACTCCAGCCTGGATGACAGAGTGAGACCCCACTCACACACGCACACACAAAAAAAAGATAGCAAAAGGTGATCACATACTGAATAAAATAGGAATCCACTACAGTTGTGTTCAAACTGGTCAAAAAAATTTAAAAATACTACCTAAAAATGTCAATCTACATTATTAAACATTGATGTAATCCTGAAGACACTGGAAGGTATATCAGTTATACGACCTTGGTTACAATGAACAGAAAACTCAATTGAAATTGGCTTAAACAATATAACTGGATGATTGTTGGCTCATTCTCTGAAAAGACCACAAGTTAGGCAGGTTTTAGGGTTGATCGAATCTAAAGGAAAACACCCACAATTCTTTTATTTCTACCTTCCTCCACCAGCCAGCCACATCCTCAGCCTGATTTCTCTAAAGCTACATGCTTCCGTGTTTATAGCTGGGCTACATCCTTCCCTAAGAGAGGGCGCCTCTTCCAAACCTACCATGATTTGTATCTTAGGGAACCAGCCACTGGGGCTAGGGGAAGGCTATAAGCTGACTGGCTTAGGCGCTCATTACTGAACCGACTACTACGGCCCTACCCCGTACATTGAAATCACCCTGAAGGGCACTAAAGCAATCAGGAACTGCCTCTGGATGTGGGGTGAATGGCCAGTCTCACTCAACTTTGAGACTGGTTAGGTAGGATCTGCAGATAGATACTGAATGTATACATTAGGTTGTGATTGGCCAAGTCAAAATATCAGTGGCTTAGCTGGGCATGGTGGCCTGCACCTGTGGTTCCAGCTACTCCAGAGGATTAGGTGAGATCTCTTGGGAGGTGGAGGCTGCAAAGCACTAAGATTGTGCCTGTGAATAGTCACTGCTCTCCAGCCTGGGTGACAAAGCGACATGCCATCTCTTAAAAACATCCAGTGGCTTTTGAGTTTTCTGAAGTCTGGAATTTTGCAGTCCGGATAGATATGGTAGCCCTGCCCCATAAAGTTATTTGGACCCAGGAGCCTCCTTCTAGCTCACCACCCTGATGACATTCCTTGGGTAGAGCCTAATTCTCATTATGCAAGGCAGGATTTCTGCTCCAGGAAGCAGGATGGAGGAAGTGACAAAAAAGGAGTACAGGGGGCACATTTGAAGGAAGGTTCCCAGGAGCTGTCAGCATCACTACCCTTTATCACATGGCCATACCCACCTGACAAGTAGGCTAGGAAATGAACTTTTCTCTTTTTTTCTTTTTTTTCTTTTTTTGAGACAGAGTCTCATTCTCTCGCCCAGGCTGGGGTACAGTGGCGCAATTTCAGCTCACTGCAACCTCTGCCTCCTAGGTTCAAGTGATTCTCCTGCCTCAGCCTCCCAAATAGCTGGGATTACAGGTATGCACCACTACCACCTGGCTAATTTTTGTATTTTTAGTAGAGACAGGGTTTCACCATGTTGGCCAGGCTTTTCTTGAACTCCTGGCCTCAAGTGATTCACCTGCCTCAGCCTCCCAAAGTGCTGGGATTACAGGTGTGAGCCACTGCTCTCGGCCGGAAATGAACTTTTTTCTGAGGTGGCCATTTGTCTGGCTAAACATTCTATTACTGTGCAATGCAGGGGATATAAATACTGGGGGACAATAGGCACTTTCAGCAACTTGAATAAATGAACCTATTAGAATTGATTGATCTAAACCTAGGTGACAAAATTAGTAAATTACATAGGAGAGTAGTTATTCATTTATAATCTGTCAAACAGGACAGGCGAGATGAGAAAAAATCCCAATTCAGAGGAATGAAACAATGAAAAGGGAAGAATAAATGGTAAGTTAAAATAACTCTGTTTATATACCGTTTCTGCCACCTAACAGTTGGGCAATCTTTAACAAGTTGCATAGCTTCAATAAGCCTACGATCTGTGTGTAAAATGGAGATAACATCATCTACTCCACAAAGCTGGGAAAAGATTGAGATAATATTAGGTTCTTTGTAAACAATAATGCTCATACAGATCAAAGTTATTATTAGTAATAACAAAGCTTACAATGATGTAGTAAATATTTTAGAAAACACTGATTGAGTTAAAAGTGATATGAGACTTTTGTTATCTTTTAAAATCACTTTTTAAAAACATAACTGAACTTGTAGTTAATTTTTTTAAATTCTCACTAATTTTTTTCCTGCTGGTCAGGCCTCATTTGTTAAATTGTATATCCAAAAAGCAGTTGAGCAAATATTCTCACTGTATCATAACAAACTCATGAAACACAAAGCCAGAAACTTCAGATTAAAAAGAAATTTTAATTCCAATATTATAATATACATTCATTCTATAGCAAAATAAATTTCACAAAATTATGATAAATTAAATCAATGGAGTCCCAAATTTCATACATAATCTCTTTTGCATAAAGAATAGGAATTAGTTTAGAAAAGGGTCTCATTGGCTTTGTGTAGTGCATTTACAAGTTATAGTGGGAAAAGCAAAGGGGCTAGTCTCATTTCTACTACACAATGGCCTCCATGTAAGGTGATGTCTTGGTCTGCAAGGCAGCCATAAGGTCAGGAGATTGGTTACATACAGGGAGATTAATTAAGTGAGTGTATTGAGATGAGAGCCAGAGCCAGGTTTTTCTCTGTCACAGAAGGGAATTAACAGTTCGGAAAGGGTGAAAACTAAACCTGGAAGCAGTGATCTCCTAGTAGCAATGATCACACCCAGCACCCAGATGGAGGCTTCTGAATACCATTCTCCACTAACAGAATCCAGAAGTCCTCGAAGAAATGGTTGATTTTAGGACTGGAACAAGGACAGTACAAAATGTTCCTGGAACATCTTGTTTGTCACGAAAGTAGGAAAGCAATGAAAGAATGATGAGGACATGTTAGAAGGAGAAGTCCTAGTTTGAAGGGCTCTCATTAGCTAAATCTGGAAAAATTTGAATATCAAAATAAATGATAGCAACAGATTATCGTCCATTGAATAAAACAGATAAGGGAGAAGGGAAAGGTTTTGTTTTGTTTTTTTTTTTCTTTAAGAGACAGTCTCACTCTGTCACCCAGGCTGGAGTGCAGTGGCACAAGTATGGCTCACTGCAGCCTCGAACTCCTGGGCTCAAGTGATTCTCCTGCCTCACCCTCCCCTGTAGGTAAGACTACGGGTATGCACCACCATTCCCAGTTAATCTTTTGATTTGTTTTCTTTTGTAGAGATGAGGTCTCACTATGTTGACCAGGCTAGTTTTGAACTCCTGGCCTCAAGCGCACCTGCCTTTGCCTCCCAAAGTGCTGGAATTACGGGCATAAGCCACTGAGGCAGGCCAAGGAAAACTTTACCTTATAATAGAATGCCAACTAATAAATGTAGAAATAATAATGTAATTAGAATAGCATCGTTTGTCAACCATTATAGTAATAATTGATTTAGGTAAGAACCAATAATGGATGCTAAAGCCAGTGGCGGGGGTGCTGGGGAATGTGATGAAGAACACGATATTCATATAACATAAAAGTAGCTCTCGCCGGCCCCCGCCAGCTGCGGAGCAACCCGCGAGCGAGCTCACACCGGTTTCTCTCCATCCTCAGCTTGCGCGCCACCATCGCCGTCGTGCTGGGGCCGCTCTCCACCGCTGCGCGGTGACTGCAACCGCCCGGGCCGGCCCTCGAGGCCTCCTGCATTCCGCCCCAACCCCCGGCCCCGCCGCGGCTATCCAGTCAGTTCACTGCTATTCCCATGGGTCACGAGACAGATGAGGAGTTTGATGCTCTCTGAGTAACATACTTCAACAAGCCAGATATAGATGCCTGGCAATTGCGTAAAGGGATGAACACACTTGTTAGCTATGATCCGGTTCCAGAGCCCAAAATTGTTGATGCTGCTTTGCGGGCATGCAGACGGTTAAACGATTTTGCTAGTGCAGTTGGCATCCTAGAGGCTGTTAAGGACAAAGCAGGACCTCATAAGGAAATCTACCCCTATGTCATACAGGAACTCAGACCAACTTTAAATGAACTGGGAATCTCCACTCCGGAGGATCTGGGCCTTGACAAGGTGTAAACCCCATGGATGGGCTTTGCAAGGATTTATTGATATTGCTACTTGTGTGTAAACAGTTACCTGGAAATACTGATGATAATATATACCTTATTTGAACAAGTTTTCCTTTATTGAGTACCAACCCATGTAATGGTAACCTGGACTTTAATAAAAGGGAAATGAGTTTGAACTGAAAAAAAAAAAGTAGCTCTCCACAAAATACCTATTAATAACTTTTAACCTAGTAAGTACAAAATACTTATTAATTAATTTTACAGTGAAGAAATTCAGCAGACACCATCTTAACCAAGTGATAAAAGTCAACCCTGATAGAAATAGAACAAATTACGTTGTTGCCTTCTGATGCTGCACTGAGAAGAACATAGCATCACTTCTGTGGTACGCCTCCATAAAAACCCACTACCAACAAATAACCTGAATCTAACCATGAGAAACTTAAGGCAAACTCAAGCGTAGGGACAGTCTACAAATTAATTGCCTGTTCTCTTTTAAACGGTCAACATGAAAGACATGGAAAAACTGAGGAATCTCCAAGTTGAAGGAGGTTAAGAAGACATAACAATTAAATTCAACACATGATCTTCTATTGGTTCCTGGGTCAGAAAGGAAAGGGTGATTATAAAGCACATTATGGAGACAATCAGTGAAATTTGAATCTAGTCTGCAGATTGGATGTTAGTATTGTATTAATTTTAATTTATTGATTATAATGATTTTACTGGACTTTTATATGTTTTATATACAAAATGAGAGAGAAAAAGATAATATGGTAAAATATTAATTGATTAGGGAATCTAAGTAAAGGATAAAGAGAAGTCTCTGAATTATTCCTGCAATTTGCTGTAAGATTGAAATTATTTTAGAATTATTTTTTAAAAGCATAATGTATCATATAAAATATATTAAATTTCAGTTCCCTGAAAGTTATAGGGCTTCTAGAAACATGACAGTGAGAGCATGGTTTTGGATCTTCTCAAACCCCCTGCATATGAACAGAGAAACTAGACAACAAAATTAAAACTCAAGGATAACATTTACAGCTAAAGAAGATGGCAAGGCATCCCCACAAACCACAGAATAGAAGCATATGGGGACACACCATCGTCAACCACAAGACCTGCATGATGTTGGAGTGTGTGTAAGAGACAGGAAAGGGAGCCCATGAGACATTTGATAGAGTGAGAACAGGAGAATCCAAAGAGCAACAGCATTCACTGGAAAGCACAATGGGTCAATCCATGAGTGGCAACTGAAACTGGTAGGGGTTTTGCCCATTTTAATTGCAGAAGAGCACAAGGAAACTCAGTAAGACCTAAAGGGGTGGGGACATTCTAACCCCTCTGAATTTACAATACTGAATGTCCAAATCTCACTTCCAGGACACAGCTCTGAGAGAAACTGCTGGGTGTGGGATCAAAATTGATCAAGATAGGGACAACACATAAAAAGGAGATCCAGGCCGGGCATGGTGGCTCACACCTGTAATCCCAGGATTTTGGGAGGCCGAGGCGGGTGGATCACCTGAGGTGGGGAGTTCGAGACCAGCCTGATAAACATGGAGAAACCCCGTCTCTACTAAAAATACAAAATTAGCCAGGCATGGTGGCGCATGCCTGTAATCCCAGCTACTCGGGAGGCTGAGGCAGAAGAATCACTTGAACCCAGGAGGCCCGGAGGTTGCAGTGAGCCGAGATCGCGCCAGTGCACTCCAGCCTGGGCAACAAGAGTGAGACTCCATCTCAAAAAAAAAAGGAGATCCAGATAAAAAGTAAATAAGGAGAGCAGAGCCAGGAAATCTCAAAACTGCAGACAGTTATATATTTAAAACTTTACACAAAAGCGAAGAAGTACCTCAGTGATGTTAGCAAAATCTATCTGAACCTAGCCACCATTAGAAGTTCAGAAAAACTAATTTTACTTAAGAACGAACAATAGAAAAATACTAAGGTCAAATTCCAAATTTACTAAAAGAAAAAAAGAGAATACGGAGCAGAATAACATTCCTGCAAAAAATGAAAGTACACCATAAAGACATATTCAAGAAGCAGATCAAAACGATAATGCGAAAAAAAAGACTAAAAACTATAATGTGGCCAGACGCAATGACTCATATGGCTCATGCCTATAATCCCAGCACTTTGGGAGGCCAAAGTGGGTGGATCATTTGAGCCCAGGAATTCCAGAACAGCCTGGGCAACATGGCGAAACCCCGTCTCTACAAAAAATTAGTTGGGTGTGGTGGTGCACGTCTGTGGTTCCAGCTACTCGCGGGGCTGAGCCAGGAGGATCGCTTGAGCCCAGCAGTTCGAGAGCAACCTGGGCAACATAGGGAAACCCCATCTCTAAAAAAGAGGAAAAAAGAAAAAAAAATTATAGTAACGATTAACACTAAACTAGAAGAAAAAAGGGAAACACACTCACACACACACACACAAAATGCTTTAAGAGAAGTAGTAGATGAAAGGAGGAAGTTGCCTGTAGAACTAAGACAAAATAAAATTTAAAAGGGAGGCAGATGATAGAATATAAAGGTTATATGCTCTGACAGGGTAGCTATGATACAACAATTTAAAACTGGGGTAAGAATGGGGATAACATATAAAAAATTATTTACCATTTTCAGTAGTTGGTGGTGATTGTATTATGAATATTAATTGCCAGTAGTAAAGTTGTTATTCTAAAATAACTACTATTATTATTCTGAGATTGCTGGTTTTATGTGGGAAAAAGTAAATGAAAGTCATGAAATTTTCAAATTCTATCATCCCCTGTTACCTTGAGAACTAGGGTTCTTGGCATGGAGGAAAGGAGATATAGATTTAATATAGAAGTTAACTAAAAACCTTGTAGTTATAATTTAAAATGCAAATGTTAGTATAAACTCTGGAAAGGAAAATAAATCTCTGGGCCCCAAAATCACTCAAGCTGGGAACTGCTTAGGGCAAATCTGCCTCCCCTTCTATTCAAAGTCACCCCCCTCTGCTCCCTGTGATAAATATATACATATCTGATTGCCTCATTTGGAGAAGCTAATCAGAAGTTCAAAAGAATGCAACCATTTGAATCTTATCTACCTGTGACCTGGAAGCCGCCTCCCTGCTTAGAGTTGTCCTGCTTTTGCCTCAAGTTGTCCCACCTTTCCAGACTGAACCAATGTACATCTTACACACATTGATGTCTCATGTCTCCCTACGATGTACAAAACCAGGCCGGGCACGGTGGCTCAAGCCTGTAATCCCAGCACTTTGGGAGGCCGAGGCAGGCGGATCATGAGGCCAGGAGTTGGAGACCAGCCTGATCAACATGGTGAAACCCCATCTCTACTAAAAATACAAAGATTAGCCTGGCGTGGTGGCACATGCCAGTAATCCCAGCTACTTGGGAGGCTGAGGCAGGAGAATCGTTTGAACCCAGGAGGCGGAGGTTTCAGTAAGCCGAGATGGCGCCACTGCACTCCAGCCTGGGTGACAGAGCAAGTCTCAAAAAAAGTACAAAAGCAAGCTGTGCTCCTACCAGCTTGGGCCCATGTCATCAGGACTCCTGAGGCTGTGTCATGGGTGTGGGTCCTCAGCCTTGGCAAAATACACTTTCTAAATTAACTGAGAACTGCCTCAGATTTTTGGAGTTCACAACTCATAAGGCATTATACCTATTATATGTAGTTCTTTCCACTGAAAAGACTTAGAAACAGTGACTCCATTGTGGTCTTGAAATATCATTTCCCATTAGAAGAAACCAGGGTTTCTTGGAGAAATGGCTGATTCCAAAATTCCAAGGTTTGGTTTTTGGTTGTTGGTTTTAATTTTATTTAACTTTTAACTGACAAGTAATAATTGTATATATTTATGGAACACAAAGTGATATTCCCTTTTTTTTTTTTTTGAGTCTTGCTCTGTCACCCAGGCTGCAGTGCAGTGGCACCATCTCAGCTCACTGCAGCCTCAATCTCCCAGGTTCAAGTGATTCTCATGCCTCAGCAAGAGGTTAGCTCTCTTGCCCAGGCTGGAGTGCCGTGGCCTGATCTCTGCTCACTGCAACCTCCGCCTCCCAGGTTCAAGCAATTCTCTTGCCTCAGCCTCCTGAGTAGCTGGGATTACAGGCATGTGCCACCATGCCAGGCTAATCTTTGTATTTTTAGTAGAGATGGGGTTTCACCATGTTGATCAGGCTGGTCTCCAACTCCTGGCCTCATGATCTGCCTACCTCGGCCTCCAAAAGTGCTGGGATTACAGGCATGAGCCACCATGCCTGGCCCCAAAGTGATATTTCAATACATGTAAAAATTGTGGGATGATCACATCAGAGTAATTAGCATATCCACCATCTCAAATATTTATTGTTTCTCTGTGGTGAGAACATTAAAAACCCTCTCTTTTAGCTCTTTTGAAGTATACAACACATTATTATTAGCTATAGTCACCTTGCCGTGCAGTAGAACACCAGGACTTACTCCTCCTATCTAGCTGTAACTTCGTACCCATTGATAAATTATCCCTCCTTTCTGGTTCACCCCCCGCCCCTTCCCCAAGACTGTGGTAACCACGATTTTACCCTCTACTTCTAGAAGTTCAACTTTTTTAGATTCCACATATAAGTGGATCATACTGTATTTGTCTCTCTGTGCCTGGCTTATTTCACTTAACATAATATCTGCTAGGTTCATCCTTGTCACAAATGATAGAATTCCCTATTTTTTTAAAGGCTGAATAGTACTCCATTGTGTATATACATCAAATTTTAAAAACCCATTCATCTGTTGATGAACATTTAGATTGTTTCTATACCTTGGCTAACATGCATACTGCTGCAATGGACGTGGGAGTATAGATATTCTTTCAGCATACTGATTTCATTCCTTTTGTGCACACACCCCATAGTGGGATTGCTGGATTTTGTGGTAATTATATTTTTAGTTTTTTGAGGAACCTCTATACTGTTTTCCAAAATGGCTGTAGTAATTTACATTCCTACCGACAGTGTACAAGTTTCCTTTTACTGCGCATCCTCACCAACACTTGCTATCTTTCATCTTTTCGATAATATACAGTCTAACAGGTGTGAGGTGACATCTCATTGTAGTTTTCATTTGCATTGCTCTGATAATTAGAGATGTTAAACATCTTCTCATATATCTATTGGCCATTTGTATGTCTTCTTTTGAGAAGTAACTATTCAAGTCCTTTGCCCATTTTTAATAGGGTTACTTGATTTCTTGTTATCGAATAGTCTGGGGTCTGTGTATATTTTGGATATTAGCTCCTTATCTCGTGTATAATAATGAGTTCTTACAGCTTAGTATTTTCTAAAAATGACTTCTTGAAACATTCATTCACAGGAGGTTAAGAAGCACTATTCCGGCCAGGCATAGTAGCTCACACCTCTAATCCCAGCACTTTGGGAGTCCGAGGCAGGTGGATCACGAGGTCAGGAGTTCAAGACCAGCCTGGCCAACACGGTGAAACCCTGTCTCTACTAAACATACAAAAACTAGCTGGGCGTGGTGGCGGGCATCTGTAGTCCCAGCTACTCGGAAGGCTGTGGCAGAGAATTGCTTGAACCTGGGAGGCAGAAGTTCCAGTGGGCTGAGATCGCACCACTGCACTCCAGCCTGGGTGACAGAGCGAGACTCTGTCTCGAAAAAAGAGAAAAGAAGAAGAAGAAGAAGAAGAAGAAGAAGAAGAAGAAGAAGAAGAGGAAGAGGAAGAGGAAGAGGAAGAGGAAGAGGAAGAAGAAGAAGAAGAGGAAGAACTATTCCAAAAGAAGAAGAGGAAGAAGAAGAAGAGGAAGAAGAAGCACTATTCCAAAAGAAGAAGAAGAAGAGGAAGAAGAAGCACTATTCCAGAAGAAGAAGAAGAGCAAGAAGAAGAAGAGGAAGAAGAAGAAGAGGAGGAAGAAGAAGCACTATTCCAAAAGAAGAAGAAGAAGAGGAAGAAGAAGAAGAAGAAGCACTATTCCAGAAGAAGAAGAAGAAAGAAGAAGAAGAAGAAGAAGAAGAAGAAGAAGAAGAACTATTCCAAAAGAGAAACATTAAGTTTAAGTAGTCAAAGAAGTCAAACAGATTCCTTTATTGTGTAATATCTTAAGGTCTTTAATAAGCTAGTGTGTATTTTGAAGCATTAAAAAGGGACTATAATTGCATTATTTCTCAAATTTATTTGACCATAGTTTTTTCTTTTTTAAGGACACAAGTGTAATATCTTTATTAAACAGGATGTATGCCTATCTTTAACAGCAGCAAAAAAAGGGTTCTATTATGCTTATTATTTTGTAACACATTCTGTTCAATGAGGTCAGAAACTTTGTTCTACTTATTACCCTATTCCCAATGCCTAAAACAGTGCCAGATTCACAGCAGCTTAAAAGCTATTTTGTGAATGAATGAATGATTTAATTCTCAACATGGAAAGCAGGTAAGATTAAAGACCGTTGGTCAGAAATCAAATGAAATTCAGTTGTAGGTTTTGTAGAAACTCGGAGTAATGGCTTCATTAACAGATTGCCAGTCTGTAAAGTAATTCTCCATGCTGTCCTAATTGCAGCCTAATGTGTATCTTTCACATTAATGCATTTCCAGCAATAAAACTGCAGGGACGGTTATTTAAAGAAACCTATACTATACAAGTGCTAAATTAATATTACTTTGATGAATAATGTATAAATTAACTGCTTCTAGAAATTCGCTTAAACTTTTATTGTACTGTCTGAAAGTTTACCTTTGCACCTTACAGATCTGAGAAGGCAGTCAACGTCAGAGTTAATTAAGATCACAGGCTTTGGGAGTTAGGCAGTGACACCCCATTCTACTTATTTCCTTCTATTCTTTTGGAGGAAATTTTAATCCCACAACATACTGTGACTTCATGGCAGAAAAGGAACCAGAGATCGTTGGCTGAATTAATATATGAACCACAGCCTCCACCACAGCAACTCTACTTCCATGGTGCCCAACTCTTCTATTTATTTCAATTTGGCATTTTGACAGAAAAAATAAATCTCATGAGTACAACCTTGGACTAAAATTAGAGTACTATATTTCACTTCCAGCGCTACCTCTGATAAGTCCTATTGCCATGGGAAACTTATTTAACCTGAAGTGCATTTATTTCTTTGTTTATAACAATGACAAAAGTCTGATACTCAGGGAAACAGATAAAATGAGAACAAAATAGCAGAATGTGATATTTTAAACATCTCAGCATATTAAGGAAGCAGCAGGGCATGGTGAAAAGTGCAGTGGGCCAAAAGAAAATTTGGATTGTAGTTCTGATATGTCACTAGAAGGCTGGGTAGCTTTGGACACATTACTTAACCTCTATGAGTTAGAATCTAGCTGCTAGATTATCTCCAGGATCCCTTCTGACTCTTAAAAAAGTCTAAGAATGTAATTATTACTTTAGCCATTACTATTGCACATGTCCAAAACTTTTTTGTAAATTGCTGCTTCTCCTGTCCCATGCTGAAGTCTTTGAGGGGGCCAATAACTACCATGCCTTTCAAATTCTGAATCAAACGATAAAGTATGAGATAAAATATAGCCTGGATGCAGTGTTTCATGCCTATAATCTCAACACTTTGGGAGGCTGAGGTGGAAGGATCGCTTGAGGCCAAGAGCTCAAGACCAACCTGGGAAACCTAGTGAGACCCTGTCAGTACCAAAAATTTACTAATTTAAAAATTAGCCAGGCATGGTGGTGTGCACCTGTAGTCCCAGCTACTTGGGAGGCTGAGGCAGGAGGATCACTTGAGCCCAGGAGTTTGAGGTTGCCGTTAGCTATGGTCACACCACCGCACTCTAGCTGCAAGACTCTGTCCTGCCATCCCCCCAACCCCCTGCAAAAAAAATAAAGTCTAAGACATTAGGGATTGAATGGAGGCCACATATCATCTTTATTATTAATAAAGACTTGAACAGATAATATGACATTTACCTGTAGGCAGATCGACTTCTTAAAACAACTTCACACTTACAAGACTGTCTTGCCTGTGTAGGTTCAGATATTTCTGGCCTAACCCAGCCCTCTTCCCATGGAGTCAAGTACAGCAGGTCCTTGAATAATGTCCTTTCATTCAATATCATTTTGTTGTAAAGTTGATTATGAAAAAAAATCAATTCCTAGTGGGGCCACTCTCTGTGTGGAGTTTGTATGTTCTCCCCACACCTGCATGGGTTTTCTCCTGCATCGCAAAGATGTGAGTGTAAAGTTCATTGGCGTGCTACATGGTCCCAATCTCAGTGAGTTTGGGTGTGTGTAAGCGCGCCCTGCGATTGGATGGCATCCTGGCCAGGGTGGGTTTCTGCCTGGTGCCCTGAGCTACCGGGAGAGGTTCCAGCCACTCATTACCCTGAACTGGAATAAGACGGTTGGAAAAGGAATTAATGAATAATACAAATCATTGTCAAGTAAAAATCTGTAAAGTCTGCAAATTTGTATGATTGTCATGCAATCATACAAATTCCTGACAATAATGCCATATAAAAGCACTTGGCAAGCCCACCATGTCTGTTATTTATTTACTTATTTTGAGGCAGGCTGGAGTACAGTAGGGCGATCTCAGCTCACTGCAACCTCTGCCTCCTGGGTTCGGGCGATTCTCATGCCTCAGCCACTCGAGTAGCTGGGATTACAGGTGCGTGCCACCACACCTGGCTAATTTTTGTATTTTTAGTAGGACGAGATTTCTCCATGTTAGCCAGGCTGGCCTCTAACTCCTGGCCTCAGGCGATCCACCCGCCTCAGCCTCCCAAAGTGCTGGGGTTACTGTCATGAGCCACGGTGCCTGGCCTAATGTTTTTGAACTTTGTGGCGGTAGTAGGTGCTCCGTAAAATTTCCACTTTGTAAACATTTATTCCTAGATTTCACCTCCACCACAATGACTGCCATCACTCACTGATTCATCAAAAATTGGGTAAATAATTACCTTGCTTGTCTTTATTAATCTTTCTTTAATATATGGTAACCTCACATTTATTTTAATGTTTAATGTTAGAAGTGTTTTGGGTCTTTATTTAGAAGTTTAGTGATGTTTTGTGATAGAAATATGCCAAGAAACTTAACTCCTGTTATATCTATTAGCCCATGGTAAAACTGGTTTCATGTATCATTTTGCTTAAAGTCAGTTTCCAAGAACTTATCAACAATGTTATGGGAGGACTTACTGTATAAGTAAAATTTATAGAATGGAAGCACAAAGGAAAGTGTGGGCTCCCTGCAGAAAGCTCAGTTCCCAGAGAAAGAAAGAAAGGATGTGGCTAGGCTATGCCTGCCCGCTATCTTCTCCAAACTCATTAATCAATTACGGTGTGTGAGAGGAGTGAGAGCATGCATAGAACCAAGGGTGTTAAAATAATGCATGATTCTCCACAGCAGGGGAAACATCAAGTTAGTCAATAAATGTTCTCTGGCCCCCCAAAATACTCAGCTTTTTATTCGCTTTACCCATTGAGCTTAAAAATTAAGCTCATGGTCAAGAAGAGAGCGAGCTCTTCGCCTTGGAGGAAGAATCAATATGATTTCACTAGAGGCTGCTCTTCCAATCCCAACTACTGCTATTCCCTCTGACCAAAGCCTCGTCAACAATCATTCTAAAAGTGAGTGGTGCTTTGATATTTGGCAGAATCCATGACCCCTAAATCCTCAACCAGATACCTACCCCAGGTTCTTGAGATAAATATTTAGAGAAACTCTTGAACACTGGTTTCCATAACAGGTTTCAACCAGTAAGCAGAACAAGTTTGTTTGTTACAAGGAATTGGCTTACACAATTGTGGGGCTGGCTAAGCAAGCCTGAAATCCACAGAGCACGCAGTCAGCAAGGGAAGATCATAAGCAAGCTGGAACCCTATGGGAACGGGCTAAAGCCTGTTGTGCGCAGGCAGTCAGGAAGGAAGATCCAGGAGGAAGGGAGTGCAATTGCAAGCCCAGCTGCTGTTTGGAGTCTCTGAGTTCAGGGGAGATGTAACCCTTCCCTCCCTGCTTTTTAAATAATGGCTTTATTAGGATATAATTCACATATCATACAATGCACCTATTTAAAGTATTCAGTTGATTGCAGTCTATTACAAAAGTTGTGCAACCATCATGACAATCAATTTTAGAACATTTTCATCACCCCAGGAAAAAATCCTATATCCATTAGCATATAGTCCCCATTTCCTATCAGCATCCTCCAACCCCCACACCTCCGGCCATAGACAACTACTTTCTGTCTCTGTAGATTTGCCTGTTCTGGACAACTCATATAAATGGACTCATAGAACATGTGGTCTTTTGCATCTGACTTCTTTTACTTAGCAAAATGTTTTCAAGGTTCATCTATGATGTAGCATGTATCAGTGCTTCATTCCTTTTCATTGTTGAATATTCTATTGTGTAAATATATCACATTTAAAATGGTATTTATTCATCATTTGATAGATATTTGAGTTGTTTTCACTTCTGGACTGTTATAAATAATGCTGCTCTGAACTTTTGTGTAAAGGTTTTTGTGTGGACATACATTTTCATGTCTCTTGGGTGTATACCGAGGAGTGGAATTGCTGGGTCATATGGTAACTCTATGTTTAATTTTTGAGGAAGTGCCAATCTGTTTTCCAAAGTAGCAACACTATTTTACATTCCCACCAGCAACTAATAAGGATTCCAGTTTCTTCACATCTTCATCAACACTTTTTATTGTTTTTTTTTTCTTTTGAAGTAGATTGAAGCAGTGATTTTTAAAACAAAGAGAGCAGAACTAGAACATCTTAAATTTTTAATCCTTTCTTTACAGGTTACCTAGACCACTTTTGATTAAGAAAACTGTAGAAAGTTAGTAACTGCCACAAGCGAACGCCAGGCGGTGGCACGTGTCAATTTCCACAGAGTCCTGCTTTGCGGGGTGTCTGAATGCACTGCACGGGGTCTCTGCTCACACTTGCTGGAACCAATCGTGGCAGATTTTAGTCCACAGGTCGCTTTTCCCCATATTTCTTTGTAAACTCTTCAGCATTCTTACAGAATTTTTTACGGTCCTTAGAGTATTCTTCAGCTAGGTCAGCCCGAAGCGGGTGCTTGGGCTGGGGGTCATTCACCAGTGCTATGAGGGACTGGATTACTTGGTCGGTTTTGGTTGCTGGCTTCCAGTTTTCAGCACTAATTACTGGCAGACAGACCTGCCCCTTTTCGTCGATGTTTGGGTGATAGATCTTTGTTTTAAATGTGATCTTCGGTGGTTTGAATGGGTACTCTGCTGGAAAGTTGATTTCTATTCTGAAGGCCCCCTTATCATATGGAGGGTTGTCAGGAACAATAAGCCCTTGCCAAGTCAATAAATTAGCTTCATCAACCTGGATGTTACAGAAGTTTTTCATCCCACATTTGCGGATTTCTTCAAGCTCCTTCATCAGCCTCCTGCTGGCCGCCATCTTGGATTTGGTGCTGCTCCTTCCTCCTGTTTATTTTATTTTATTTTATTTTTGAGATGGAGTCTCCCTGTGTTACCCAGGCTGGGGTGTAGTGGCTCAATCTTGGCTCACTGCAACCTCTGCCTCTTGAGTTCAAGCAATTCTCCTGTCTCAGCCTCCCGAGTAACTGAGATTACAGGTGATTGCCACCACGCCTGGCTAATTTTTTAAATATTTTTAGTAGAAACGGGTTTCACCATATTGGCGAGGCTGGTCTCGAACTCTTGACCTCAAGTGATCTGCCCGCCTCAGCCTCCCAAAGTGCTAGGATTACAGGTGTAAGCCACCATGCCGGGCTTGTTACTGTATATTTAAACAAATTTTTTTAGCCATCCTAATGGATGTGAAATGGTATCTCATTGTGGTTTTGATTTGCATTTCCCTAATGACTAATGATGTTGAATACGTTTTCATGTGCTAACTGGCCATTCATATCTCTTTTTTGGAAAATGTCTTTTCAAATCCTTTGTTCATTTTGTAAGTGGGGTTGTCCTTTTATTGTCGAATTGTAAGAGTTATTTATATATTGTAAATACAAGTCCCTTATCAACCACATAATTTGCAAATATTTTCTCCCATTTAGTAAGCTGTCTTTTCACTATCTGGATGATATTCTTTGAAGCACAAACATGTTAAATTTTGGTGAAGTCCAATTTATATAGGTACATTCTTCTTTTGTCACTTTGGTTGTTAGTGTTGTATTTAACAAATCATTCCTTAATCCTAGATCAAGAAGATTTACTCCTATGTTTTCTTCTATGTGTTTTATAGGTTTAGCTTTTATATTTAGATCCATAATCCCCTTAGAAATAACTTTTGTGTACAATGTGAGATTGAAGGTTTAACTTCATTCTTTTATATGTGAATATCCAGTTGTCTCAATCACACGTGTTGGAAAGAGTATTCTTTCCCTCGTTAATTATCTTGGCACCCTTATTGAAAATCAGTTGACCATAAATGTAAGAGGGTTTACTTCTGGACTCTCAATTCTATTCCATTGATGTATATATCTGTCTTCTGTCAGCACTACAATCTTTATTACTTCAGCTTTGTAGTAAGTTTTGCAATCAGGAAGTGTAAGTTCCCCAACTTTGTTCTTTTTAAAGATTGTTTTTATTATTCTGGGTCCCTTACCTTTTCATATAAGTTTTAGGACTAGTTTGTTAATTTCTGTAACAAAGGCAGCTAGAGGTTTTTTGTTTGTTTGTTTGTTTTTTGAGAAGGAGTCTCGCTCTTGTCGCCCAGACTGGAGTGCAAAAGCACGATCTCAGCTCACTGCAACCTCCACCTCCCAGGCTCAAGCGATTCTCCTGCCTCAGCCTCCCAAGTAGCTGGGAATACAGGCACACACCACCATGCCCAGCTAATTTTTGTATTTTTAGTAGAGACAGGATTTCTCTATGTTGGCCAGGCTGGTCTTGAACTCCTGACCTCAGGTGATCCGCCTGCCTCAACCTCCCAAAGTGCTGGGATTACAGGTATGAGCCACAATGCCTGGCCAATTTTTACTCGTTTCTATTCAGTCTGGATGCCTTTTATTTAATGTTCTTGTCCAATTGCCCTAGATATAACCTCCAGTAAAATGTTGATTAGAAGTGGTGAGACAAGACATTCTTGTCTTGTTCCTAATCTTAGGAAGAAAACATTCAACCTTTTACCACTAAGTATGCTGTTAGCTGTTGGTTTTTCTTTTCTTTTTTTTTTTTAGACTGAGTCTCACTCTGTCACCAGGCTAGAGTGCAGTGGCACGATCTCAGCTCACTGCAACCTCTGCATCCCAAGTTCAAGCAATTCTCCTGCCTCAGCCTGCCAAGTAGCTGAGACTACAGGTGTGCACCACCATGCCCAGCTAATTTTTGTTTTTTTTTAGTAGAGATGGGGTTTCACCATGTTGGCCAGGATGGTCTCGATCTCTTACCTCATGATCTGCCCGCCTCAGCCTCCCAAAGTGCTGGGATTACAGGCATGAGCCACCGCACCTGGCATGGTTTTTCATAAATGCTTTTTATTAGGTTGAGGAAGTTTCCTTCTATTTCTTGTTTGTTGATTTCTTTTATTATGAAGAGTTGCTGAATTTTGTCAAATACTTTTTCGTCATCTATTGAAATGATCATGTGGGTTTGTCCCTTATTCTACTATATAGTGTATTACATTAATTGATTTCAGGTGTTAAACCAACCTTGCATTCCTGGGATACATTTTACTTGGTCTTGGTGTATAATCCTTTTTTTATTATGCTGCTGGATCCAGTTTGCTAATATTTTATTGAGAACTGTTGCATTTATATTCAAAACACATAATAGTCTTGTTTTTTTCTTGTGTTGTCTTTGATTTTGGCATCAGGCCTTATAGAATAATTTGGGAAGTGTTTTCTCCTCTTTTACATTTTGGAAGAATTTGTGAAGAATTGGTTCTTCTTTAAACATTTGACAGAGTTCACTAGTAAGCCCTGGCCTGGGAAAAGCCCTATTTTAAAGGCCTTCTAACTGATTAAATCAGGGCCACCCTGGATAATCTCCCTTTTATCAACTTAAAGTCAACTAATTAGGGACTTTAACTACAACTGCAAAATCCCTTCATGATAACACTCAGATTATGTTTGATTGAATAACTGAAAGAATGTATATACTATAATACAAAACATCTGCTGCCTCCCTTTCATCTTCCAACTCTTGCAAGAGATCTGTTGCCATTCACTCAAATGGGAAATATACTAGAAATGGACTTCTGGGGACTGTAGTTCAGCCTAGTCAAGTTTATACATCGCAAAGCCATCAATTTCCAAACCCACAAATGCATTAGAATTATCTAAGAATTCTTTTTTTAAGAGGCAGAGTCTCTCTGTGTTACCCAAGCAGGCTTTCAACTCCTAGGTTCAAGCCATCCTCCTGCCTCAGCCTCCTGAGTAGCTACAACTCATGCTACTTCACCTGGTAGGTAGATTTTGGGGGGGCCACAAACCTACTGAATTAGAGTCTCCAGAAAACTTAATTTTTTATGTATCCAGAAAATATCATTGGACTGGGATTTGAGAATCACTGCCTGATAACAATTATAATGATGCAAATGATAACTAATATATACTGAATCTATGTGCAAAGCTAAGCACTTGTATCAATTATATCATTTAGTTTTTACAACAAATAGGTATGCTATTATTCCCATTTTACATATGAGAGAACTGATACTCCAAGTTACACACTCAAGATCACATGGTTGAACTTGAGATCACAAAAAGGGTGAAGCTTTTTAGTCTCTAACTCTAACCACCAGTTTATAGAAAATGCATGGGGCAGAAGAACATATTTAATGACACCACAGGAATCAATCAGTAAAATCCAGAATGTGGGAAACTTTGTAAGACAAATGACTTGGTTTTTTCAACAATTAAATTGAAGGGAATAAAATAGAGGAAGGGAGAGACTTGTAGAGTAGCACTGTCCTACAGTGCTTTCTGCAATGATAGAGATGTTCTGTATCTGTACTATCCATGTGGCTATTTGGCACTAGAAACATGGCTACTGCAACTGAGAAATGGAATTTCTAATTTGATTTAATTTTAATTAATGCTTGAATTTAAATCATTACATGTGGCTAGTGGCTACAATGTTGGACAGTGCAGTTACAGATTAAATTAGACTAAAAAGACAAAATAGGCCAAAAGCTACATGTAGACCTTATTTAAATCCTGAGACAAACAAAATAATTTTTCTCTTTTGTTTTTTTGAGGTAGGGTCTCGCTCTGTTGTCCAGGCTGGAATGCAGTGGCATAATCATAGCTCACTGCAGCCTCAACTCCTAGGCTCAAGTGATCCTCCTGCCACAGCCTCCAGAGTAGCTGGGACTATGGGAACACACCACCATGCCCAGATAATTTTTATTTATTTATTTATTTATTTTTGAGACAGGATCTTGCTCTCTCACCCAGGCTGGAGTGCAGTGGCGCGATCACAGCTCACTGCAGCCTCAACCTCCTGGGCTCAAGCAATTCTCCCACCTCAGTCTCCTAAGCAGCTGGGACTACAGGTGCATGCCATGACCCTTGGCTAATTTTTTTTTAAATTGTTTTAGTAGAGATGAGGTCTCACTGTATTGCCCAGGCTGGTTTCAAACTCCTGAGCTCAAGCGATCTTCCTGCCTTGGCCTCCCAAGGTGCTTGGATTATAGGCATGAGCCAGAGTGCCTCAACTGTGGTGAATTGGAAAAAAAAAAAAAACAAAAAAAAAACTGTAGCGACTGGGTCTCACATGTTTCCAGGCTGGAAGTAAATAATTATTTAAAAAATTTTGTGAGACAATTAGGGAAATAGACACTTACTGGATATTTGTTGAATTTTTAAAGTGTGATAATGGTTTTATAGTTATGCCTAAAAAAAACTTTACCTTTTAGAAACACATACTAAAATATTTAAGCAGGGAAATGACATGATGTCTGGAATTTGTTTTATATTCCTTTTGAGAAAGGAAGGGAAACTGGGTGGAGTATAGATCTAACAGGATTGGCCATGAATGGATGATTGTTGAGGCTGGGTGATGGGCACATGACGGTACAACATAATTTTCTCTTGACCTAAGAATTGAAATTTTCAATAATTAAAAGTTTTTTTCAAAAGGTATTTGCGTGATGCTTTTCCCATGAATTACATCATTTAATCATAACTACTGTCTTGTGAGGTAACTAGAATGACTGTGTGCAGACTAATAATCTAAGGCTCAGAGAGATTAAGTTGCATGACTAGGATCACACAGCCAGTTAGAGGCTGGATTCAAATCCAGCTCTCCACCTCAAAATCTCAATCTTCTATCAGCCCTCACTTCGTATGATGAACAGTAAAGTTATTATGGATTGCTTTATGGAGAATAAGATGAGAAGAATCAGAGGAATGGATTTAACACCTTTGCTCTCATGTAGAATGATGAATTTGTGGCATCTGCTTCTCTAATTAGGAAGAGATTAATACCAACCCCCAGCTGCTATGAGTTATCATCAAGCATGGAGAAAGCACGCTACTAACGAGGATTGATTTATAAGTTCCAGATGTGAAAAGAGAGGATCTATTAACTTTTTTCCGTATACCATCAAAGACGATAGTAAAAATAATTTACGCTATTAAATTCATTGACTGAAATTGCTCTTTGCAGGACTAAAAGCTTTCATTATCTTCCTTTTCCTTCAAAATATAGTCAATAAGTGCTGAGAAAATTTTTGTTTACGAGGATAACATCTGAAACTGGGATGAATAATTAACTCATACTTGAATCTTGTTAATACATCTATTGTAAAATTAAATGACTTTTGGCCAGATGCAGTGGCTCACACCTGGAATCCCAGCACTTTAAAAGGCCAAGTCAGGAGAATTACTTAAACCCAGGAATTTGAGACCAGCCTAGCCAACATAGTGAGACCTAATATCTACAATTCTTTTTTTTTTTTTTTAATTAGCCAGGTATGCTTGTGCTTGCCTGTAGTCCCAGCTACTTAGGATACTGAGGTGGGAGGATTGCTTGAACCTGGGAGGTCAAGGCTGCAGTGAGCTGTGATTGTACCACTACACTCCAGCCTGGGCAACAAAGCAAGACCCCATCTCTAAGAAAGTAAATAAATAAATAAATAAATAAATAAATAAATAAATATTTTTTGTCCTTGATCACTTAGGATTTCCTAAAAGGCCTATGCCTATTGGGATATGATGTATGTTTACATTTCATACATAAATGATTTTACAAAGCATAACTTTGCCAATGCTTTTAGCAAAGATTTTCACTCCTTGACAATTATAATACAATGAAGTGTTTTTCTTAAGCTAATAAATTTACCACTTAATATCTTGTAGGAAATACAAACAAGGTATATTAATATACTAATTATTATTCTTTGTATCTAGATCTTTGGTCTTAGGCCTCACTACTTATAGGTGATATCCTATTATAATAGTCAAACTCAGCAATTGAATGAAAAATTACATGTACCTTCATATCCTCTGAAAAGATTTGCAAAGCTTTGACTAGTTCTGTGTCAGAATATAATAAAAGAGACAAAAAACAATGGACCATTAATGATGAGACTTAAATAGTAAGAAAGAAAGCTTGTGAAGTCAATCCTGAAACAAACCAAGTGTCCTGTAGAATGTTATTTCTAGGCCGAGACAGTAATGGCCTTGAAGAACCTTAGCCTTCTTATCTAGCACAAATGCCTGCTTCCCAAGCAGCTGCTTTAAATCCAACATCTCCATCATCAAAATCAGCGGCCATTTCCTGCTTCAGACATGAGTTTACCCATTTCACCTGAGAGCTGAAGTCGGAGGAAGGCAGGAATCAGGGATCAGCGAGTCAGGTAGAGGCTAAATGGCACACACCGATTTCTGGAACAGCGAGTGCCAATAATTAAAGAACAAAACACAAATGAGAGATGTTGCAGCACAAGTTGTAACCAAGAGTGCCTTGGAGTTTCCTTGGAAAGAACAGGATATAAATACTTTATCATAAGGGTCTGAGAAGGCTTCATCAACTAGGGATGTCTCTCCATGTGTCTTGAGTGAAGACTTATGTGTTTTCTTTAAATGCTTTTTATTTAAAAACCAAGGTCTGGCCAAAAGGGTTTAAAGATTTTCCTATCTTCTAAAAATTGTGAAAACTGAAAAACAAAATCACTATCCCTATGCAGGACAAACTTTTTCTAAAAGTTTTCTAAAGAAAACTTTTTTCCTTCTTTATTCTTCTTTTAAAAAAAGAAGAAAATTCACACATAAATTGGGGGAATACTCATCTCAAGGCAAAAATTCTTCATTTAGGCACATATACATGATGAAGTAAAGTAATCATTACCCTCACAGTCAGGAATAGTATAGAAAACTGTTGTTAGATCTTATAGTGTTATGAAATATCTTTTACAAAAAGGGTTGAATGTGTAAGATAAAACACCTCTTTGTTTCAGAAGTAAGCACATCATCAGTTTATGTCAAGAAGCCATTCCTGATTTACCACACCTGCTACATTCCTGCCTTACTCTGTAATTTATTGTTTTTTTAAATACAGGACAGCTCAGCAGATGTCACATCTAGGTATCCTACAGGTTGGAGTTTTAGTTTGTTTTTAGCTGGATGGCATGACAGAGTTTAATGCCTTGGATAAGCTTATGCTGCAAACATTTTTATCTTGAACTATGCTACATCTAAGATTTTCCTGAGACTTTGAGACTGACCTGATAAGGAAGAAAAAGTCAACACTATTTCAAAAGGAGGAGGAGGAAGATGGAGGAAAGAAACAATAGTTTGGGACCTACCAGATTAACTGTGTACCCTGGACCTGATACGATAATTAATGCTCCATTAGATAACCCAGTTCTGTGCAATGAGCAAAAACTGTCAATGAAAAATGTCTGGCTATTACATACAGTATTTAGTGCAGTTTCCCAAACATGGTTTTCTGAATTTAATTTGATTTAACTTTTGTCCCCTCTTAATACTTGGCAGGCAAAGCATTGTACAATAAAAATAAAATCCTGTTGTAGGATTACCAGATTTGTGGGCTATTAGCACTATTCTCTTTTCTTTTCATCATTGTGAAACAAACAGTACTTGCAACTTAAACTAGAATAGCCATTAGTAAATGGCTACCAAATGCCAGTAGTAAATATACTACCAAAACTAAACAAGACAAAAATAATCTCTAAACATGACCACACACACACACACACACACCCCACAACACACACAGACTAGGAGTCATAAAGCAAAGTTTGATAAATTACACTACTATCAAAAACACACAACCTCAAAACAAAAATACCAGAGGCAGAAAGGATGTGAGTAATCTTCACTGCTGACTGAGTAGGAATTATATGATGTAGCCTTTTTTTTTTTTTTTTTTTTTTGGAGACGGAGTTTCCTTCTGTCAGCCAGGCTGTTGTGATCTCAGCTCACTGCAACCTCTGCCTCCCGGGTTCAAGCAACTCTTGTGTCTCAGCCTCCCGAGTAGCTGGGATTACAGGCGGGCACCACCATGCCTGGCTAATTTTTTTATTTTTAGTAGAGACAGTTTTTCACCACGTTAGCCAGGCTGGTCTCGAACTCCTGACCTCAAGTGATCCGCCCACCTTGACCTTTCAAAGTCCTGGGATTACAGGCATGAGCCACCGCACCAGGCCTGATGTAACTGTTTTGAAGAGCAATTTGGCAATATCCAGTAAAGAGGTGTGCAAACCTTATAACCCATCGGTTTCATTTGTAAATAGATAACCTAGAGAAATCAGACATTTGCATAAGGAGGTACGTTCAAAGCAGCATTGTTTTTACTAATAAAAAAGGAGAAATAATCTAAATGTTTATTAATTTTAGAATAGAAAAATAAATTCATAAAATGTAATAATATTCATTAGTTAAAATAAATAAACTCCATCTACATGTATCACCAAAGATAAGTTTTGAGGTCACGTTGAATAACAACGGTGAAGTCCAGAATGACAGGCAAAGTAGATGCAATTTATATAAATGTTAACATTTTACAAAAATATATTATTTAAAAATGTTAGGGTCAGCCATCGTGACTCACACCTGGAACCCCAGCACTTTGGGAAGTTGAAGCAGGAGGATCACTCGAGCCTAGATGTTTGAGACCAGCCTGGGCAACATGGTGAGACTCCATATCTACAAAAATAAAAATAATTAGCTGGGTGTGATGGTGTGCATCTGTAGTCCCAGCTACTTTGGAGGCTGAGGTGGGAGGATCCCTTGAGCCTGGGAGTCAAGGCTGCAGTGAGTCATGATGATGCCACTGCACTCCAGCTTGGATGACAGAGCAAGACCTTGTCTCAAGTAATAAATAATTCAAAATTTAAAAAACATGGATCTGTGGAAGAAGCATAAAACCATAGAAGTATTGGAGGACTTCAAATAGTTCATGAAAACAATGGAATTAAAATATAAAATAAAAAATATAAACTTTATTTCTCAACATAAGTTCCGTTAAGTTCAAAACACTTTTGTAAGAGATAATACTAGCCATTTAGTCCATCCCTAAAGAACTGAGGGTTCTGGAAATTTATGCAGTCTTTTTTACATTATTAACTGAAGAAAAACGGGTGCCCATTAAAGATTTTTTTTAAGATTAGGAAACAAAAAAAGTCAGAAAGAGCCAAGTGAGGACTGTGAGGTGGATGTCTAATGGTTTCCCATGGAAACAATGACAAGATTGCATTGTTTGAACGAGGAATGAGCAGGAGCATTGTTTTGGTGGAGAAAGACTCTCTGGTGAAGCTTTCCCAGCCATTTTTCTGCCAAAGCTTTCCTAACTTTCTGAAAATACTCTCACGATAAGCAGAAAGTCAACCAGCAAAATGCCTTGAGTATCCCCGCAAACTGTTACCATGACCTTTGCTCTTGACCAGTTCACTTTTGCTTTGTCTGGCCACTTCCACCTCTTGGTATCCATTGTTTTGATTGTGCTTTGTCTTCAGGATCATACTGCTAAAGCCATGTTTCATCTCCTGTTACAATTCTTCAAAGAAAGGCATGAGGATCTTGATCCCATTTACTTAAAATCTCCACTGAAAGCTCTGCTCTTGTCTGCAGCTGATCTGGGAGCAATGGTATTGGCACCCATCAAGTGGAAAGACTGCTCAACTTTAATTTTTCAGTCAGCATTGTGTATACTGAACCAATTGAGATGTCTGTGGTGTTGGTTTTTGTTTCTGTTGTTCATCACTGGTGCTCTTAAAGTATAATTTTTTCCTTGCAAATTGATGTGGATGGTCTGCCACTGCAAGCTTCATATTCAACACTGTCTCGTCCTTTCTTAAAATGATCTATCCAGTTGTAAACTGCTGATTTCTTTGGGACATTGTCCCCATAGTCTTTTCATAAAGCATCAGTGATTTAACCATTCTTCCACTCAAGCTTCACTTCACCATAAATATGATGTTTGTTTTTGCTTCAATTTTAGCAGAATTTATGTTGCTCCAAGAGGGGCTCTTTTCAAACTGATGTCTTATTCTTCTTAGTGTCTTAAACTAGATTCTGTTCAGACATGTTATGACAAGATAGTGTGAGTTTCCTTTGGTGCCAAAAAATTTTGAAATCCATTCTTATTTTTTTTCATAAAAGGCACTTTCCAAAAACTTTTTGAAGACCCTTCCTATAATGCTTAAGGTACTTGTCAAAACTGGAGGTGACTCACTTGTTTACACTAGGCCTATTTTGGGTCCTTTAAAAAAAAAAGTTGCTGGACATGGTGGCTCATGCCTATAATCCAAGCACTTCGGGAGGAGAACTGCTTGAGCCCAGGAGTTTGAGATCAGCCTGGGCATCAGGGTGAGACCCTAGCTCTAAACAAACAAACAAACAAACAAAACTTTAACAGAAAAAAAAAGCAATGAGGTAGAAGTTTCAGCATACCAAATAACTGGAGACCATTCAAAAGGTTTTGAGATCAGCCTGGGCATCAGGGTGAGACACTAGCTCTAAACAAACAAACAAACAAAACTTTAATAGAAAAGAAAAAGCAATGAGGTAGAAGTTTCAGCATACCAAATAACTGGAGACCATTCAAAAGGCTTGTGGGTTTTTTAAAAACTGTTTTAAAATTCATTCTTCAAAAATGTTCAGACATGACCACGTTGGTTTCATCACAGTGCTTATGAAGTTTCTTCATTTTTCATGTGTCCAAGCAGGCCTGAACACCCCCAACTCCCTCAACCATGACCTTTTACAGAAGCAGACATGGAGGGCTTTGATGCCAACTAATATATGCTTCAAAGTGGACAGAAAGAGATACTATGACCTTAAAAAAATAACCTCTTCTGAGGTTGAAATAAATTATAATGATGCCATCTGATCATAACTCAGTGACCTCATTTGAGGAAAGTTTGATGGGCAGATTCTTCTCTGTTCTTTATTAGCAACATCTGTCAAGAGGCTCGCACAGTTTGAGAATAGCTTCTCACACCTGGCTAATTTTTGTATTTTTTAGTAAAGATGGGGTTTCACCATGTTGGCCAGGCTGGTCTTGAACTCCTGACCTTAGATGATCCTCCCACCTCAGCCTCCCAAAGTGCTGGGATTACAGGCATAAGCCACTGCACCTGGCCCCATTTGTTATTTCTGTCTTTTTAACATTTTCTTTTTTTTTTTCCTGAAAGACAAAGGAAAATATTTAAATAGTTCATGTGAGGGGTATTTGAGGGGTATAAAGGGTTTCCAAAAACACAGGCACATTTCCTTCAGGATGCTAGTTATTCTGGGGAGGGGTGGAAAGGAATGGAATTGGAGAGGGTATGAAAGAACTTCAGTTGTATCTGCAACATTTTTTCTTTTAAAAAAAACGCTGAAGCAAATATTACAAAATGACAACATGTTAAAACTAGGTAGTGGCTGTATGAGTGCTCATTATATAATCCTCTCCTGTTTTTTCTCTACTTAGAACATTTAATAGAAAAAGAAATTCAGAAATAAATTACCAAAAAGACAAACAACAAAACTGAAAAGAATATTCAAAATACGTATGAGAAAAGAATCTATTTTCTTAATATATAAAGACAAATAAATGAGGAAAAGATAAATGACCCAACAGAAAAATCAACTAAGGATATGAATAAAAAATTTACATTAAAATAGTTAATGAAGTTATAAAATAGCCTAAATATGTATGTGTCGCTCCATGTATGTCTCCACGTGTATATATATATATGCACTCACTAAACAAATGCAAATCAAGAAAACAATACTGCTTTTCATTATCGTACTGGCAAACTTTTCTGAAGTTTATCAAACACAGTTTTACCAGCACTAGGAAACGTAGCCTCATGTTTCTGAAAAGAGTATAAATTGCTGTAATAATTCTGGAGGCCAAAAATTTTAAGTGCACATTCTCTTTGAGCACTTTCACTTTTAGGATTTTTTTTTCCTTTTATAGCTGCACAAGTGCACAAAGATATACGTATAAAGGTAATGTTTGTCAAAGTAAAAAATTGAGGAAAAACTAAATTTCTATCAAAGGAAGAGATTAAATTGATGATACATCTAATTTATAGAATTGTATGCAACTATAAAGAAAAAGTGGTAGATCTATATGTTGACAAAGGAAGATGCCCATAATACAACATAAGTTTAAAAGAGCAAGTGGTGGAACTATATATTTAATACAATCCTATTTGCATTAAAAGGCATACATTAGATACATGTTTGCAAACATATGTCTGTAAGAAACAGTGATTATCTCTAGGAGATGAAACCGGAGGTTGAGAATAGGAAAGAAATCTTTTATTTCCTCCTAGACTTTTATTACACCAGATCTTTATGCTGCAAATGACAGAAAACTGAAGCCGCCCTAAGAAATGAATGAATTTATTGGCTCAATTTCAATGAATTCTGTGAGTAGTTTCAGGTTCCTCTTGAATCAGAGCTGCCCAATGTCACTAGGATGCTTCTTCTGGGTGTTGAGTTCATCCTTTGCACATGTGAATGATTCTCTCTGGGGGTGTCTGACAGCCTTGGTTACCTTGATGGCTCCACTCAAGTTAGCTATATGGCGACTATTACCAAGCTTTACCACCTTGCAAAGCTCAAAGGCAAGAATGAATGCCTCTCTTTTCCAGAAGTCTTTATTTATTGGCTCTCAGGCATTCATCAGTTCTTACTGGATTATACGACCATTCTTGAATCAATCTTCATCAATGGTAGTGATTGATTTGTGGTCAATTTCACCTAAACCAAATAACAGAATGGAGTCTGGATGGTTTCCCAAAAGAAGGTGGGATGCTATGCAACAAACAACAGATATTCACTGTTGCTAGATAATGCTTTACCAAGTGCATCACACACACACACACACACACACACACACACACACACACACGTTACAGTCTTCTAGGGCCTAGATTCTGAGCTCCATAGGAAGGGACTGTGTCGGTATCATACATTATCCTGTCCTTTGGGCCTAAGTCAGTTCCTGGTACATGATCAGGAGAATACATGTATTAGCAGAAGAAAAACAAAACAACCTACCTTGCAACTTCACTTCTAAGCATTGGCTACAAATTACAAAAAAAATTAGTTATAGAAAAGTATCATCAAGACTATCATCTACAATATCTTCATCCAAAGTAAATAGAAGAGAGGCTGATGCAGTGAGAGAGTTTTTTTTTAAGGAGAAACACTGATGGCTCTTTCAAACATTTGCTTTTTGTTGATATAAATTATTCAATGCATCATGGAGATTCATTACTATGAACTACTGCAATAATGGTTGAACTCAGCAAATTCTTTTTTTTTTTTTTTTTTGAGATGAAGTTTCGCTGTTGTTGCCCAGGCTGGAGCGCAATGGCACAATCTCAGCTCACCGCAACCTCCGCCCCCCGAGTTCAAGCGATTCTTCTACCTCAGCCTCCCAAGTAGCTGGGATTACAGCCATGCGCCACCACACCCTGCTAATTTTGTATTTTAGTAGAGACAGGGTTTCTCCATGTTGGTCAGGCTGGTCTCGAACTCCTGACCTCAGGTGATCTGCCTGCCTCGGCCTCTCAAAGTGCTGGGATTACAGGCATGAGCCACCACACCTGGCCAGCAAATTCATTTACACAATTATTCAGATAGGAACTTAGGGTCAGGCTAATTTACTTAAAGATTTTTCTTCCTTCTCTTCCCTTTCCCTGAGCCTCCTCTGGGTACTCCTTACACTGGGCCACCATGAACTGCTTCTGCTTGTGCAACTTGCCATATAACTAGGGTCACCAGATAAAATACAGGATGCCCAGTAACATGTGAATTTCAGGTAAACAATGATTTGTTTTTTATTATAAGTATGTCTCAGATATTGCATGAGGATATGCTTATACTAGAAACTTGTTCTTTATCTGAAGTTAACATTCAACTCACAACCCTGAATATTTATTAACTGTAGTTCTGTATTTTTATTTGCTAAATCTGGCAACCTTACACATAATTCTAAGGGCCTATGACAATTTTTAGTTGGCTAAAGGGTAATACCACGGACTTTCCAGACTACAAAATACCTGACTGTTGGAATTTTACTTTTAGATCTGCCTCTTTTATACTTAAAGAGCAATTATAAAGTAAGACCCCGTGTAACCACCACTCAAGTTAAGAAATATGTATATTTTTATTTTATTTTATTTTTATTTTTTTTTTTTTGAGACAGAGTCTCACTCTGTCACCCAGGCTGGAGTGCAGTGGCATGATCTCGGCTCACTGCAACCTCCGCCTCCTCAGTTCAAGCGATTCTTCTGCCTCAGCCTCCCAAGTAGCTGGGACTACAGGCATGTACTACCATGCCCAGCTAATTTTTGTATATTTAGTAGAGACGGGGTTTCACCATATTGGCCAGGCTGTTCTCGAACTCCTGACCTTGTGATCCACCTGCCTTGGCCTCCCAAAGTACTGGGATTACAGGCATGAGCCACCGCGCCAGGCCAGAAATATAGCAATAGAAGGACTATGCGAGTACCTTAGAAGCCATCTGTGTTCCTCTCCTCGGATGGCATCATTCTCCTTCCCCTTAAGGGGTAACCACTATCCTGACTTTTATGATAATCATTCTGTCTGGTGTTTCTTTAGGCTTGCCACCTATATATGCATCCATAAACAATATAGTTCATTTTGACTATTTTTGAACTTTATACAAAAGTTTCTATGTAAGTGATCTTTGTGACTTGTTTCTTTCACCCAACACTGTGTTTATAAAACGTGTCCTTTTTTTTTGAGACGTGGTTTCACTCTGTTGCGCAGGCTGGAGTACTGCAGTATGATTACCGCTTACTGCAGCCTCAACCTCCCAGGCTCAAGTGATCCTACTATCTCAACCTGCAGAGTAGCTGGAACCACAGGCACATGCCACCACACCTGGCTAATTTTTTTTTTTTTTTTTAGAGACAGGGTCTCACTAGGTTGCCCAGGGTGGTCTTAAACTCCTGGGCTCAAGCAATCCTCCCACCTCAGCCACCCAAAGTGTTGGGATTACATGCATGGGCTACCGTGCCTGGCAGTTTATCCATGTCAATGCATGCAGCTGTGGTTCTTTAATTCTTCTTTTGTATAAAAATGTTCCAATATGTGATTGTGCCCATAATTTATTCATCCATTGTACTGTTATGCGCTGATGGTACAGTTTTAACTTAAACTGACAATTTTTTAATGTTTTAAATGTATAGAAATGAGCCCAAATAACTATATCATGTGTAAAATGGGAATAATAAAAGAAAAAATAAAATAATAAAATAACTATCATAAAATAGTTTCATACTATGCAGGAAAATTGCTAATATTTAGTACTCTCTAAAATCTGTTGTTATTGTTTTCATTAATAGGGAAAAATTTAAGATGGCTTATATAAAATGGTTCTCATTTATAGTCATTTAATTTTTTTTTTTTTTTTTTTTTTTTTTTTTGAGACAGAGTCTTGCTCTGTCGCCCAGGCTGGACTGCAATGGCATGATCTCGGCTCACTGCAACCTCTGCCTCCCGGGTTCAAGCGATCCTAGTGCCTCAGCCTACTGACTAGCTGGGATTACAGGCACGCGCCACCACGTCCGGCTAATTTTTGTATTTTTAGTGGAGACGGGGTTTCACCATGTTGGCCAGGCTGGTCTCAAACTCCTGACTCAAGTGATCCGCCCGCTTCGGCCTCCCAAAGTGCTGGGATTGCAGGAGTGAACCACTGTGCCCAGCCTAAATTTTTTTATTGTTGTGCAACATACAAATAATAAAATGAACAAATAAAAATACAGCTTTATGAATTTTTACATATACACCTATGTAATCACCACCCAGATAAAAATGTAGAACATTTCCAGCACCCTCTTAAGATGACTGTCTTACGACGCTTTATTTCCTGTTGCTACCTACTAGAAAGCTGACTGCCTACATTTTTGAACACATGTCTAATACTGGGCCGCATGATGTTGGTTTCTGGGCTTTTGGGTGCCACCATATGGTAAGCCTGCTGTACTGCAATTGATTTCCAAAATAAAAAGTAATAATACAGATTCTGATGTGGTTAACAATGAAAACAGAGGACCTAATATTTCTACTAAAAAAGAAAAAGACTTATCTTCCAAAAGGATAATTTAAGATCATGTACATAATGACATTACATGTTTACAGTTAAATTGATTCTATAATTTTCTACTTGTATATTTAGCATATAAAGAAAAAAATGATTGCAGCCTGGCATTGACATGAGAATACTGATAGAGGCAGGAGGCAGAGAACTCTCCTAGGCAGATAGGGGAGGGTCCCTGGAGAACCCCCGACCCGCCAAGCTCATTGTGCACAGAAGGCTTGCCCAAACATGCCCGCAATGAAAAATTCCGTCCCTTAACACATGCGCAGTAAGGAAATAAATCAATGTGGAGTGGCTCAGACTAAGGACCCGCACGCGCACTGGAAAGATGGGGTGGAGCCAACCAAGAATTGATGCCCTATGCAAATAGGGAACCCAGCCCCATCAGCGGATATAGAAGCCCTTGTGTTCAACTATGAAGGAAGACAACCAGCAACCTGCTTTCAGGACCGCTCTTTTTGCTGAGATCATTCCTTTTCGCTTAATAAATTCTATTCCACTCACTCTTTGATGTTCCCGTGCCTAATTTTTCCTGGTCATGAGACAATAACTCGGATCTAGCTGAGCTAAGGAGTAAAAAATCCTACATCAATATGAATTTTATTTAAACACAGGATTTTTGTAAAAGTCATGGTGTTCAAGCCCAGCAGGCCAACTTTAATCTCTGAAATATGGCACAATCCAATGGTAATAAAGGCACAACATATTTCTTAAACATTGGAAAGGTCAATGTTGATTCTTTGTGTAAGACTTTCCCCAAAAAGATATTATTCGGATTCAGTCTTGAAAAAGAGTAAGTGTGTGTAAGGCAACAAGAGGGAGGAATGACTCTTCAAGTAGAATGAACATCATGAGAAAGGTATGGGGAATGGAAACTTGACTTGTCCATAAGCAGACAGAAAGAAGCTCAATGTGGTTAGAACATGGCCAACAGGAGAGTAACTACTAGGAAATAAAGCTTCAGAGGAAGATGGAGTCCAGATTACTACCGGCTTTCCATGAGCTGGAATTTGGGTATCACTCTGAAGGGCAGATAAAAGGGGTCCTTATCTGAAGGGCAGATAAGAAGGAGTTGGTCAAAAGCAATGGTGAAAACTGTTCTTGGTGTCTTTTTTAAAACGTGAAATCACTACTTTGTATCTGTTTAGAATAGACAGTATTGTTGTCTTTTGTAGCACTGGGTACCATCTGTCAGTGTTATTTTCCTTTCTGCTTTGTGAAGAGAATGGGGTAGTTAAATAGCTTCAGAAATCCAGGAGTATCTTATTATTCTGTTTTAGACACAGCTTCAGCACTGGGTTTGCATCTCCATTTATATGTCATGGTCTACTATACAACAGCCTATGTTAATTTTCCTTGCATTTTAGGTTGGCAGATATTTCAAGTATTATTAGCCACTAGCTGTAAAATGTCTTGAGGCTGGTAATGTATAGAAAGCATGAGAATAGGCCTGATGGGCTCGCTCATGCCTGTAGCCCCATCACTCTGGGAGGCCAAGGTAGGTGGATTGCCCGAGCTCAGGAGTTCAAGATCAGCCTGGGCAACATGGCAAAACCCCGAAAAAAATAAAAGGGAGAAAGAAAGGAAGAAAGGAGGAAAGAGAAAGAAAGAAAGAAAGAAAGAAAGAAAGAAAGAAAGAAAGAAAGAAAGAAAGAAAGAAAGAATAAAATTACATGCAACTAGTTTATTCAAATCTTTGAACTTACTGGTATATTTTCATTATAAACTGTATTCTGACTATAAATTACTGTAATTCCCTTTAGAATTATGGCAATCTATAACAGCTACATAACAATAACAATATATCTTAAATTGTACACTGGATTTTTTTTTTTTTTTTTTTGAGACGGAGTCTTGCTGTGTAGCCCAGGCTGGAGTACAGTGGCGCGATCTCAGCTCACTGCAAGCTCTGCCTCCTGGGTTCACACCATTCTCCTGCCTCAGCCTCCCGAGTAGCTGGGACTACAGGCGCCCGCCACCACGCCCACCTAATTTTTTGTATTTTTAGTACAGATGTGGTTTCACCATGTTAGTCAGGATGGTCTCGATCTCCTGATCTCGTGATCCACCCACCTCGGCCTCCCAAAGTGCTGGGATTACAGGCATGAGCCACCGCGCCTGGCTGTATGCTGAAATTTTTTAATGCTCATTGGGGATACATTATTCAAATACGTCTTTCCAGTATTTTACATTTTCAGGATAGGGAAAAAAGAGAACCCAAGCATTGATAGCTTAATGAATATATATATATATATATATATATATATATATTCATTATATATATATATATTCATTATATATATATTCATTATATATATATTCACTATATATATATTATATATATTCATTATATATATTCATTATATATATATTCATTATATATATATTCATTATATATATATTCATTATATATATTCATTATATATATATTCATTATATATATTCATTATATATATATTCATTATATATATTCATTATATATATATTCATTATATATATTCATTATATATATATTCATTATATATATATATTCATTATATATATATATATATTCATTATATATATATATACATATAAATAAATTTTTTTTTCTTTGAGATGGAGTTTCGCTCTTTTGCCCAGGCTGGAGTACAATGGTGCGATGTCAGCTCACTGCAATGTCCACCTCCCCAGTTTAAGCGATTCTTCTGCCTCAGCCTCCCAAGTAGCTGGGACTACAGGTGCATGCCACCACTCCTGGCCAATTTTTTGTATTTTTTTTTTTTTAGTAGAGACAGTGTTTCACCGTGTTAGCCAGGATGGTCTCAATCTCCTGACCTCATGATCCACCCTCTTTGGCCTCCCAAAGTGCTGAGATTACAGATGTGCGCCACCGTGCCCCGCCAGCTTAATGAATACTAAGGAAAATTATAAAAAGGAATAAATGATTTAGTGTGCACATATAATGCATGTTGAAGACCCAGAGAGGGAAGAAATAAATGGATGGGCCACTAA
This sequence comes from Homo sapiens, assembly GCF_000001405.40. Lineage (NCBI taxonomy): Eukaryota > Metazoa > Chordata > Mammalia > Primates > Hominidae > Homo > Homo sapiens. The sequence goes on along the minus strand of NC_000014.9, from coordinate 55,210,113 downwards.
ATTAAGTTTTATTCCTATAGATGCAGAGCTTATTATTAAGAATCTCTCATAGGAAAGGTTCTAGGTCAAGCTGCAGTAGACTGTACACACATGATTAATTCTATACCTCCCACGGAAACGTCAAGACAGTTTTTTGTTTGTTGATTTGTTTTGCTGTTTCTCCAAAATTTTATTTTAATTTAAATTACAGGATCAGCCAGATATTCTGGTAAGAAATTCACTTTTCCTCAGGAGAAAGAAAATGCTTTCATGGCATTGTTAACAAATGTATACATCTCCACTTTTTTAAGCGTTAAAAGTCACATTAAATAACCAAGACAATTTTTTTTAAAAGCACAGACACATAACAGTGGAAAACAATTAGAGTATCATCAATATATCAGAAATGTTGATAACTATGTGGAAAGAAAAACACAGATAGGTTTGAATTTCCAGAAAAATCAAAAGAGAAAAAATTGCATCTCAGAACACCAAAGACAAGCCAGGTTCTTTCCAAGAAAGCCTCAGATAAGCTCCAGGTTCAGCATCAGCAAATTCAAAGGGAGAAGTGGGCTATAAGAGAATTGGGGCCTGAGAGAAAAATGAAAGCCAGACTTAGAATAATTGCAGAATCTGGGCCAAAAAAAAAAAGAAAGAAAGAATTAAACTAGAGGCCAGGCACAGTGGCTCACATCCGTAATCCCAGCACTTTGGGAGGCCAAGGCAGGCGGATCACTTGAGGTCAGGAATTCAAGACCAGCCTGGCCAACATGGTGAAACCCTGTCTCTACTAAAAATACAAGAAATTAGCCAGGCATGGTGGTGCGGGCCTGTAGTCCCAGCTACTCAGGAGGCTGAGGCGCAAGAATCGTTTGAATCCGGAGGCAGAGGTTGCAGTGAGCTGAGATTGCGCCACTGCACTCCAGCCTGGGCAACAGAGGGAGACTCCATCTCAAAAAAAAAAAAAAAAAAAAAAAAAAAAAAAAAAAAAAAGAAAGGAAAAAAGAAAAAAGCATTAAACTAGATAGTCACAATGAAGTTATAACATCTATACACCGGCCAGGCGCGGTGGCTCACGCCTGTAATCCCAACACTTTGGGAGGCTGAGGCGGGCGGATCACAACGTCAGGAGATCGAGACCATCCTGGCTAACACGGTGAAACTCCTTCTCTACTAAAAATACAAAAAATTAGGCGGGCGTGGTGGTGGGTGCCTGTAGTCCCAGCTACTCGGGAGGCTGAGGCAGGAGAATGGCGTCAACCCGGGAGGCGGAGCTTGCAGTGAGCTGAGATCGCGCCACTGCACTCTAGCCTGAGCGACAGAGCAAGACTCCGTCTCAAAAAAAAAAAAAAAATCTATACACCAAATAACAGCATCAACACTCAGAGCAAAAACTGTAGGAGTTACAAGGAGAACTAGAAATACCCTAGAGGTAGACTTCAATTAACCCCCCTTAATCAATGTTACAGCAGTGGACAAAAAGTAGGTGAGAATATAGGAAAAAAAAGAGTAATATCTTCAAAGGTCTAAGGAAAAAATTTTTGGAACTCAGCATTATTATTAACTAAGCATGAGGACAAGACAAAGACATTTCGGAAGTAAAAAAAGATACCATTTAAGCTCCCGATATGAAAAAGCATGACTTGAGGAAGTTCTTCAGTGCAAAAGAAGGAATCTAAGGTATCAGGTTATGCGATTATGCTGGCAGCTAAGTAGAACCAGAAACGAAGGAAAGATTTCAGCAGCAAAGTTTTAATGTCATAAGATTAAGTTTCCTTCTAGCTTAGTCCAATCACGATATTTGTTTATAGTGAATAATACTTATGCAATCATATTATCATAAGTGCTATCTACTGATTTTCAATTTCAGGTATAACAATACCCAAAGCTCAGGATATTTAATAATTATATTAAAGAATCGCATGTAAAATCTCAACAAATTCAAGTGTGCAAGAAATACCACCTTATTTTTTATACTTCAACTTAATTTCTGCATCTAGGAAATGTCCTCTTTCTCCCCATACCTCCCTCATAGGTCCTGCTTGATGGGAAATGTAATCACAGACATTCCTGGGGTTACTCTGCCCTCCCTTGGTCTGGTCAATGGCACACAGTTACAAAAGCATCAGAGAAAAGGGAGACCCTCCCATCATGAGTGATCTCTGTACCCAGGTAACAGAGCCTCAACGAATGATTGTTTCCCATGCTGCAAATCTTTGCTCTTTTGGGACTTTTGTGGCCCTATGTGAGGCATGAGAGTCTTAGCTAAGCTTGGGAACCCTGTACTAGGGTCCTTCCTTCCCCAGATATCTAACACATCTAACCCTTCTGAGCCTCCTCCTTGGAGCTCCACCATGGAGCAATGTTTGAATCCTGTATACCTTTTCACCACCACCCACCCTCATGGAATCTCTAGGGGAGAAGCCTCTCCCCACCTCCTGTATCTCCCAGTCACCACGCTGCTTCCCTTCAATCCTGCACTTCTCAGTGAATTTAGTTTTACAGAAAACAAAATCCAGGAAAAATTGCACAGACTAATTCCACTTTCCTCCCTGTCCCATACCTACCTGATATGATAAAATTCAGAGGCTGTTACTTGCTTGAATGGAGAAGTGGAAAGGGAGAAATACAAATATCATAAATATTATTCAGACACATATTAATATAACTAAAAAAATTGAGAAGCAGATGGAAGAGAAGTAGAAAGAAAGTATTTTTATCTTTCATTGTGGTTATTCAATCCATATTAAATTTGATAAATAAAGAATTAAACATTTTAACACATTGTTTAAAGTGAATAAAGCAACATTTAAACATTTAAATACATTGTTTAAAGTGAATAAAGCAACATTTAAACATTTAAATACATTGTTTAAAGTGAATAAAGCCACATACAATGGCTCACATCTGTAATCCCAGCACTTTGGGAGGCTGAGGCAGGATTGCTGGGGCCAGGAGTTTGAGACCAGCCCAGGCAACATAGTAAGACTCTGTCTCTACGAAAAAATTAAAAATTAGCTGGGTGTGGTGGTACGCACCTGTAGTCCCAGCTACTTAGGAGGTTGAGTTGGAAGGATCACTTGAGCCCAGGAGTTTGAAGCTGCAGTGAGCCATGGTTGTGCCACTGCACTTCAGCCTGGGTGACGAAGCAAGACCCTGTCTCTGAAAAAAAAAAAGAAGAAGAAGAAGAAGAAAAATATAAACTACAAATAAGCCCAGAGGTGGAGGGGTAGGTAGGTCATGATAAATTCTTAATCTTTCATAGTAGAAAATCAATAGATTTTGCGTAAACTTGATAAATCTTGAAGTAGGTAAGTATGGTTAAACTAAAAGCAGAAACTTAGCAGGGGTGATTTCTGGGAAGTGAATTAAGGATTGGGGAGGAGATAGTTGAGCAGAGGAGGGAGATTTTATTTTTCACTTCAAGTTTTTTATCCTTATCTTGATATTATGCAAATGTAATACTTTTCTAACAACAGTTAGTTTAATTAAAAATAAATAACACTACCTCCTTTTCAACACACTACCTCATAAATATTTATAAGATATAGTTAATAAACATTTCATGTTAAAATATGCCCACGGGCAGTAGATCTTGGCTTTCGTGAAACAGAGTAGCAAACATAAGAAGCCATGTTTGCTTGCCAGCATAATTTTGCAGTCACCCTGACTCTGTTAAAAATGCAGCTCTCCAAAGAATGCCTTAAAGATGATAAATGGGATACAGCACATAGCTCCCCAGTCTCTTGCCTGAGATACTACACTCCTTAAAAGATAAATGACCTTGGTCCTTGCCTTTTCTGACACATAAGACAAAGCCTGCCAAGGTGTTGCAAGATTATGCCCCTGCAAACTGGAACCAAAGGTACTCTTGCATTCAAGCTTTACTGCAATTTTTTTTACACTGTATTTTTACTGCTTGTATAAAAACTGAACTGAAGTGCTGCATTGGAGTAGTATGACAGACATTCTCTAGGAAACTCTCCCGGGTTATAATCCTCAGTGAGACTTCTGAATAAAACTGACTGTAACTCTTTAAAGGTCTGATTTGTCTTAATTTTACAATTTTAAAATTTACTATTAAATTCCTTTCCATAATGTAAGCATCTGCTAAAATGTTCACATTTTAAATAAATCCTTAACTTTATACAGATGAACAAGTAATTTACCCAAGAAGAAACACTTGGAAAATAACTAGAAGGAAACAGTAACAAAAAATAACTAGTGACAAAGCAACATATATATTATTTTGTCACTCTTTTTTTTTTTTTTTTTTTTGAGACAGGGCCTCACTCTGTCATTCATGCTGGATCACTGCAGCCTCAATCTCCTGGGCTCAAGTGATTCTCCCTCCAGCAAAACTGGCTAAATTTTAATTTTCATAGAGATGGGGTCTCACTACATTGCCCAGACTGGTCTTGAACTCCTGGGCTCAAGTGATCCTCCTGCCTCAGCCTCCCAAGGTTCTGTGATTACAAGTATGAGCCACTGTACCTGGCCTGATGAAGCAATAGTAACGAGCACGATTTTTTTCAGAAAATGAAATTATTCAAACCTTTCATTATCAGAATCACAAAAATAATCATGTCATTTGATCTAGTAAAACTATTTTTAGGAATATATTCCAGGCTGGGCACAGTGGTTCATACCTATAATCCCAGCATTTTTGGATGTCAAGGTGGGAAGATCACTTGAGCCCAGGAGTTTGAGACCAGTCTGGGCAACATAGTGAGACCCCATCTCTATAGAATTTTTTTTTTTAATTAGCCAGGAGTGGTGGCACTTGCCCATGGTCTCCGCTACTCAGGAGGGCTGAGGTGGGAGGATCACTTGAGCCCAGAGGTTTGAGGCTGCAGTGAGCTATGATTGCACCACTGCACTCAGCCCAGATAAGAGAGTGAGACCCTGTCTTGAAAATAATAACAATAATATATTCCAACATTTTGCTAAAATAAATCACAGTTCCTATATGTAATCTCTATTAATGTATATTACATGTAATCTAAACTTTATGTAGCAAATTTGCGTAAATCATAAATCTTGAATAAAAGAATGTATAAGATACTATAATCATTAATCACATAGGCCTAGCAGACTTATGGCAGGATAAATTTCATCCCTAGCTCTCATTCTTCTCCCTTGTAAAATATTTACTTATCCATTGAATACTAGTTATGTTCCAGAGAAATGTATCTTCAGTTATCTATATTAGATACCAAACTTCCATCTGTAATATTAACTGTGCTCTCTCATTTCCCCACTCCGTTGGTGTTCTTTTTTATCTTTCTTTTGTGCAAATGTTTCCCTCTTTTTTTTTTTTTGAGACAGAGAGTCTCACTCTGTTGCCCAGGCTGGAGTGCAGTGGCATGATCTCAGCTCACTGCAATCTCTGCCTCCTGGGTTCAAGTGATTCTCCTGCCTCAGCCTCTGGAGTAGCTGAGATTACAGGCGTGTGCCAACACACCTAATTTTTGTGTTTTTTGTAGAGACGGGTTTTCACCATGTTGGCCAGGATGGTCTCAAACTCCTGACCTCAAGTGATCCTCCCACCTCAGCCTCTCAAATGCTGGGATTACAGGCATGAGCCACCACGTCTGGCCATTTTTCTTATTTTATATAAATTTATATATAGCTTGAATTTTTCTATTTTGTTGTCAATGATTTTCTTTAATGTTTTTATAATTTCTAAATTATCTGATTCCTTATTACTCAGTAATTCCCCATCTGGGGTTCTCTCTTGAAAAATGATCAGAAACTTGGACACCCTGAAAGGGATCACAGTTAGGTGGAGATGGTAGTGGTGAGGAGGGAAGTGGGGATTCACTTTCTAACGTATACATTTTGCATTGTTTGCCAGGTGTTTTTACTTCTTTCCGTTTTTAAAAATTGTTTGGTTTTTTGTTGTTATTTTTTGTTTGTTTGTTTTTTGAGACAGGGTCTCACTCCCATCACCTAGGCTGGAATGCAGTGGCTTGATCACAGCTCACTGCAGCCTCAACTTTCTGACTCAAGTGATCCTCCCACCTCAGCCTCCTGAGTAGCTGGGACTACAGGTGCATGCCACCATGTCTGGCTAAGTTTTGTATTTTTTGTAGAGAGAGGATTTTGCCATGTTGCCAGGCTGGCCTCGAACTCCGAGGCTCAAGCAATCCTCCCGCCTTGGCCTCCCAAACTGCGGGATTATAGGTGTAACCCACCATGCCCAGCCTAAAAATAGTTTTTTAAAAAATTACAGTACTCCCCTCCCTCATTATAAAGACTTTAAAAATGAGGAAATACTTTAGTGATATAAAAAAGCAGCCTCAACAAAAATCAACATTTTAAAGTATGTTAATTAGAGGATTATTTATAATAGGAAAATGTAAAATAGCTAACAAAAAGAGATTGATTTGTAATATATAATATGTTTAAAACAACAAATTGGACAGATGTTAAAGAAAATGATGTTAACAAAATATTTTTTTAATAACTGGAAAATGTAACATTTAATTCGTTCATTGAGGACTTATAATTAGATTCAGCTATTTGCAGTCATTTTTAAGCTATTATTTATTGTACAAAAACCATTATTAGAACACAAAGTAGAAATTAAAATACAAGAAAGGTTCATACAGTTGTGTCACATCACACGGTAAGTTCCAGGCTTTGTCAGCACGTGCACATAACTTTTAAATAATTGTCATTTAACAACTTTGTGCTTACATATTTTCAGAGGTGTTTTAGGAGGTGTGAGCTTAAATTTTAGAGATTTTCAATTAAGAAGTGTTTTTAATCATATTATGTGAGTTTACAGCATCATAAAAATATTTGTCACTATGTAAAACATCTACATAATAAAAATATCAATCAGCATATTTATTGCATTTCTGCTATGCTTTCTCAGATGGTTCCTAAGGGAAGAATTATTAACAGCCTTTGATGATTGGTGGAAGAAAGCAGCAATAAATGGATGAATAAAGAAAACTTTGGATGAGTTCTACTTTGTTAAAATCTCAAAAGGAACATGTAGTGGGGAAAAAGGCTGATTCAAAGCAATGGCTCACAATGTTGTGAATTAAGTGAAATCTTATCCATGTTTTAAGCAAGTGGTACTGATTAGGAAACATCTTTTTTTTTTTTTTTTTTTGAGACAGGATCTCGCTTTATCACCCAGGCTGGAGTGCAGTGGTGCAATCATGGCTCTCTCCACCCTCAACCTCCTGGGCTCAAGCCATCCTCCCACTTCAGCCTCCTGAGTGGCTGGGACTATAGATGCACACCGACATGCCTGACTAAGTTTTTTGCACTTTTTTTGGTAGAGACGAGGTTTTGCCATGTTGCCCAGACTGGTCTTGAACTCCTGACTCAAGCAGTCTGCTGCCTTGAGCTCCCAAAGTGCCGGGATTATAGGCATGAGCCACCACACCTGATGGGAAACATGTTTTGTTTTCTTCATAGACTCCACCAGTTTATAGTTGTGATCAATTACATTAAAATTTTTCATTCATACTAATTGTGTGTGTGTGTTTGTTTGTGTGTGTGTGTGTGTGTGTGTGTGTGTGTAGAGAGATGGCATTTTGCCATGTTGCCTGGGCTGGTCTTGAACCCCTGAGCTCAAGTGATCCTCCTGCCTTGGCCTCCCAAAGTGCTAGGATTACAGGGATGCACCACTGTGCCCGGCCATTCTTACTAATTGTTGACAGCAAAACTTCTTGCTCTTTATTTTTCAACATTTTAATTAAAATGCATATAGTTTCTTTTCTTTTTCTTTCTTTCTTTCTTCTTTTTTTTTCTCTTTCTACTCTCCTGTTAACTCACAAAACAACGTAGAGTTTCTACTGGTAATAATTCAAGGACATTGTTGTTATTGTTGTTGTTGAAAATCTTTATTTTCCAGATGAGGAAACCAAAGCTCAGGAAAGATTAAGTCACCTGCCCAAGGCCACATAGATTAAAACGTGGCAAGATTGGTATTTGAACCAGTCTGTGGGGCCCAAGCCCACACCCTCTCCACACTAATTTTCACAACAATCTGATAAAGTAGATGTTGATATGATCTCCACCTTACAGATGAAGTTTGAGAACAAGATTTGAGCAGCTCCACGACTATAGCTCAGGGTGGACAAACTAAAACTCCACTCTCAACCTTTATGTTATCAGTATTTCTTGAATGAATGAATGAATGATTCCTTTTGCTCCTTTTGTAACCAAAAGACAGACTCAGTCACTCACCACTTGCTGAGTCCAATTAAGAGTGAGGCCTGTTATAAAGAAAGTGACCTTTGTTCCAAAGCTAGCTTAGTGGAAGAAGTACAGGCTCTTGCTTTTAAGGGTACCGCTTTGCTTTTGGAGCAGAAAGCCGCACTTTTTTTTTTTTTTTTGAGATGGAGTCTCGCTTTTGTCACCCAGGCTGGAGTGCAATGGCACGATCTCGGCTCACGGCACCCTCCGCTGCCCGGGTTCAAGCAGTTCTCCTGTCTCCGCCTCCCGAGTAGCTGGGACTATAGGTGCCCACTACCACGCCCAGCTAATTATTGTATTTTTAGTAGAGATGGGGTTTCACCATATTAGTCAGGCTGGTCTCAAACTCCTGACGTCAGGTGATCTGCCTGCTTTGGCCTCCCAAAGTGCTGTGATTACAGGCGTGAGCCACTGCCCCCGGCCGGAAGCAGGCACTTTTAAAGGGGGACTTGGCATGAATGGCATGCAGAGAGGAAAATGCAGATGGGAATCTGCATAGCTTGATTTGGTGCCTCCACTGCTGTGGGCAGTGGAGCTGGTGCCTTTTGTGGGCAGAACTAGGTTGTAAAATGGCTGAAACTCTCCAGGTGGGAGAGAGTTTCATAGTAGGCATACTTTGGATTGTAGATTGACTGTTGTCTCTTGAGGGAATCTCCTGGTGGGAGTTCTGCTCTGAAGCTTCTAAGGACGTAGTTAGATGACCTTGCCCTGTAGGGAGCATCTGGTGCAGGGGAGGTAAAAAATTATAATTACATGTATAAAGAGCTATGTAGGAAGTGGAGCACAGGGGAAAAGAAGGAAACAGAAAAAAATAATTAAAAAATAACTCATTTTGTATCTCTTAGCAAATGGGGGTACTCAGTTATACTTTTGGCTCCAACTTCAAGATTTTAAGACAAGTACCAATTTTACTCCATTTCAGTATGTTTACAGATAGAACCCATCAGATGAAGACCACCAGGAACACACTTGTAGTTAATGTTTGGTTTGTTTATTTGCTGTCCTGGGGTTTCTGGGCAAGAGAGACTTGGGAGAGGCTTATCATGGGGTTTGGGCTTGTGCCGAATGATTCTGACGAGGGACGGGGAGAAGTAGGGGTCAGCTCTGGAATGGTGCTGTCATGAAGCAGGGGCAGTTTAGCAATTGAGAGTTCTCAATAATCTTTGTTCTGGAGCTGACAGGAACAAAGCAGAACTGGGGATGTCACTGGTAAAAGAGCAGTAATCACTCAAAAGGAGAGGGGCTGTATAGCCCAAGAAGAAACATTCTTTACATGGCCTTGGCCTCCTCTCATTAGAAACATTTTTTTTTTTAGGTTCTGTTAGGAACATGCTAGCCTGATTGCCTGTTTCCTTGGAAATTACAGTTTAAAAACCTTTTATCTGAAGCTCTGGGTTGGAAATTGAGGCAACTCTCCTATGTCAAAGTGACCCATATGGCTCAGATCTTTCAAGTAGGAGTGAGATATTTCATTCTCATTGATAAAATTTCAAACAGCAAAGTTTCTCATAAATTATGATGTTTTCCAATGGAAATGTAATGTGAACCATCCACGTAATTTAAATGTTTCTAATAGACACATTAAAAAGTAAATAGAAACAGGTGAAATTAATTTTAGTAATACATTTTAACTCAATATATTCCCAATATTCAACATGAAATCAATATGAAAATATTAACTTACTTTCTTAATTATTTTTTTTTTTGGTACCAAGTCTCAGATATCCAGTATACAGCTGGGCACAGTGGCTCATGCTTGTAATCCCAGCACTTTGGGAAGCTGAAGCAGGAGGATCAAGGCTAGGAGTTCGAGACCAGCCTGCGCAACATAGTATGACCTTGTCTCTAAAAAAAGAAAAAAAGAAAAAGAAAAAAAAAATAAATCCAGTATAGCAGATATCAATTTGGGCTTTAGATTTTCATTGGAAATACTTGCTTTGTATTTAGAAAATTTGCAGTTGAAAAAGTGAATTTACAGTTGGAAAGGTAGATTTACATACTCCAGTTGTTCCAACATATTCAAGAGTTTTCCAATAACTGAATTTAAAACACATACCAGTTTTATATTTAAATTTAAATGACAGCTGACCCTCAAATAACATGGGTTTGAACTGCCCCATCCCCTTATACATGGATTGTCTTCTGCTTTGGCACCTCTGGACAGCAAGACCAATCCCTCCTCTTCAGCCTACTCAATGTGAAGATGAAAAGGATGAAGATCTTTACGATGACCCACTTTCACTTAATGAATAGTAAACATATTTTCTTAATAACATTTTCTTTCTCTAGCTTACTTAACTGCAAGAATATAGCAAATAATACCTGTAACAGGGGAGGCTAAGGCAGCATGATCGGTTGAGCCCAGGAGATTAAGGCTGCAGCAAGCTATGATCACATCACTGCATTGCAGCCTGGGCTATGGAGCGAGACTCTGTCTTTAAAATAAATAAATAAGTAAACAAATAAAACATAGGAAATATGTGTCAATTCACTGTTTATCAGTAAGGCTTCTGGTCAACAGTAGGCTATTAGTAGTTAAGTTTTAGGGAAGTCACTAGTTATACTCGAATTTTCTACTGCCTGAAACACACCTCATCTTCGTGTGGTTCAAGGTCAACTGTACTGAAAGTAAAATGTAAAATTCAGTTCCTCAGTCACTCTAGGCACAATTCAGGTGCTCAATAGCTATGTGGCTGGTGGCAACCATGTTGGATGGCTCAGGTCTGTGATTTGAGAGAACAAGTTTTCTCATCAACTGCCCTTGATGTCTAAAAACCAGACTTTGCAGGTCCATACTATCTTTAGTTCTCTTTCTCCTACCTTACCTTTTTTGTAGCCATAAATTCTCTGCCACATTACATGAACTCTCAATTTTATTATATTTCATTTTTTCTTTTCAGCTTGAAGCTCAGGGCTGCTGTCCAGCCCTGTCCACTCCCCTGTCAAGGGATTGTATCATCATTGCGAAACAAGCATATAATCTTCTACGACTTCCAAGTACATACATAATGGCACAAAGGAATTATAGTTTTTCAGAGCTCTTCCCTGAAACCAGATGCCATGACAAGTAAGATACATTACAAGTTTCCTGATACAAAAATTACAAGGTTCCTCAAGTTAACAGTAAAGAACTTTGGCAGACTACAGACAATGCTCCTGCCTGCATCGATACTTTAAAATAGGGTTCCGTGTGCCCAGTTCCAGAGACAAAACATGCTTGTGCCCAATGATGATCTAACAAAGGGAAAAGTGTACCCATATTCATGATTCAGTTCTGCCATTAACTAATTATGAATCAATGGGTAAATAATTTAAATCAGTATGTTTTCCAAGGTATACACTGATACTTGCTTCAGTATTGTGAGAGAATTTTTAATCTATAGAATAAAAGAAATCTGGCCAGGCACAGTGGCTCACACCTGTAATCCCAGCACTTTGGGAGGCCAAGGCAGGAGGATTTCTTGAGCCCAAGAGTTTGAGACCAGCCTAGGCAATGTAGTGGGACCTCATCTCTACAAAAAAGTTTTAAAAAAATCAGCCGAGCATGGTAGCGCATGCCTATAGTCCCAGCTACTTGGGAGGCTGAGGTGGGAGGATTGCTTGAGCCTAGGAGACAGAAGTTTCAGTGAGCCAGGATTGCACCACTGCACTCCCAACATGGGCAACAGAGCAAGACTCTGACTCAAAAAAAAATTTTTTTTAAGAATAAAAAAATCAAAGAGAAGCAAAGTGATATAATCATTTTAAAAGGGAGCTTGTTGTTCTAGAAAGAGCATAAATAAACAATGAAGAGTTATCTCTCCTCAGAGAGATGTGGATTCAAATTAGGAGCCAAGTAGTCAAGACACCAAGATGTAGCTAGGGCCACTGTTTAAAGTGAGAGTTGGAGTTTAAAACCAGCTACTATAGCAGGACTGCTGACTCTGCAATGCACTGTTTTGTTAGATTATGATTGGATTAATATGTGTATATTAGATTCATTCTGTAGAACTTTTGTGTAAAGTTACTTTTTTTATATAGCATGTATTCCCATGAAGAGAAAAAAAATGCAAGCCCAAGGATTTTCACACTCAAAAAGGAACATTCTAACTTTATCAATGTGCCTCCTAAGTCAGTTCATTTCCCTATTCAAAGCTGCAAGAAAATGTCATCAAATAGTCAATACAAAGGCTCTTTGCATGTTCAACAGTAAAGAACCGTAGGCTCATATTGAAATATGCTGGCATGTGCATGGTGGCTCACACCTGTAATCCCGGCACTTTGGGAGGCTGAGGCGGGTGGATTACGAGGTCAGGAGATCAAGACCATCCTGGCTAACATGGTGAAACCCCGTCTCTACTAAAAATACAAAAAATTAGCCAGGTGTGGTGGCAGGCACCTGCAGTCCCAGCTACTCTGGAGGCTGAGGCAGGAGAATGGCGTGAACCCAGGAGGCGGAGCTTGCAGTGAGCCAAGATCGCGCCACTGCACTCCAGCCTGGGCGACACAGCAAGATTCCGTCTCAAACAAAACAAAACAAAACAAAACAAAACAAAAGAAACAAAATACGCTGGCATACAGCACTCCATTTACTCCTATTTTATTGAGCAATATTACTGATCATAAAACTTGGATGTTTTATTGTTAAACAATTTTATAATTGCAAAACATATTAGGTGCATATGGAAAAACTAGGAAAACACGTAACCATAAGAAGAAAATATAAATGACAAAATTATACTCTCTGGATCAAATAATTAATTAAATATTTTTTATTTGTCCACTTTCCTTGTGTGATCTTGAGTAGGTTGCTTTAAGGCAAGTTACTTGCCAGGCTTGGTGGTGTGCACCTGTAGTCCCAGCTACTCTGGAGGCTGAGGCAGGAGAATCACTTGAACCCAGGAGGCAGAGGTTGCAGTGAGCCGAGATCACGCCACTACACTCCAGCCTGGGCAGCAGAGCAAGACTCAAACAATAAATAAATAAATAAATGACTCATGAATACTGCCATTGTTCCAGATAGCAGCAGAATCCTTTTCTGGGAATAATTATTTGGTGATTTTTATGGAGGATACAATTTGCTGGCATCCTAGTGAAACTGTACTCATTTTTAAAATGTTTAGTATACAATATAAAAGACTAAGATTTGAAAGACTGAAAATTGTACATCGTTCAGAGGTTATCAGTGTTCATTAAAATGTCACTAATTTTATGTTTGTCATTAATATTAGGCATTCAATAAGCAGTTGCTAGTTGGCTGATCAAGCGACTGCTCAGGTAACAGAGTTGATTAACAGTGAATGGGGTTATCATGGCTCCTCTGGACTTGAAACAAAAAAATTGCTTTCAACTTCACCATTAGAACTATTTGAGGGCAGGAACTGTATCTTCTTCAATTGTGCTTAAATACAGCACTTGGTACGTAGTAGGGCTCAATGCCATGTTGAATTAAGCTCCACAGAATGATTTAAATGATTTAACCACTTATCTAAGTTTCACAGGTTCTCTGATTTAAAAAACACAAGTAAGTAAATAAATACAAATTAATGCTACTTGGAAAAATGCTGATTTTAGTACTGTGGCAGGAAAACATATAAGATGAGTTATGAGCATCTTGTGGTATCAAAGAGTAAGGAAGTGCTAAAACAAATAAACAGAAACAAAAAAAAACTATACAATGATGGGAATATGTCAAAGTGATAGAGGAACAAACTGAAAGAGCTGCCAATGGCTATAGCTGGAACAATTTGAGCAATAAAATAAAGTAGTATGGGAGTATAACCCAAAGTATAAAATAAATATTCTAAGAATCCATCCTGATATAGGCAAATGATTAAATAAATAAGTAATGAGGGGAAAGGAAGCAAGATGGCGAAATAGAAGCCCACACCATTCATCTCTTACTGGAACATCAAATTTTAATGACTATCTGCACACAGAACCAAAAATCAGGTGAACAATCATGGTACCTGGTTTTGACTTCAAATTTCCAAAAGAGGCATTGAGGAAGGCAAGAGAAATAGTCTTGAATTGCTGACACCACCCCTCCCGCATCCTCCACCAGTGGCCATGTGGTATGGAGAGAGAATCTGTGCACTTTGGGGAGGGAGAGCGCAGTGACTGATGGACTTCACATTATATTCAGTGCTGCCTTGTCACAGCAGAGTTAAAGCTGTGCTGGGTTCAGCCAGCACCCACGCATGGAGGGAGGATTTGGACCATCCCTAGCCAGAGGGCAATAGCCTAGCAATTGGAACTTGAGCTTCTCAGCAAGGCACACCACAGCAGGCTGAAGTGCTCTGGGGTCCTAGGTAAACCTGAAAGGCAGTCTGAACACAAGGACTGCAAGTCCTAGGCAATTCCTAATGCTAGGCTTGCCTTACAGCCAGTGAACTAGCATGGTAAGTGACCTAGAGTGACACCAGCTGGCACACCTTGTGCCATACCTCCCCAAACCCCAGGCAGTGCAGCTCTCTGCAACAAAGTGACTCTTTCCTTCTGCTTAAGTAGAGGAGAGCAAAGAGTAAAGAGGACTTTGTCTTGTATCTGGGATACCAGCTCAGCCACAGTACGATAGGACATTGAGCAGGGTGATGAGGCTCCCATCCCAGGCCCTAGCTCCTAGACAACATTTCTAGACACACCTTGGGCCAAAAGGGAACCTACTGCCTTGAAAGGAAGGACTCAGTCCTGGCAGGATTCATCAGTCCTTGGGCCCTGAATAGCAGCAATACCAGCGAGTATGCTGTGGGCCTTGGGCTCTGAGATATGCTGGCTTCAGGGGTGACCCAGCACATTCCCAGCTGTGGTGGCTACAATGGAAGACTCCTTCTATTTGAGAAAAGCAGAGGGAAACATAAAGGAGGCTTTGTCTTGCACCTTAGGTACCAGTTCAGCCACAGAGGGGTAGAGCACCAAGAGGGTTCTTGGGGGAGTCCTCGAGTCCAGGCTTAGGCTCTTGACAGCATTTCTGGATCTGCCCTGGGCCAGAGGGGAGCCCACTGCCCTGAAGGGTGAGTTCTAGGCCTGGCAGCATTCACCGCAAGCTGACAGAAGAATGCTTGAGCTTTATGTGATCATCAGCCGTGGCCTGGCAGAAACCCCCATGAACAGGTGGTGGTGGTGGCTATAGGAGAGGCTCCTCTGCCTGTGGAAAGGGAAGGGAAGAGTTGAAAGGGCTTGTATTATGGTTTGAATGCCAGGTTAGCTACAGTAGAATAGAACATCAGGTAGGCCAGGCGCAGTGGCTCACACCTGTAATCCCAGCACTATGGGAGGCCGAGGTGGGTGGATCACCAGGTCAGGAGTTCAAGACCAGCCTGGCCAACATAGTGAAACCCTGTCTCTAATAAAAATACAAAAATTAGCCGGGTGTGGTGGCGGACGCCTGTAATCCCAGCTACTCAGGAGACTGAGGCTGGAGAATCACTTGAATCTGGGAGGCAGAGGTTGTAGTGAGCTGAGATTGCGCCATTGTACTCCAGCCTGGGCGGCAGAGACTCCACCTTAAAAAAATAATAATAATAATAATAAAAAGAACTTCAGGTAAATTGCTAAGATTTCTGACTCCAATCCCTGGCTCCCAGACAGCCCAGCTCTGGGAACAGCCGGGGCCTAGGGGAACTCACTGCCATGATAGGTGCTGGCTTAAGGTCTGATCCAGCACAGTCCCAGTGGTGGTGGCCACAGTGAGCCACCACCCTCAGTTCCAGCTGGCTCAGCAGAGAGAGACATTCCATTTATTTCGGAGCAAGTGAGTGAAAAGAACAAGAGTCTCTGCCTGTAATTCAGAGAATTCTTCCAGATCTTTGCCAAGACTATCAAGGTGGTACCTCTACAAGTCTGAAAAAACCACAGCATTATTAGGCTTGGGGCACAAGTCCCTTCAAACACCCTGAAAGCCTTCCCAAGAAGGACAGCCAAAAACAAGCCCAGATTGTGAAGACTACAATAAATACTTAATTTTTCAATGCCCACACACCAATGAACATCTACAAGCATTAACACCATCCAGGAAACATGATCTCATGAAATGAACTAAATAAGGAACCAGGGACCAATCCTGGAGAAACATAGATATAGGAACTTTCAGGCAGAGAATTCAAAGCAGCTGTTTTGAGGAATCTCAAAGAAAATCAACATAACACAGAGAAGGAATTCAGAATTCTATCAGATAAATTTAACAAAGAAGCTGAAATAATTTAAAAGAAGCAGAAATTCTAGGGTCAAAAAATATAATTGACATGCTGAAGAATGCATCAGAGTTTCTTAATAGCAGAATAGTTTTCTTTTCTTTTTTTTTTTTTGAGACAGGTTCCTACTTTTTTGTCCAGGCTAGGGTACAGTGGTGCGATCATAGCTCACTGTAACCTCAAACTCCTGGGCTCCAGTGATGTTCCCACTTCAGCCTCCCAAGTAGTGGGACTAGAGATGTGCGCCACCATGCCCAGCTAATATTGTATTATTATTATTATTATTATTTGGTAGAGATGGGGTCTTGCTATGTTGCCAGTGCTGGACTTGAACTCCTGGCCTCAACTGATTCTCCCATCTTGGCCTCCCAAAGTGCTGAAATTACAGGTATGAGCCACCATTCTCAGTCTCTTTTTTTTTTTTTTTTTTTTTGAGATGGAGTCTCACTCTGTCACCCAGGCCAGAGTGGAGTGGTGCGATCTCAGCTCACTGCAACCTCCACCTCCTGGATTCAAGCGATTCTCCTGCCTCAGCCTCCTGAGTAGCTGGGACTACAGGCGCGCACCACCACACCCGGCTAATTTTTGTATTTTTAGCAGAGACGGCATTTCACCATATTGGCCAGGGTGATCTTGATCTCTTGACCTCGTGATCCCCCCGCCTTGACCTCCCAAAGTGCTGGGATTACAAGCGCAAGCCACAGTGCCTGGCCAGAAGGGTGAACATTAGAGACTGACAACCCCACGTGCTGGAAAGCATGTGAAACAAGTGGAACTCTTATATGTGGCTGGTGGGAATTGTAAAATGGTACAACCACTTTGGAAAACTGCTTGGCAATTCCTTACAAAGTTAGACATGGGTGACGGCACCCGCCTATAGTCCCAGCTATTCAAGAGGCCAAGGCTGCAATGAGCTATGATTGTGCCACTGCTCTCTAGCCTGGGGGACGGAGAGACCCTGCTTCTAAAAAAAAAAAAAAATTTTAAGTTAAACATACCCAGAATGACCCAGAAATTCCACTCCTGTATTTCCTCAAGATAAATAAAATATGCCCACAAGGACTTGTACGAGAATGGTTATAGCAACTTTGCTCATCATCACCAAAAATTGAAAGCAATACAAATCCATCAACTGGTGAATGCATAAAGTATTCAATGGAATGCCTCTCAATAACAAACACTACTAACTTCTGGTTCACGCAGACCCAAAAGAGTACCTATCACCTTCATTTTTATAGTGCTAGAAATAAGAGGAGTGGTTGCTGATGTGGTGGGAGATGGACAGGAAAGAAACAGGCCACTCTTCTGAGTGATGGAAATGCTCTACGTCCTGATTGGGTGGTAGTTACACAGCTGTTTACATTTACCAAACTCATCAAATTGTCCACTGGGGGGGAAAAACTATTATTTTCACTGTATACGAAAACTTCGCCTCAACAAAAAATGAACTAAAAAAGAAAAAAAAGGGGAGGGGGGCTGGCGACGTTGAAAAGTAACGCTAAACTATGTAAGGATTTGATAATTGGGGTAAGCCTTTTCTTTAAAACGTCTAGTAAAGAAAACATTCCAAGAAGGTCTGCTAGATTCTGTGACTAAACAAGGACATTAAAAAGCCCTGAATCCAGCTTGGTCAACGTAGTGAGGCCCTGTCTCTACGGAATTTTTTTAAAGTTAGCCAGGCGTAGTGGTGCGCGCCTATAGTCCCAGCTACTCGGGAGGCTGAGGTGGGAGGATGGTTTGAACACAGCAGCTCAAGGCTGCAGTGAGCAGTGGTCGGTGCCCACTATACTCCAGCCTAAGGGACAGAGACCTTGTCTCAAAAAAAAGAAAAAAGAAAAAAAAAAAAAGCCTTGCGAGCTCTGGGGGAGATTTCCCGCAGCCCAGCTTTGCCAGGGACCCAGCCTCACCCCTCGGGCTCCACCGCCCACTCCCGCCCTTCACCTGACGTGAGCGCCCCGACTGCTCCACTCCTTCTCATCCCGCGTCGCGGTCCCGCCTATTTTCCCTCTCTCACCCATCTTTTGAACTGGCCCTTCACCTTTCAATCAATTCAAATATCGCACGGAGCAAACCAATCGCAAGCCTCGTTGAGTGGAAGGGGTGGGATCTTCCCCGGAAGTGTTGGTTAAAGCCCCTCCAATCAGCGGCTCGGTGCGGCAAGTTTGAATTTCGTGGAGGCTCGGGTTGTGAGGGTTCCTGCTTCGGAGTCGGCGGTGGTCGTCCAGACCGAGTGTTCTTTACTTTTTGTTTGGTTGAGGTTTCACGCTAGAAGGTGGCTCAGGTAGGTGGGTGCTGGAGAGCTGGACGGAGAACACTGGCCCGCTTCCGTTGAAGGTCTAGAAGGGTCTGAGGACCGGGGGCTGCGAGCGGGAGCAAGTCAGAGGCAGGCTCCTTTAGGACCGTGTTACCTGCCCTTCCCGAAGCTGATAATGCGAGCCTTTAGAAGAGTCCATATGTTTGCCCTGACCTCTGTAATAGTCAGCGTTTCACCACCGGGGCGTAATTGACCTTTGGGGTGAAACTGTTCTTCACTAGCTCCGACATTAAATTCCCGTAGCTCTTCCCAGGTCCCATGGCAACTAAAAACGCCCGGTTGAGAACCTCTAGTCAAGCAAGATTAACGCATTCTGGACTTTCAAGCTGGAGGAAACGCCACTCAGCCAAACAAAATTTAGGTGTGTGTGGAGCCAGGGCTGCCTTGCTTGGGATCCCAGCTTCACCACCTTTTAGATATGCTAATGTGAGCAGTTAATTGACCTCATCTGTATGAGAGCGATAATAGTTAACTACCTTTCAGGGTTATTCTGATAATTGTACCTTTAATGTTGTCCTCGCTCGCTCTTTCTCTTGCTGTGGATAGTGCTATCCTGTATTTAATACATAAGTCTTAATTTTTCTTCAATCTTTAGCGAATTAATATTGCAGGAGATAAATAGTAGAAGACAGTTCTTTATGAAAAGCACAGTCCATTGTCACTTTCCTTGGGTCTTAGAGGAGAATGTTATTAGCATGCAGGTCAGACAGATTCTCGTTTTTTATATTTTGTTGATTGCTTAGAATCATGTAACAATGTATTGCATTACTTGTGCCAATTTTTCTATTATCTGGAGTTTTCTAGTGGATTTAGTTAATTCTTGTTGAAGAATATACCATAGTGTGTCTATCACAGAGCCTCCCCCTTACCTTTTTTTGTTTTTGTTTTTTAACTGCCAAGACTTCTGAGAATCAGTATCCTTTCTCCAGTTTGGCTTGGTAGTTCTCTATACCAGCTACACAGGTGACCCCCTCAAACTTTCTAATTTTCTTTGTTCTCCCTAGTTGGATCTACTGACGTCGTCTTTATTGTCCTCTTTTGTTTTGCTTGAATACATTCTCAAAGATCTTTCCAAGAAAAAGGCATGTGCCAATTAAACTATATGATTTTGTGCGTGTGTGTGTGTGTGTGTGTGTGTGTATGGCTTTTCTTTTTTAAAATTTATAGAGACGGGGTCGTGTTATGTTGCCCAGGCTGGTCTCAAACTCCTGGGCTCAAGCAGTCCTGCCTCGACCTCCCAAAGTGGTAGGATTACAGGCCTAAGCCACCGTGCCGGCCTAAACTGTATGATTTCTTGTATGGATGAAAATAATGGAGCAAACTGATAGGGTTATTGTGAACTATATATTTGGTCTTGTTCTGTTTTCTGGCAAACAACTACTAAAATCCTTGGAGTCTTCAAAGTGGTACCTTTTTGTATGCTAATGATTGACTGATAGCTGGATGCCTCTAAATAGCTTCAGGATTGGGGCTGGTCACTAGACAGACCAAGGCAGGATTTCTCGAGAGTTGGCATTTTCAGCCCCACCTCACAACCTCTGGGGAGGGGAGAGGAGCTGAAGGTTGACTTGATCACCAGTGGTCAATGATTTAATCACTCATGCTTATGTAATGAAGCTGCCATAAAAACCAAAAAAAAACACCTGTGTTTGGAGAGCTTCTTAGGTGAATACATGAAGGTTCCTAAACAGTGGTGCTACCTGAGAGAGCATGGAAGCTCCTTGTTCCTTTCCACATACTTTGCCCTGTGCCTCTCTATCCAACTCTATCTGTATCCGGTTGCCTATTGATTATCCCTATATGACTAATAGGTACCTGGTGTGGGGTTTTTGTTTGTTTTTGGTTTTCTTTTGGCTTTAGAAGAAATGTTAGACTACCTGCATTCCTCATCATGGGTAAGGAAACCCTTGTGTACATGGTCCTTCACTTAACCTATTTTCACCTTTATTTCACGCTTTTCTTTTTGCAGTGTTCTCTGTGGTAAGCCCAGAGCCTCTTTTATTCTGGACTATCACTTACTGGCTTTCTCTTCACTGGTCAAGCAAGTTCCTATTTAAAACCCCCAAATAGGTAGCTTCTTATTCTCTGATAATCTTCTTCTCACTTTTCAGTGTTACATATTTATTTCATTGCACATTTTATATTTTTATTTCAGAAGGCCCTGAAGTGGGACAGGAAATGAACTGTAATCTTAATTTTTTAAATAATGAAAATTCATGTAAGTTGGGTTTTGTCCTTTTCCTTGACAGGATGTCTTCATCACATTTTGCCAGTCGACACAGGAAGGATATAAGTACTGAAATGATTAGAACTAAAATTGCTCATAGGAAATCACTGTCTCAGAAAGAAAATAGACATAAGGAATACGAACGAAATAGACACTTTGGTTTGAAAGATGTAAACATTCCAACCTTGGAAGGTAGAATTCTTGTTGAATTAGATGAGACATCTCAAGGGCTTGTTCCAGAAAAGACCAATGTTAAGCCAAGTAAGTAAAGGTCTGTTGTAATTTTAAGTACTTTGAAGAGTGAATAATAGTTGGTTTAATGCCTGTGTGAGTAAAAAACTCTGGCCAGAAGAGTTTTGAAATACCATTCTATAAATAACTTTCCTTTTTGGTCTTTTTCCTTTTTTTTTTTTTTTTTTTTTTAAATTACAAGAGACAGGGTCTCACTGTGTCACCCAGGCGGGAGTGCAGTGGTGTGCTCACTGTAACCTCAAATTCCTGGGCTCAAGGAATTATCTTGCCTCAGCCTCCCAAAGTGTGGGGATTACAGGTGTGAGCCACCGCGCCTGGCCCCTTAATAACCTGTTATCTACAACTAACTACTGTCTTTAAGGCAAAAGCCTTTACCTGTGGAGTATTATAACACTTTATTATCTATATTGCTTCATAGAAATCCTAAAGTTCTTACGGAGCTTGGGTAGGATAAGTGTTGACAAGATAAATTGATAAGAAATGTAAAAATAGAATAATTAAAGAATCCATGAAATGAGAGTACTTTGTCAATGGAAACATTAGTAAGAAAAGAGCAAAGAATTCATCCTTGCAGTTTGCCCAGAAGGATTGGGACCATTAGGATGGAAAGAACCAACTAAAGAAGAAAGGAATAATCTCAGAAAAAGATGAAAATAGAGCATCTTAGAAGGCAAAGGATGCTACAGAAAAGAGAAAGCAAACTGAGAAATGACTTGTGTTTAGTCAGGAGTCACCCTACTCCTATTTGTTGTGTTCATATAGCAGGCGTTAGGAGCTAGATGGCATTGAAATAATGCTAGGATAAATAGGGAATGGCAGAAAGAACCAAACATTTTTTATCTGAGAAAGGGTGGTTCCTTTCTCATCTTGTCCTCTCAAATGCTCCATTTCTTAACCAAAAATCTTTCAAATTAAAGTCTAACTATCTCAGTATGCTATTAAAATATCCTTTATTTCCCGTTTGCAAAGGCTTAGAGGTAGGAGTGTGCCTGATATGTTTTAGTGAATGCAAGTAGGTAACTGGGTAGAAAAGAATGAGCAAGGGAGATAGATTACATAGAATCCTAAGGACCATCATTATAAGGACATTGGCTTTTACTCTGAAATGAGAGGCCATTAATGGGTGTTTATGTAATCTGATTCATGTTTTAAAAGGATCGCTTTGGAGTCAGGCCTGTAGCCCTAGCTACTCCAGAGGCTGAGGCAGGAAATCTTGAGCTCAGGAGTTTGAAGCTTCAGTGTGCTACAATGGTGCCTGTGAAAAGTCACTGCACTCTGGCCTCGGCCACACATGGAGATCCTGTCTCCTAAAAAAAAAAAAAAGAAAAGGATCAGGTCGGGCACAGTGGCTCATGCCTGTAATCCCAGCACTTTGGGAGGCCAAGGCGGGTGGATGGCGAGGTCAAGAGTTCGAAACCAGCCTGACCAACATGGTGAAACCCCATCTCTACTAAAAATAAAAAAATTAGCTGGGTGTGGTGACACACACCTGTAATCCCACCTACTCAGGAGGCCGAGGCAGGAGAATCGCTTGAACCCAGGAGGTGGACGTTGCAGTTAGCTGAGATCACGCTATTGTACTCCAGCCTGGGCAACAGAGCGAGACTCCATCTCAAAAAAAAAAAAAAAAAAGGATCACTTTGGCTGCTGTGTTGAGAATAGATTATAGGGTGGTATGTATGACATCAGGGAGAGCAGTAAGTAGACTACTGCAATAACTTAGTTGATACTAAAGTATTAAAAGACAAGGGGCCAGATGCGGTGGCTCATACCTATAATCCCAGTACCCCAGGCTAAGGTGAGTGGATCACGAGGTCAAGAGATCAAGACCATTCTGGCCAACATGGTGAAACCCCATCTCTACTAAAAATACAAAAATCAGCTGGGTGTGGCGCGTGCCTGTAGTCCCAGCTACTTGGGCGGCTGAGGCAGGAGAATCACCTGAACCCAGGAGGTGGAGGTTGCAGTGAGCCAATCACACCACTGCACTCCAGCCTGGGCAACAAAGTGAGACTCCGTCTCAAAAAAAAGACAAGGGAAAACTAGTAAAGAACCAAGGAACAATGCAAAGTAATGTAAGAGGATAACCAGAAGAACGTGCTATCCTAGAAACCGAGTAGAAAAGTGCATATCGAGGAGAGACTGATTAACTATGTTAGTCAGTACTGCTTGTTAGATCAAGTATAATAGAGGTGAGAATTTGGACTTCACCACTGTGGAGGTCACTGGTGATCTTGAATAGTTTTGGTGGAGTGAGGTTCAGGGAGTGAAAGATTGGAATGGATGAGTATAATCAAACCCTTAGATATAATTTGTAGTCTGTAGAAAACATGGAGCCTGGAGGAATGAGTAAATAAACAAATACAGCTTGCAAAGACATTCAATAGGAAAACTGACTACCTTTTGTCAGTAAGACAATGGCATGAAAAGAAGAGTGGGGAGGAGGATCTGTTTTAGATGAAGAGATTTAAAAAGACATTCAAATAAAACGTGTTGCTCTTACTTGGTTCTTGATTTAAGTAAACAGATGGTTTAAAAGACCTCTTTGAAACAAATAGAGACGTTTAAATCTGGACCCTGTAATAGATAACAAGGAATTACTGCTGATTTTGTTAAGTGTGATGATGATATCGTGGCTATGAAAGGAAATGTCTTTATTTTATTTTATTTTTATTTTTTGAGACGGAGTTTTGCTCTTCTTGCCCAGGCTGGAGTGCAATGGCACGATCTCGGCTCACCGCAACCTCTGCCTCCCGGGTTCAAGTGATTCTCCTGCCTCAGCCTTCCTGAGTAGCTGGGATTACAGGCATGCACCACCACGCCTGGCTAATTTTGTATTTTTAGTAGAGACAGGGTTTCTCCATGTTGGTCAGGCTGGTCTCAAACTCCCAACCTCAGATGAACCGCCCACCTCAGTCTCCCAAAGTGCTAGGAGTACAGGCGTGAGCTATCGCACCCTTCCAGAAATGTCTTTATTTTTTAGAAGTATATACTAAAGTATTTAGAGATGAAATCTTCTAAGCATAATTTGTTTTAAACAACTGCAGCAAAATGTTCATAATTATTGAATCTTGGTAATAGGTATATGGGGTTCATTATAATTGTGTGTATATTAGAAGTTTTTCATAATTTTGAAAAGAGAGGGAATGTAAAGAGTGTTGGAAATAGGCTGGGCTTGGTGGCTCACACCTGTAATTCCAGCACTTTGGGATGCCAAGGTGGGTGGATCACCTGAGGTCAGGAGTTCAAGACCAGCCTGTCCAACATGGTGAAACCCCATCTCTACTCAAAATACAAAAATTAGCCAGGCGCAGTGGCGCATGCCTGTAATCCTAGCTACTAGGGAGGCTGAGGCAGAATTGCTTGAACTCAGGAGGTGGAGGTTGCAGTGAGCCAAGATTGCGCCACTGCACTCCAACCTGGGCGACAGAGTGAGACTCTGTCTCAAAAAAGGCCAGGCGTGGTGGCTCACACCTGTACTCCCAGCACTTTGGGAGGCCGAGGTGGGTGAATCATGAGGTCAGGAGTTCGAGACCACCCTGGCCAAAATGGTGAAACTCCGTCTCTACTAAAAATGCAAAAAATTAGCTGGGCATGGTGGTGGGCGCCTGTAATCCCAGCTACTCGGGAGGCTGAGGCAGTAGAATCGCTTGAACCCGGGAGGCCGAGGATGCATTGAGCCGAGATCACGCCGCTGCATTCCAGCCAAGGCGACAGTGCGAGACTCTGCCTCAAATAAATAAATAAATAAAAGTGTTGATAGTAGAGATACAGGTAACTCTCTTGAAGAATTTTGCCTTAAATGGGACTAGAAAAATAAGTGCTAGATGAGGATGTAGGTTGGGAGAAATTACCGCATGCTTGTAACTTCATAATGGCAACAATTCAGTAGAGGAAAAAATAGATGAGTAAGAGGATAAGTTGCTGGAAGAATGTCCTTGAGTAGGTGAGAAGAAATAGAGTACATCTATTATAATAAATAGCACCTATAATTGTATTAGTTATCCCAAAACTTAGCAGCTTAAAACAATAAATATTGATTATTTCATACAATTTTTGTGGGTCAGGAACTTGGGTATGGCTGAGCTGGGTGATTCTGAAGATAGCAGCCAAGATGTCATCCAGAGATATATCTGAAGCCTTAACTGAGACTGGAGGATCTGCCTCCAAGATGACTGACTCACATGAACAGCAAGTTGATGCTGGCTTTTGGAAGGAGGCTGTAGTTCTTTGTCATGTGGACATCTCCATAGGACTGCTTGAGTCTTCTTAAGGCCCCACATGGCACCTGGCTTCTCCCAGAGCAAGCGACGCTTCAAGAGAGAGCAAGGCAAACACTACCCTAGTTTTAGAAGTCATATTCCATTATTCCTGTAATACTCTCTTGGTCACACAAGTCAGCCCTATTCAGTGTGAGGGGATGACACAGGGCAAGACTACCAGGAAGTGAGGATCAGTAGAGGGCAGCTTGGATGCTGGCTATCATACAAGTTAATTAATTTAAAAGTGAAGTAATAAATGCCTATTACATAGCAAGCAGTTAATATTTGAACACATGAAGGCAAAATGAATACAAATTTTAAAAGACTAGGGGTTGAAATAACTTGTGGTTAGAGTGCTAAAGAATTAACAAGAAATATTAAAAGCATTTCCCTTTGTGCGGAGAGGTCTTGCTTTGTTACTCAAGCTGAACTTGAACTCCTGGGCTCAAATGATCCTTCCACCTCAGCCTTCCCAGTAGATGGGACTACAGGTGTGTTACTGTGCCTGGCTTATTGAAAGCCTTTTTTTTTTTCTTGAGACGGAGTCTTGCTCTGTTGCTTAGGCTGGAGTGCAGGGGCGCAATCTTGGCTCACTGCAACCTCCATCTCCTGGGTTCAAGCAATTCTCCTACCTCAACCTCCCGAATAGCTGGGATTACAGGTGACCGCCACCACACCCAGCTAATTTTTGAATTTTTAGTAGAGATGGGATTTCACCACGTTGGCCAGGCTGGTCTCAAACTCCTGACCTCAGATGATCCGCCCTCCTCAGCCTCCCAAAGTGCTGGGATTACAGGCGTGAGCCACCGTGCCTGGCCTGAAAGCATTTTTTAGCAGCAGTTGAAATGACACAAAAATAATTGTTTATACATTTGCATAACTTTTCATCTGAAATGTTTTATATACTGTGTGGTTTTGGTTTTTTTTCTGCCTAGGGGCAATGAAAACTATTCTAGGTGATCAACGAAAACAGATGCTCCAAAAATACAAAGAAGAAAAGCAACTTCAAAAATTGAAAGAGCAGAGAGAGAAAGCTAAACGAGGAATATTTAAAGTGGGTCGTTATAGACCTGATATGCCTTGTTTTCTTTTATCAAACCAGAATGCTGTGAAAGCTGAGCCAAAAAAGGTAAATTTAGTGTCTTAATATAAAGGAATAGTTTCTTTTATTTGGTATTTTCTTCAAGACATTAAGTGACTAACCCCTTTCCCTTAGTCTCATTATTAACTGGTTGGTAGAAGGTGGGAATGACATAATAGTAGCTCAGAAGAATGAAAATCAGGTCTCTTAAGATAGCTGTAGGTAAGTTGAGATAGGATAAAACTAGGAAAATTGGTAGAATCAGGCTGAACAATGTTATGCAAAGGATTTGGTGTTTATCCTGTAGGTTTTGCAGAATCAGGAGAAGTTTATAAATAAGGGTAGTGCCGTTGTCAAATTAATAATTCAGGAAAATACCATAGCCCTAAAGATTTTAGTCTGGAAAGGGAAGCATTTATAGATAGGGAGACCAATTGTGAGACTATTGTAATAGAATAGATGGAAAGGGGCAGTGGGTTTTAAAAGGAAAAAATAGGTGTAAGACATCTAAATAAAGGCATTTGACAGGACTGGTGGCCAAGTAGATGGTGAGGGGTAAAGGAAATTGAAAAAGCAGAGAGAAGCTCTGCTGCTAAAAGAGATAAGGAAGATAAGGAACAAGCTTAAGTGGGTGCATGTTAATAACCTTTTTAAAAATCTTAAACTTGTGTGGGCCACCTAGATATTAGTAAAAATTTGGAAAGAAGGATGGAAATTGGTGCTAAGATGTCGATTTAGGATATAATATTGGGAATATGGATGAGTGTTTAAGCTGTAGGACTAAATGAGACCATTCC
Source organism: Homo sapiens (assembly GCF_000001405.40). Lineage (NCBI taxonomy): Eukaryota > Metazoa > Chordata > Mammalia > Primates > Hominidae > Homo > Homo sapiens. The sequence goes on along the minus strand of NC_000014.9, from coordinate 55,182,810 downwards.
AATAAGGATATATAAAATTATGAAAAAGTGGGCTCTAGAGAGCACTTTTAGGTAGGCAGAAGCCAGGTACCAGGCTGAGGACTGGTCAGAGAGGCAGGAGAACTAAGAGAGGATAGAAGCTCATATTAATGATGATTCCAATACCTGGAAAATACGGTTTGAAATTTCTTTCTCACTGAGAAATGTGAGTAATTTTTGAAGTTACTAACTTAATTTAAATCAAGCTAGAACCAGAAAAAGGAATTTAAGTATCTTTTTGCTATAAGAGATTAAGGATAAAATTTAACTTTAAAATGGGAACTTTATTTTGTAATAAGATATGGAAGTAAACCTTTACCAGTTCATATTTTAAGTTCATCTTCTTTTGACTGTTCTAAGGCTATTCCATCTTCTGTACGGATTACAAGGTCAAAGGCCAAAGACCAAATGGAGCAGACTAAGGTATAGTTGATAGTAGATAATTGTTACTAAAATGATAAATTGCACTTTTTTAGTAAGTAAATTCATTTTAAATCTAGTATCAGATTCAAACATAATGATTAATTTACTAGAGTTAACAGGTACCAAAGTCACTGTTTTTAGTATGGTGATGTAGAGCAATTTCACTTAAAATATTTGCTCCAACATTCCGTATGAGATCCATGGCAAACTGTCTTTGTGTCACACTCTTGTTTTGTTTAGTGGGCTCCTATTATGCATTCCAAGTTACCTGCATGAAATGCATATGGGGAGGAAAGCACACAGGGTAGGTGTTATAAACTTACGGGTCTTCAAAATACTGTAATAGAGATATCAGGAGGGTTACTAAAACAAAGTGAAGTGGGCAAGAAGGGAAATAATATGCCTCTTTATCAGGTGAGGAAGCTAAGTTCCACGTATGCATATATATTTTGCATTGCTATGATGTTCCTGGTGTTGTAGGCTTTTGGATATAATAAACTAAATTCTCTTTGTGGAACTTACATGTAAGGCATTTAAAAAAATACATAATATGCCAGAAGATGATAAGTATTATGGAAGAGATTTTAAAAAGGGGAGATGGGGTGTACTAGAAATAGGTATGGGGTAGAATTTTGATTGGGCAGTTAAGGAAGGCCTCCCTGAGATGAAAGCCTTTTGAGTGAAGTCATTATGGAAGTGGAGAAGAGAACCATGGGAAAGCGCTTTTTATCCAGGAGAAGTATTTTCTAGGCAAAATTAAAAGGTCTTGAAGTGAAAGTATGTCTAGGAGTGTTTAAGGACCTTCAGAAGGCAAGTTATAGTGAGCTGTTTTTAATAGCTTGGGTTATTAGCATTTTCCAAATTCTGTGATTGTGAAAAAGGATGTAAGCTTTTTTGGAAGCTTAATGGAAAGCTTTTCTTTATCTCATTTTATTTGGGGTAGTTTTTTGTTGTTGTTGTTGGGTCATTTACGATGATCAGATTTCATATGAGGAATCAATTTACAGATTAAAAATATGATGGTCTGATTCATTATGCAATTAAATCACATAGCACCTAATCTCTTAAATAGATTGATAACGAGAGTGATGTTCGAGCAATCCGACCTGGTCCAAGACAAACTTCTGAAAAGAAAGTGTCAGACAAAGAGAAAAAAGGTAGGAATATTAGCAATTACTATAAATCCTCTGAGGCTACCACAGCCATAATTTTTTTTAAGTGTCTTGAAGGTCAACTGGAATTTGTTCGTTTGTTTGTGACAGAGTCTTGCTCTGTTGCCCAGGTTGGAGTGCAGTGGCACAATCATAGCTCACTGGAGCCTCCACCTCCTGGGCTCAAGTGATCCTCCCACCTCAGCCTCCTGAGTAGCTGCAACTACAGACTTGCCACCATGCCCAGCTGATTTTTATATTTTTTGTAGAGACGGGGTCTCACTATGTTGCCTAGGCTGGTTTCGAACTCCTGGGCTGAAGTAATCCTCCTGCCTCCCAAGTAGCTGGGACTACAGGCATTGCACTACCATGCCTGGCTTCACAGCAATAATTTCATAACTACAAGGGACATTTGATGTAGTTATTTTTTTTTCCCACAGTTGTGCAGCCTGTAATGCCCACGTCGTTGAGAATGACTCGATCAGCTACTCAAGCAGCAAAGCAGGTTCCCAGAACAGTCTCATCTACCACAGCAAGAAAGCCAGTCACAAGAGCTGCTAATGGTGAGAACTATTCCTTGATCAGTGACTGAACTAGAATGTTTGGTCCTTGAGGTTTTTGTGTTCCGTTTCAAAAATCAACAAGTACTTCTTTGAGTAGGAGAGAAGGAAACAGGAAATTCTAATACCTGAAAATAGATTCTGTGCCCTGACATCTGGTTAGCACACAATGGGTGCCCAATCATTGAAGACCTTAATTAGTATAAGCAGTGTTTCAAAGTGAAAAATTAATGGTCCGAGTAAATCACAGTTCATTTATTTGGTGCAATACAACGTAGCCATTAAGAATAATATTATTAAAGAACACTTAATGACATGGTTCATGATATATTAAGTGGGCAAAGAAAAGCAGGTCAAACTCTGAACAGTAGGATCGCAGTTCTAAAAAGCATTATGGGAATATGTGGACATAGGACTGGAAAACCATACCCTGAAGTGACAGCTGAGTAATGGAATCCTGGGTGATTTGTCATTATTGTTCTTTGTAGTTTTCTGTTATTTTTCTAATTGTCTGTAATAAATATGTACAGGCTGAGCAACCCTAATCAAAACATCCAAAATTCTGAGCATTGACATGAAGTTCAAAGGTCATCCTCAAAGGAAATGCTCTTGGAGCATTTCAGATTTTAGATATTTGTATCAAGTATGCTGAACCTGTAAGTATAATGTAAATATTCCAAAATCTGGAATCTAAAATATCTCTGGTCCCAAGCATTTTGGATAAGGGATACTCAATCTGTATTTGGTATTCAGATGAAAAGGGTAAAACACTCTGGTTTTGAAAAGAGATGGTTTGTATTTGGCAGGAAATTCCATAACCCTTTTTATAATATGGCTTTTAATAAAAAAATCCTTCAAGACATATATTCCTACTGTTGCTTCTTTTCCTTTCCCAAGTTACCTAGTATTTTCATGTAGCATTTCTATCTAGTAAAATAAATATTTTATTGTTGTTTTAGAAAACGAACCAGAAGGAAAGGTGCCAAGTAAAGGAAGACCTGCCAAAAATGTAGAAACAAAACCCGACAAGGTAGAGAATAAACATCTTTTTAATTCTAGATGCTTTGAAAATCTCATTGCTACTTTCATAAAGTTGAAATTAAACATAAAGAACTGCTTCAAAAGGTTAACCTACATGTGTGTTAAAACTTCCTGAACCATAAGAAAGCATCAAGAGGATTTACTCTTGTTATTTTTCAGGTATCTTATTTTCAGAGCTTTATAGGTAGAGAAAGCATAATTTTGTTAGAAGATGGAGAAAAATAATAAAAACACAGCTGAGAGAAACCTGTATGTGGGAATTAGCCAAGACATAGGGTGAAGTGGGGTGAAATGCATTGACTTTGGATTCATTTAGGCCTGGGTTTGAATACTCTCTCTGCTTCCAATTAGTTGCATAACCCTGGGCAAGTTATGTAGTTTATGAGCTTCTTTTCTTATTCCTAACATGGAATACCTGCATAGAGTAGTTGTAAGAATTAAATAAACTAAAATTTCTGCCTGCATCTAGCATGGTTTCTAATAAGGTCTTCAAAAAAGATGCCCCATTTGAGGACCCAACCCCTTGGCCTATAATCTATGATATAGTTTATTTTCTTTTATTTTATTTTTTGAGACAGAGTCTCACTCTGTCGCCCAGGCTCGAGTGCAATGGCGCGATCTTGGCTCACTGCACCTTCCGCTCCCCGGGTTCAAGTGATTCTCCTGCCTCAGCCTCCCGAGTAGTTGGGATTACAGACGTGCACCACCACGCCCATCTGATTTTTGTATTTTTAGTAGAGACGAGGTTTCACCATGTTGGCCAGGCTGGTCTTGAACTCCCGACCTCAGGTGATCCACCTACTTCGGCCTCCCAAAGTGCTGGGATTACAGGCGTGAGCCACCACGCCTGGCCAGTATAATTTCTTAATTTAAAAAAAGTACCAAAGATTAAGTAACCTGGCTAGATTCTTAGTAAAAAATCAAACACAGATCAAGAAAGGAAACACACAGTGAATCTTCACAGATAAAGCAGCTGGACCTTATAGGTCCCCCCTTAAGATTAACCCTTAAGGATTATCACTAGTTTTTGCTTTGACTGCCATGCTGGCTTCAACAGTGTTACCACTTAAACTCTTGTCCAGGTTGAAATACCTGGGTTTGAGTTCATATCTTATTAAAAATCAGAAACCTGGAAACCTCTAGAAATTATTTAAATACCAAGTAACAAATTGACTTGAAATAGTAAATATGCTTTGTATTTTATATGGTTAATCTTTTGTGTCACATTGAAAGTATTGCTCTTGTGTTAAGGTTATTTATAATCTAAGGTTATTTAACTTAAGAATTTGGTCCTTAATGATAGTCATTCCATAATGTTAGATTTCTGATTTTAAACCATTGTAATTATCAACATAATTTTTTTTTTGAGACAGAGTCTCGCTCTGTCGCCCAGGCTGAAGTGCAGTGACACGATCTCGGCTCACTGCAAGCTCCACCTCCCGGTTTCTCACCATTCTCCTGCCTCAGCCTCCCAAGTAGCTGGGACTATAGGCGCCTGCCACCACGCCCCAATAATTTTTTGTATTTTTAGCAAAGACGGGGTTTTGCTGTGTTAGCCAGGATGGTCTCGATCTCCCGACCTTGTGATCCGCCCGCCTCAGCCTCCCAAAGTGCTGGGATTACAGGCATGAGCCACCGTGCCTGGCCGTAATTATCAACATAATTTAAGTAAAAAGATACGTATTTGTTGAATAAGTTTTTCCATATTAATTTTCCATTATCTTTTAATTTGTTGTAATACCCAAAAGGTATTAGTTAGTCTTTAAATAAGAATTGGTTCGGGGTGGGTGCGGTGGCTCCCGCCTGTAATCCCAGCACTTTGGGAGGCCTAGGCGGGCGGATGACGAGGTCAGGAGATTGAGACCATCCTGGCTAACACAGCGAAACCCCGTCTCCACTAAAAATACAAAAAATTAGCCGGGCGTGGTGGCGGGCGTCTGTAGTCCCAGCTACTTGGGAGGCTGAGGCAGGAGAATGGCGTGAACCCGGGAGGCGGAGCTTGCAGGGAGCCGAGATCGCGCGACTGCACTCCAGCCTGGGCGACGGAGGGCTACTCCGTATCAAAAAAAAAAAAAAGATTCTATTCCCGGGTAATAGCAATGGATTTAGCGTAACTGGTCTTCTGATTCCATGTATACACTTAATTGTATCTGTTTTTGTCTCTCAAATTATGTACATAGAACATATATTTCTGTTGTCATATTTTCAGACCTATAAAAATTGGTTGAATATATCCTCAGAAGAGAGAAATCTTACTCTACTTTGTTAACTCACATCCTAGGGTATTTCTTGTAAAGTCGATAGTGAAGAAAATACTTTGAATTCACAAACTAATGCAACAAGTGGAATGAATCCAGATGGAGTCTTATCAAAAATGGAAAACTTACCTGAGATAAATACTGCAAAAATAAAAGGGAAGAATTCCTTTGCACCTAAGGATTTTATGTTTCAGCCACTGGATGGTCTGAAGACCTATCAAGTAACACCTATGACTCCCAGAAGTGCCAATGCTTTTTTGACACCCAGTTACACCTGGACTCCTTTAAAAACAGAAGTGTAAGAATATGATCTTAATAATAAGTCTCTTGCTAAGATGGGTAATAAATGCCTTTCTTTTTTTTTTTTTTTTTTTTTTTTTTTTCAGACGGAGTTCGCTCTGTCGCCCAGGCTGGAGTGCAGTGGCGTGATCTCCCCTCACTGTAAGCTCCGCCACCCGGGTTCACGCCATTCTTCTGCCTCAGCCTCTCAAGTAGCTGGGACTACAGGCGCCCGTCACCACGCCCGGCTAATTTTTTGTATCTTTAGTAGAGACGGGGTTTCACCATGTTAGCCAGGATGGTCTCGATCTCCTGACCTCGTGATCCGCCCGCCTCGGCCTCCCAAAGTGCTGGGATTACAGGCGTGAGCCACCGCGCCCGGCCAAATGTCTTTCTTATATTTGGTCTATGCTCTTAAAAAGTTATTATTAGTGAACTGTGTTAATTAGGAATCATGCAATTTTTTTCTTTAAAAAAAATTCTTCAGAAGGTACAATAATGTAATTGACAGTTTTTATATTTCCTATGCATTGTTATTTTCACTATACAATTTGGGTTTTTTGTTTTTAATAAATGACTTAATTATAACACATACATTTTTCAAAAGAAGAAAATTGCTATACTGCTTTAGCTCAGATACGACTTTTTCCTCATTTTCTTCTGGCTTAGTATTTAGAAAAACTGGCCCTGAAGACAAAAATGATTAATTTGCAAAACAAGGGAAAAATCAGTTGGAACCTTTAAAAGAAAAGGCAAGATCATTTTGCAAAGACTGGCTGGCAGCAAATATACTAAAAACTGCTCAGCAGCATCTAAGACTGTTAAGTGTTTATGTTCCATTAAGAAATCTTCAAAATCTTTGAATCTGATTACAATTAATTAGTAAAAATGGACATTCACACTATAGGTGTTTACATTTTCTCCCCTCCAGAATACACATTTTAAAAAAATAGAAACATTTCTATTTTAGCCCAGATCTACAAGTGACACAATTTTGAAACCCTTTATATTAGATATATGGAGTTCATGTTTCATGAAGTATATTTTTGCTATTGTTTTTAGTGATGAGTCTCAAGCAACAAAAGAAATTTTGGCACAAAAATGTAAAACTTACTCTACCAAGACAATACAGCAAGATTCAAATAAATTGCCATGTCCTTTGGGTCCTCTAACTGTTTGGCATGAAGGTATAGTATTTAATTAATTTATTCATTTTTTAGAATAATGTTAATACAAAAAATATTTTGCTTTCAGGTATAGTAATTACATTTTTACTTTTCTGGATTATTACTTGTCAGATTTGTTTGGAGCTCTTTTTCACCATATCATTTGGGGATGTGAACTCAGGGTCAGAAAAGACGGGAAAGCATGGGTAAAGATATCTGAAGAGAATATTGGAATGAAGAATACAGACAGAAGAGGGGAAATAAATGTAAATTTAAAGAAAAAATATTGAGAGCTACTTTAGAGGAAATGTGAAGTGATTGAGGCAGAAATAAAATTTTAAAATTAAACATTGAAAAGGATTTTTAAAATGTCTTTTTAGGGGCTGTCATTTTAGGAATTGTTGCTTTGAAATTTATATGTAAGATTTTCTTTAATTTATAGAACATGTTTTAAATAAAAATGAAGCTACTACTAAAAATTTAAATGGCCTTCCAATAAAAGAAGTCCCATCACTTGAAAGAAATGAAGGTCGAATTGCTCAGCCCCACCATGGTGTGCCATATTTCAGGTATGTCTGTGTGTTTCTAGTGTAAGAATTTTGTATTAATATCTAGACATTTAAAACCAAAACTAAAAATTTTTAACCTTAATATAGTGGGGGAAAACTGGTGTTAGGTGATTTTCACGTTTAAATTTTAATTATTTTTTTGATAACTAGTACATTCATGTGGTTCCTAATTCAAAGGGTAGGAAAAGGTACAAGTGAGAAGACTTCTTCTCAGCACTGTGACCCAACCACATAGTTTGAACCTTTCATGAAGGCAAGTGTTACTCATTTCTTGTGAATACTTCCATGGATAGTTCATGCATATGTAGACAAATATAACATGTACATTTTTTTCTTTTTTAAAAAATATGGACAATAGGCTGGGCGCGGTGGCTCACGCCTGTAATCCCAGCACTTTGGGAGGCCGAGGTGGGTGGATCACAAGGTCAAGAAATCGAGACCATCCTGTCTAACATGGTGAAACCCCATCTCTACTAAAACTGTAAAAATTATCCGGGCGTGGTGGTGCACGCCTGTAGTCCCAGCTACTCATGAGGCTAAGGCAGGAGAATTGCTTGAACCTGGGAGGCGGAGGTTGCAGTTAGCCAAGATTGCACCACTGCACTCCAGCCTGGCAACAGAGTGAGACTCCATCTCAAAATATATATATATCTATATACATATATATATCGGGGAATCTGCCCTGATATTCACGTAGGTTCTTTTCTGTTTTCCTTAAGCATTGGCCAGCTTGAGAAGTAAAGGGACAGAGTACAAAAAGAAATTTTAAAGCTGGGCATCCGGGGGAGACATCACATGTCGGTAGGTTCCGTGATGCCCCACAAGCTGCAAAAACCAGCAAGTTTTTATTAGGGATTTTCAAAAGGGGAGGGAGTGTGCGAATAGGTGTGGGTCACAGACATCAAGTACTTTACAAGGTAATAGAATATCACAAGGCAAGTGGAGGCAGGGTGAGATCACGGGACCAGGGCGAAATTAAAATTGCTAAATGAAGTTTCGGGCACCATTGTCATTGATAACATCTTATCAGGAGACAGGGTTTTGAGATCAACCAGTCTGACCAAAATTTATTAGGCGGGAATTTCCTCTTCCTAATAAGCCTGGGAGCGCTATGGGAGACTGGGGTCTATTTCACCCCTGCAGTTTCGACAGTAAGAGACGGCCACGCCCAGGGGGCCAGTTAAGAGACCCACCCCCAGGTGCGCATTCTCTTTCTCAGGGATGTTCCTTGCTGAGAAAAAGAATTCAGTGATATTTCTCCCATTTGCTTTTGAAAGAAGAGAAATATGGCTCTGTTCCGCCCGGCTCACCGGCGGCCAGAGTTTAAGGTTATCTCTCTTATTCCCTGAACAATCGCTGTTATCCTGTTTTTTCAAGGTGCCCACATTTCATATTGCTCAAACACACATGCTGTACAATTTGTGCAGTTAATACAGTTATTACAGGGTCCTGAGGTGACATACATCCTCCTCAGCTGACAGGATTAAGAGATTAAAGTAAGTAAAGACAGGCATAGGAAATCACAAGGGTATTGACTGGGGAAGTGATAAGTGTCCATGAAATCTTTACAATTTATATTTAGAGATTGCAGTAAAGACAGGCATAAGATATTACAAAAGTATTAATTTGGGGAACTAATAAATGTCCATGAAATCTTCATAATCCACGTTCTTCTGCCATGGCTTCAGCCAGTCCCTCCGTTTGGGGTCCCTGACTTCCTGCAACATGTATATATATATATAGAGAGAGAGAGAGAGACAACATATATCTATAGAGAGAGACAATATCATACAATACACACTATTCTGTTTGCAAATCAAATAGATGAGAAGTAAGTATCTCATTATAGTTTTACTATTCATTTGTTCTATTATAAATATACTTTTTGAGAGTGACTTCATTTCTTTCTTTTCTTTTGTTTTGAAATGGTTGCACTCTGTTGCCCAGGCTGGAGTACAGTGATGTGATCTCAGCTCACCGCAGCCTCTCTGTCCTGAGCTCAAGCCATCCTCCTGCCAGTGGGTGGCTAATTTTGGTGTGTGTGTGTTTTTTTTTTTGTTTTTTTTTTTTTTTGTAGAGACGGGGGTCTTATGATATTGCCCAAGCTGGTCTCGAACTCACAGGCTCAAGCGATCCTTTTGCCTCAGCCTCCCATACTGTTAGGATTACAGGCATGAGCCACTATGTCCAGCTTAATTTCTTTTTTAGAGCACTGGGTTTTAGAATTATAAGGGATTTTAGAGGTAGCTAATCCATTGTGTCATTCCACTGAGTTATTGAAATATTAAGCAATCTACCTAACTAGATAATGTCAGAACTAAACCATTTCTGCTATCTCTTCTTTTTTTTTTTTTTTTTTTTTTTGAGACGGAGTCTCGCTCTGTTGCCCAGGCCGGAGTGCAATGGCGCGATCTTGGCTCTTTGCAACCTCTGCCTCCCAGGTTCAAGCAATTCTCAGGCCTCAGCCTCCTGAGTAGCCAGGATTACAGGCGTGTGCCACCACACCCAGCTAATGTTTATATTTTTAGTAGAGACGGGGTTTCACCATGTTGGTCAAGCTGGTCTCGAACTCCTGACCTTGTGATCCGCTTGCCTCAGCCTCCCAAAGTGCTGGTATTACAGGCGAGAGCCACCGTGCCCGACCCTCTGCCTCCTTATTAATCGTCATGTTGTGTCATTGAATATGAACAACTCAAATTTTTTGTTTTTGTTTCTGTTTTTTGAGACAGGGTCTCACTCTGTCACCCAGGCTGGAGTGCAGTGTCTCGCTCTTGGCTCACTGCAGCCTTGACTTCCCGACCTCCCACCTCAGCCTCCTGAGGAGCTGGGACTATGTCTGTTTCTAGCGTAAGAATTTTGTATTTAAAAAAAATAAAAATAAAGAATTTTGTACTAATATCTAGACATTTAAAACCAAAACTAAAATATTTATAACCTTAATACAGTGGAGGGAAACTGATGTTAGGTGATTTTCATTTATCTTTTAAATACTTTTTTTTTTTTTTGTATTTTTTTTTTTAAGTAGAGATTGGTTTTCGCCATGTTTCCCAGGCTGGTCTGGAACTCCTAGGCTCAAGTGATCTGCCTGCCTCAGCCTCACAAAGTGCTGGCTGGAATTACAGGCATGAGCCACTGAGTCTGGCCCTAAATTTTTTTTTTTTTTTTTAAAGAAACAAAACCTGCCGGGTTCGGTGGCTCCCACCTGTAATCCCAGCACTTTGGGAGGCTGAGGCTTGCAGATCACCTGAGGTCAGGAGTTCAGGACTAGTAGCCTGGCCAACTTGGTGAAACCCCATCTCTACTAAAAATACAAAAATTATCTGGGCGTGGTGGTAGGTGCCTGAAACTCTGTACCTACTAAAAAATAACTCCCCATTCCTCAGCCATTCCCTCCTAGCCCCTGGTAAATACCATTCTACTTTCTGTCTCTGATTTTGACTCTGCTAAGTATCTTATTTAAGTAGAATTATGTAGTATTTGTCTTGTTTTACTGGCTTATTTCACTTAGCATAATGTCCTCAAGGTTCATTCATTGTAGCATGTGTCAGACTTTCCTTTTTAAGGCCGAATAATATTTCATTGTATGTATATACCACATTTTGCTTATCCCTTTGTCTGTCAGTGGACACTTGGGTTGCTTCCATGTTTTAACTGTTGTGAACAGCTATGAACATGGGTGTACAAATACCTCTTTGAGACCCTGCTCTAAATTATCTTGGGTGTATACCCAGAAGTAGAATTGCTGGGTTGTGTGGTAAGTCTATTTTTAATTTTTTGAGGAGCTGCCATACTGTTTTCTACAGTGGCTTTGCCGTTTTACATTCCCATCAACAGCATACAAGGGTTCCAGTTTCTCTACATGCTAGGATACTTTTTCCATAGACACAAATTAAACTTCTTTTAGGCCTGGGTTTCTCAATCTTAGCATTATTGACATTTTAGATTGTATACTTGTTGTGGGTATATATCCTATACATCGTAGGATGTTTTGTAGCATCCCTGGCCAGTAGCACTCCTCCAGTCATGACAATCAAAAATATTTCCAAACACCACCAAATGTTCCCTAGAATGGGGCAAAATTGACCCAGTTGAGAACCACTACCTTTAAGCAAGCAAAGCCTAATAATTAGGATCTGTGAGGCCCCATCACTATAATCCTGGGATTAACAGTTTTTAGCTTTAATTTACTCTTGACAGTTGAGTTGGCTTTAGTTTCATAGACAATGCTGAGAATCTGATGCACATTTAGGAATGTCTGACTTTGATCAACCTCTGAAAAAGAACAGAACAAACTAGAAATGTTAGCTTAAAAAGTAGGTTCTTGGTATTATCCAGCCACATAAGTTTTAGGTATAAAAGGATGTACATACAAAGGGTATCAACTTGTATTTATGGATTTTAATATATCACAGTTTATAAATAATTCAGTATCAACTTTGGGAAAATATTGTGGCTCCCTTTTATAACTTCCTAATGTTATGTATCATGATGTTATGCTAATACTTAGCTACTAGTGTAAAAACCACTTGTAGAACTGAAATGTATGTCATAATTTTAGAAATATCCTCCAGTCAGAAACTGAGAAATTAACTTCACATTGCTTCGAGTGGGACAGGAAACTTGAATTGGACATTCCAGATGATGGTGAGGCAACATTTGTATTTTTTGTTTGCTTTGTTTCTTTTACTATGGTTACGTTTATCTGAAACATAAAAATATAGCATTGCCTAACTTTATTGTTTCATTATCATTCAAAGTAGCAAGAATTTTTTCTTTTTTAACTTGATGTCTACAATAAAGTAGCAAGTGTTTTTCATATCTCAACATATGTTCCCTAACATCTGTGCTAAAATGGTATATAACTTAAAAGATGTAAGTAATTAGAATATTGACTGTCGTTCCTTTGACTTAGACATTTTTCTAACCAACCAAGCAAGTAACAGTGAATATTATTAGCTTTTTAAATATGACTTTATGGGTGATATCAATTGATATCTGATATTGTTTACACAAAAATATACTCTGAATGAAAATTACCTAAATCAATATGGAAAAGATTTTCTGAAGAGTTTCTTAATCTGATTTATTTGGGAAGCTGTTTAGAAAAAATTATGTGCTGTCAGTATGAAGTCCTTCTTAGATAATTATTTGCAGTGAGTTGTTTGACGTTGAGTTTTTTTTTTTTAATTTATTTATTATTATTATTATTTTAAGATGAGTGTTGCTCTTGTTGCCCAGGCTGGAGTGCAATGGCGCCATATCGGCTCCCTGCAACCTCTGCCTCCTGGGTTCAAGCGATTCTCCTGCCTCAGCCTCCCAAGTGGCTGGGATTATAGGTGCCTGCCACCAGGCCCAGCTGATTTTTGTATTTTTAGTAGGGATGGGGTTTCACCATGTTGGCCAGGCTGGTCTCGAACTCCTGACCTCAGGTGAGCCGCCCACCTTGGCCTCCCAAAGTGCTGGGATTGTAGGCATGAGCCACCGCGCCCGCAGGCATGAGCCACCACACCGGCTGACGTTGAGTTCTTATAAAGTACAACAAGAAGTAGAATGCTATTTAGTATATAGCAATATGTATGAGAAAATATTGTTAATTTTGAGCAGGAATTGAAGCAAATAGTTAGTACTCAGTATTTGTATGACAAAGTTTTGTGGTAGATATTTTTTGTTTTGCTTAACAACCTGTAGGCCCTAGGATGTTTGGAGTGAAGTCTTATCAGTGGGCTGACTTGCAATGAATGTCCCGTTTTGTCCTTTAATTTTAAAAAATCTCTTATTTCCTTCAGCTAAAGATCTTATTCGCACAGCAGTTGGTCAAACAAGACTCCTTATGAAGGAAAGGTTTAAACAGTTTGAAGGACTGGTTGATGATTGTGAATATAAACGAGGTATAAAGGAGACTACCTGTACAGATCTGGATGGATTTTGGGATATGGTTAGTTTTCAGGTATGTGGTTCAATATTTCAAATATATTAACTTAGGGCTTTTTTTTTTTTTTTTTTAAGTAGCAGGAGTAAAATGGGGTAATAGTAGCTGCTTATGTACCTGTAATATTAAATAAGATGTTATAAAGCACTTTGATAAACTGTAAAACATGATCTAAATTTTATGACTGATGTCCTCTTCTCCCATATATTCTCAGGATAATTTTTTTTTTTTTTTTTTTTTTGAGACGGAGTCTCACTCTGTCACCCAGGCTGGAGTGCAGTGGTGTGATCTCGGCTCACTGCTGTCTCTGCCCCCCAGGTTCACACCATTCTCTTGCCTCAGCCTCCCGAGTAGCTGGGACTACAGGCGCCTGCCACCTCATCTGGCTAATTTTTTGTATTTTTAGTAGAGACGGAGTTTCACCGTGTTAGCCAGGATGGTCTCGATCTTCTGACCTCGTGATCCACCCACCTCGGCCTCCCAAAGTGCTAGGATTACAGGCATGAGCCACCGCGCCCGGCCAGGATAATTTCTATATAGGTTGAAAACTGAAATTATTTTCAACTCTTTAATAGTCTATAATGATTCGACCTGTGAGAAATGAGTCAACTGGCCTTTGGTAGTTGAGTTCAGCTAACAGTTACTGAGTTCCTGTTGTGTGCCCGTATTGTATTAATCTCTTATTGTGTTAGGAGTATTGTATTAGGAGTTGATAAAATAGTGCATTCCCTGTCCCAGAGGAGTTTGTAATTTGATTAGTGACTGAGATACAAAATATAATTCTAACATATAAATTGCTGTGATAGAAGAAGTTACTAGGAAGATCAGTAAAGGTATGGGGGAAGATGACTCTAGCGTTTTGAACTTATTTTAGAAATAAGCATATAAAATAGCATTTCAAGAACCAACAGCCAACAATAGACATTGAAAAAAGCTTCAAACCTAAAAGAAAAAGGCCAAAGCAAACATCTAGGAAGAGAGCTATTTGGATGGACTTTTAAATGCAAGTATTCATATTCTCAAAGAGACCAGACGTTTCATCTGTCAAGTAAAAATACCTGTTAGAAAAAGAACATTCAGAGAATAAATAGCTCTTTGAAGTTAAGCAATATGAGAACAGAAATGTAAGATACAATAGGTAGAATATGAAGTTAAGGAAATCTCAGCCAGGCACAGTGGCTCAAGCCTGTAATCCTAGCACTTTGGGAGGCTGAGATGGGAGGATCACTTGAGCCCAGGAGTTCAAGACCAGCCTGCGCAACATAGTGAGAGCCCATCTCTACAGAAAATAAACTTAGCCAGGCATGGTTGCACATGCCTGTAGTACAAGCTGTAAGACAGAAGAGATTAGATAAGAAAATTACATGGACCAGTCCAGGAAATATAGCCAAATTATAGGAATTCCAGAAAAAGAGAACAGAAAAAAAAATTGGGGAGCAAGTGAACAATGAAGGAGCCTGTTGAGTGTTTAGCACTGAGTAGACCCACAGCAACTTACATAATTAGATACTGTTATGTAACTCTGGGATAAAGAGGGTAGGCTAAAGCATCCAGGGAAAGAAAACAAATTTTATACAAAGCATCAATGGTTAGAGTAGCATTGATCTCTCAACAGCAATATTATGAACTAGAACAATACTCTGAAAATTCTGAGGGAAATTAACTTCCAACCTGGATTTCTATACCGAACCAATCAAGCATGAGGGTGGAAAGGCAATTTTCAGACACACAAGATCTCAAAGTTCACCTCCTTCCATGTACCCTTTCTCAGGAAAATGAGAATGTCCTTCACAAAGATGAGAGAGTTACCCAAGAAAAGAGGAGAGTGGGCTCCATTCCCAGAAAGAGGCGAGACCCTGTCTCAACCAAACCAAAACCCTGAGCAAACAAAAAGCAAAACAATTATTAAGTCTAAAGAAAACGTTGTGAGGAAGGAAATGGAATCTCAGCAGCTGTATGGCCCAGACATGAATAGTGTTTAGTCATAATTAAGCATTACTTTATGATGAGTTTTTATATATTTACCAGTTTTCATAATAGTTGGTTCACTAGCACCCTTCAATTCTGATTGTTAGATTCTGTGGTGATTTTTGTATCATTATTAGTTGCAGATTTAAAAGTATGATATGTTTACATTGTTTATAGTCTTTTTTTTTTTTTTTTGAGATGGAGTCTTGCTTTGTCACCCAGGCTGGAGAGCGGTGGCGTGATCTTGGCTCACTGTAACCTCTGCCTCCTGGGTTCAAGCGATTCTCCTGCCTCTGCCTCCCGAGTAGCTGGGATTACAGATGCCCACCACCACGCCAGGCTAATTTTTGTATTTTTAGTAGAGATGGGGTTCGCCATGTTGGTCAGGCTTGTCTTAAACTCCTGACCTCAAGTGACCTGCCTGCCTCGGCCCCCAAAGTGCTGGGATTACAGGTGTGAGCCACTGTGCCTGGCCTATAGTCATTATCTTGACTGATGCTCATTTCCCAGCTTTGGCTTAGTGGGAGCCACTTCAAGTTGGCCATTGGGGCACTTTTTTTTTTTTTTTTAAACACAAAAGAGCTATATGAGGTATAATTTACATATGATAAAATTCATTCATTTGAAATGTACAGTTCAATCATTTTTAGTAAATTTACAGAGTTATGCAACCATCACCACAATCCAAATTTAGAATATATATATGTATTTTTTTTTTTGAGATGGAGTTTCACTCTTGTTGCCCAGACTGGAGTGCAATGGCACAATCTCAGTTTACTGCAACCTGTGCCTCCTGAGTTCAAGCGATTCTCCTGCCTCAGTCTCCCAAGTAGCTGGGATTACAGTCATGTGCCACCGTGCCTGTCTAATTTTGTATTTTTAGTAGAGACGGGGTTTCACCATGTTGGTCAGGCTGGTCTTAAACTCCTGACCTCAAGTGATCCACCCGCCTCGGCCTCCCAAAGTGCTGGGATTACAGGTGTGAGCCAGTACACCCAGCCAGAACATTTTCATCAGTATAAAAAGATGCCTCCTGCCTGTTTGCAGTCAATCCCCATTTCTACTCCTAGACCTAGGCAACCACTAATCTACTTACTGTCTCTGTAGATTTGCCTTTTTTTGGGATATTTCATATAAATAGAATCATACCTTATGGTGGTCTTTTGCATCTGGCTTCTTTCACTTAGCATCTTTCTGAGTTTTATCCATATTGTAGCTTGCCTTGTGTACTTCACACCTTTTTACTGCTGAGTGGTTTTCCATTGTATGGATATATCACTATTCACCAATTGATGGTCATTTAAATTGCTTCCACTTTTTGGTGATTATGAATAACCTGTGAATATTTCCACACAAATCTTAGTGTGGATGTATCTTTTTAAATTTCTCTTGGGCAGATGCCTAGATATTGGTAGGTCATATTGTAAATTTATGTTTAACTTTTTAAGAAACTGCCCAAACTATTTTCCAAAGTGATTATACCATTTTACAGTCCCACCAACAATGTATGAGTGTTCTGTTTTTCGACATCCTCACTAATACTTATTGTCTTTTTTATTATAGTAGCCCCCCCTTATCAGCAGTCTTGCTTTCTGTGGTTTTAGTTACCTGAGGTATAGTACAATAAGATATTTGGCAGGGAGGAGAGACCACATTCATATAACTTATTACGGAATATTGTTATAATTGTTCTATTTTATTGTTGATTGATGTCTATGCTTAATTTATAAATGAAACTTTATCATAGGTATGTATGAATAGGAAAAAACATATATATAGGGTTCAGTACTATCTGCATTTCAGGCATCCCCTGGGGGTCTTGGAACAGATTCTTTGAAGATAAGGGGGAATTGTTGCATAGCCATCCTAGTGGGTATGAGGTATCTCATTGTAGGGTTTTTTTGGGGTTTTTTTTTTTGTTTTTTAAGTCAGGGTCTCGCTCTGTCAACCCAGGCTGGAGTGCATTGGCACAATCTCACCTCACTGCAACCTCCACTTCCTGGGCTCAAACAACCCTCCTGCTTCAGCCTCCCAAGTTGCTGAGACTACAGGCATGTGCCACCACGACTGGCTAATTTTTATATTTTTTTGTAGAGGTGGGGTGTCATCATGTTACCCAGGTGGCCAGGTCTTACTCCTGAGCTCAAGCGATCCACCCTTCTCAGCCTCCCAAAATGCTAGGATTACAGGTGTCACCATGCCTGACCTCATTGTAGTTTTGATTTGAATTTCTCTAATGAGTAATGATATTAAGTATCTTTTTGTGAGCTTATTCGCCATTCATGTATCTTTTACTGAGATGTCTGTGTAAATCTTTTGCACCCATTTTTAAATTTCATTGTCTTTATTATTGAGTTTTAAGTATTCTTTATGTATTCTGGATAAAAGTCCCTTATGAGAAATATTATTTGCAAATATTCTTTGAGTTTGTAGCTTGACTTTTAATCCTCTTAATGGCATGTTTTGAAGTGCAAATATTTTTATTTTAAAGTTAAATTTATCAAATTTCTCTTTTTTTTTTTTTTTTGAGACAGAGTCTCACTCTGTCGCCCAGGCTAGAGTGCAGTGGCATGATCTCGGCTCACTGCAGCCTCTGCCTTCCGGGTTCAAGCAATTCTCATGCCTCAGCCTCCCGAATAGCTGGGATTACAGGTGCATGCCACCATGCCTGGCTAATTTTTGTATTTTTAGTAGAGATGAGGTTTCACTACGTTGGCCGGGCTGGTCTTGAACTCCTGACCTCAAGTGATCCACCTGCCTCTGCCTCCCAAAGTCCTGGGATTACAGGGGTGTGCCACTGCACCCGGCCATTTTTTTTTTCTTTTATGTTGTGATTTTGACACCACATCTAAGAACTCTTACCTAACCACAAGTCACAAAGATTTTCTCCTGTGTTTTCTCCTAACAGTCTTACGGTTTTAGTACTTACAGTTAAGTCTATGATCCATTTGGTTAGTTTTTGTGTATGGTATGAGATTGTGAGTCTAAATTCATCTTTTTGCTTATGGATAACCAATTTTCCCAGCACTGTTTGTTGAAAAGACTGTCTTTTCCCCGCTGAATTGTATTGGCACCTTTGTTGAAAATCAGTTGGTCATGAGTGTAATTCTGAGTCATTTTGACATTTACTTTTTTTTTTCCTTTGAGATGGAGTCTTGCCTTGTTGCCCAGGCTAGTCTCGACCTTCTCGGTTCAAGCAATCCCCCTGCCTCAGCCTACCAAGTAGCTTGGATTATAGGCATATGCCACAGTGCCCAGAGACATTTACATATTTTTGAGGGAGAGCAAAGCTAAGAGGATATGTGTGTATAAGTGCATAGCATGGAGACTAAAAGCATGGTTACCAAACTGTTGTCAGTGGCGTAACTCTTCGTAGGAGACTGGAAGTATCAGAAAGATGGGGATTATATTTCCATCCTATTAAATACACTTGTATCTTTTAAAATGAGATTATGTCAAGAAAATGAGAAGACAAGGCACAGATTCGGAGAAATATTTGCAAAAGATGTATCTGATAAAAGACTGTTATCCAAAAGATACAAAGAGCTCTTAAAACCCAGCAAGAAGGAAACGAACAACCCAATTAAAAATGGGCAAAAGACCTGAACAGTTACCTCACCATAGAAGATATACAGATGGCAAATACGCATATGAAAAGATGCTCAACATCATATGTCATTAGTGAACTACAAATCAAAACAACAGTGAGATACTACCACATACCTACTAGGGAACAGTGAAAATTCAAAACACTGCCAACAGCAAGTGCTGGGGAGGGTATGGAGCAATACGAACTTTCCATTCATTGCCTATGGGAATGCAAAATGTTATATCCACTTTAGAAGACAGTTTGGCAGTCACTCGCAAAACTAAACATACTCCTACCATACGATCTAGCAATTGCGCTCCAAATGAGTTGAAAACTTATGTCCATATAAAAACCTGCACACGGATGTTTTTAGCAATATAGCAGCTTTATTCATAATTGCCAAAACATGGAAGCAACCAAGATGTCCTTCAGTGGAGGAATGGATAAATAAAAAAAAAATTAGATTGTGTTCACATTGTGTAATTTAAGAAACAACATTTAGGATATCTTTTCTACCATTTTAGCATTTTAGTCAAAAATAATCTAGGAGAGTTATTCATGTATGATATTCTTTATGTAGATTTTGGAGGTTTGTAAGACGAAAGATAATGAAAAACTTTACCATAAAAATTATTTGAACACTAAATTGAGAATGACTCAGTCCAGTTTTAATAACTCATCATTTCTGAATCACTATTTTTAATTTTTTTTTAGTCTTCAGCTCATTCGTTTATAACTTTAATATGGCTAGCATTAATCTGGTAAACTTGTGCTTTATTAACAGATAGAAGATGTAATCCACAAATTCAACAATCTGATCAAACTTGAGGAATCTGGGTGGCAAGTCAATAATAATATGAATCATAATATGAACAAAAATGTCTTTAGGGTAAGTTTGTGGGTTTTATATCCAATTTTTTTTTTTTTAGTTAAGGAACTGTTATACATACATCCAAATTTCTAATATAGATTCTTCTACTTCTTGTTTTTAAGTTTTAAAAACATTTAGGTTTAGATTTCTCATTATTTTACAAAGTTAAGTCTTTATACTACTTAGAGTGTACTTGATTGCCTTTGAAGAAAGAGCAAGGAAATCGATCAACATAAAATTTAGGATAGTTATGTCTAGAGAGAAGAAAGGAGGGGCTGTGATTGAATTGGGGTACCCAGAGGGCTTCTAAGTTACCACATACTGGATATATGAGTGTTGGTTTTATTCTTCTTCTTCTTTTTTTTTTTTTGAGATGGAATCCCGCTCTATCACCAAGGCTGCAGTACAGTGGCGTGATCTCAGCTCACTGCCAGCTCCGCCTCCCGGGTTCACGCCATTCTCCTGCCTCAGCCTCCCAAGTAGCTGGGAATACAGGCGCCAGCCACCACACCCGGCTAATTTTTTGTATTTTTAGTAGAGACGGGGTTTCACTGTGTTAGCCAGGATGGTCTCCATCTGCTGACCTCATGATCCACCCACCTCGGCCTCCCAAAGTGCTGGGATTACAGGCATGAGCCACCGTGCCCGGCCTAAAGGTTTTATTCTTTAAACTGTACTTACACATTTTGTTATAATAGTAATAGTAGTAGGTAACTTATATAATGCTTAGTATGTGTCAAATATTATTCCAATTACTTTATATATATTAATCCTTACAACAGTCGTATGAAATGGATGCTGTTATTCTTGTGCTTTGTTAACATGACAGATTTTGTTCTTGTTTCTAGTAATTATCTTTCTAGTAATGTTTTTGAATTCAAAGTTTTTGGTTTGGGTGGACACTTTTCAAACTAAGCATTGTCAGTTTTTCTTTATGATATGAGAAAAATGCCTGTAGTTATAAACTCAGGTTGTCTAGATTGGTATTTTATTATACTATGTAATCCAAATAAAAACTGTCTTAAATCCTATCTTAAGAGTTTAACTTGTTAAAGTATTGTTTTTTAAACCTTATTTTTAAAAAATTCTTTTTTTTTTTTTTTTTTTTTTTTTTGAGACAGAGTTTGGCTCTTTTTGCCCAGGCTGGAGTGCAGTGGCGTGACCTTGGTTCACCACAACCTCTGACTCCTGAGTTCAAGTGATTCTCCTGCCTCAGCCTCCAAAGTGCTGGGATTACAGGCATGAGCCACTGCGCTCGGCCTTAAAAAATATTTTACTAGGCCAGGCACAGTGGTTCACGTCTATAATCCCAGCACTTTGGGCGGCTGAGGCGGGCAGATCACCTGAGGTCGGGAGTTCGAGACCAGCCTGACCATCGTGGAGAAACCCCGTCTCTACTAAAAATACAAAAATTAGCTGGGCGAGGTGGCGCATGCCTGTAATCCCAGCTACTCAGGAGGCTGAGGCAGGAGAATCACTTGATCCTGGGAGGCAGAGGTTGTGGTGAGCTGAGATCACGCCATTGCATTCCAGCCTGGGCAACGAGCAAAACTCAGTCTCAAAAAAAAAAAAAAAAAAAATTTTTTTTTTACTAATAAAGTCTCATGACAAGGACCCTGAGGACAGTGACTAAATTGATTGAATGGATTTCAAAACTACTAAATAGTGAAGGATGCTACTTCATTATTAAAGCTACTGTGGGTATTTCTTATTAAGGATTTAGTCCTGGAAATATTAATATCATCAGTGATGCAGATCATGGCTATGTCCTATAGAGATTTGTAATTCTGCCTGTTATCACCAGGTGTCTCTCTCCTACTTTATTTTATAGGCTACCTTTAAGATTATCAAACAAAGCTAATCTTTTATACTATACTTGGATACCACTCCCTACTACCTCTTATTTATTAATCCCTCATTCCATCAGTTAGTCTTGTTTTCCTTTCCTCCCTTTTTTCCATCAGTCTTTAAACATGTTTAAGTGTCTTATCATTGTTTACATTAAAACAAACCTGTGGTGTCTGCTTCTCCCTTTAATTACTTGTACACCCCCATTTTTTCTTTCTATCCAGTCACTGACAAGCATCCTAAAATGTTTTCTATACTCTATTATTTTTGTTCCTTTATTTCTCCAACTCATTGCAATTCAGTTTTACCCCCCTATAACTTTAGAATAGTTATCTAAATTATTAATCCACTAGTTGCTTAAGTTATTAGGCACTTAATTTTAAATTCTAACTCTTCTAGGCCAGGCGTGGTGGCTTAAGCCTGTAATCCCAGCACTTTGGGAGGCTGAGGCAGGCAGATCACCTGAGGTCAGTTCAAGACCAGCCTGGCCAGCATGGTGTACCCTGTCTCTACTAAAAATAAAAAATTAGCCAGGCATGGTGGCGGGCGCCTGTAATCCCAGCTACTCAGGAGGCTGGGGTAGGAGAATCACTTGAACCCGGGAGGCAGAGGTTACATTGAACCGAGATCATGCCACTGCACTCCAGCCTGGGCGACACATCAAGACTCTCTCAAAAATAACAAAAAGTAGTAAATAAATCTAACCTTTCTGCAGTATTAAATATGGTCTACTTTTTTTTTTTTTTTATATAGAGTCTTGCTGTGTTGCCCAGGCTGGAGTACAGTGGCGCCATCTCGGCTCACTGCAACCTCTGCCTCCCAGGTTCAAGCTGTTCTCATGTCTCAGCCTCCCAAGTAGCTGGGATTACAGGCGTGTGCCACCACGCCCAGCTAACTTTTTTTCTTGTATTTTTATTTTTGTATTTTATTTATTTTTTGAGATAGAGTCTAGGTGTGTGGCCCAGGCTGGAGTGCAGTGGCACAATCTTGGCTCACTGTAACCTCAGCCTCCCAGGTTCAAGCAATCTCCCACCTCAGCCTCCTGAGTAGCTGGGACTACAGGCATGTGCCACCTTGCCCAGCTAATTTTTTGTATTTTTAGTGGAGCTGGTGTTTCTCCATGTTGGCCAGGCTGGTCTGGAACTCCTGGCCTCAAGTGATCCTCCTGCCTCAGCCTCCCAAAGTGCGGGGATTACAGTTGTGAGCCACTGTACCTGGCCTACTTCCTTGTTTTTGAAATTATATTTCCTTCTTCTTTGCCTATTCTTCAGTCATATTTGCATATTTGTTTTCCATTTATCCCTTAAATGTTTTTGTTATTTAGAATTCCTACCTCTACTCTCTTCTTTCCTTCCGTAATTTTCCTGTGCAATCTTACCCAACCTGTGATGATTCTCAAGTCTGTATTGCAGACCACACTTACTAAGCTCTAATTCTATATATCATGACTCAATATACCTTAAAAATCAATATATCCCAAACTGACAGCATCTCCACACACACCAATGTTGCCCTGTCTCATAATGCTGTTACCATCCCACCAGGTGTTCAAGATAGAAGTCTCAATATCTCTTTTGAGATATCCTTTTGAGCGATACCCTTTGCTTGCTTTATTTCACCATCTCCACCCCACACACATCCAATAGATGAGTAAGTCCTCTCAATTCTACCTTTCAAATATCTCTTGAATCTGTCCACTTTTTTCATCTCTTACTCCTTAGTCTGAGTGATCTTTCTAAAACACCAGCTTGATGTTAATCTTCTGCTTAAAAATTACCAATAACTCTCTGTTCCCTTGTCCTCTGTGTAAATGTGACTTTCTTAAGACCATTACATGCAGGTGATTTTTATTATAATCTAGCTATTGTTTAAATCCACTTTTCTTTGTTTCATTTCTGGCTTTGGAAACATCTCTCTAGCACTTGCCTCACCCCATCTTTTAGTTTGATGAAATATGGTTTCAGCATAGGTGCTACTTCCTACAACCTTTCCTGATGCCTGAAGATTGGTTTAGGTGTCATCCTTATTTATTTTCTTTTAATGTTTTACTTTTTTTTTATTTACTTTTTTTGCTTTTTCTTTTTTATGGGGGGGGGGTGTCATGGTTATAATCTAAAGGATGTCCCCTAAATTTATTTCTAACAGGACATTTATCCTTCTTACTATTCTTCCCAGATCTTCTACTAAGCTGCAAACTCCTTGAGGGCAGCAACTCTGTCCTTTACCTTTTTACCTTTTAGCACATACTAGGAACTTGATAAATATATGATGAATGTGAAATATTTTATGTATACTTTATTTTTAAAAATTAAATTTTTAAGTGATGAATTTGTGTTTGTTGTGTGTTTTTCTTGTAAGATGGTAATGGGCAGCTTTACTATGTTAGTTTCTCTTTGCAGAAAAAAGTTGTCTCAGGTATAGCAAGTAAACCAAAACAGGATGATGCTGGAAGAATTGCAGCGAGAAATCGCCTAGCTGCCATAAAAAATGCAATGAGAGAGAGAATTAGGCAGGAAGAATGTGCTGAAACAGCAGTTTCTGTGATACCAAAGGAAGTTGATAAAATAGTGTTCGATGCTGGATTTTTCAGAGTTGAAAGTCCTGTTAAATTATTCTCAGGTTAGTTGTTTTTGATTTTTTATTTTTTTTGTTTTTCCTGAGACTACTTAAGAGAAATATTTGGGATAGATGGGGGCTTGTGTAAGGTGAAAAATAGTTTTTTACATGAAGAGACATAAGTTTTTCTGTGATTTTTAGAAAATAGACTATGCTCGCTCACAAACACTGTAAATCACATTTTGATGGGTATGATCAGATTAGTTTAAGTGCGATAAGTCTTCTAAGATTGCTTTTCTACTTTCTAAGTGATTTCACATCTGTAATGTAATTACCATGTAACCCTACAGTCTATGAGAAAGGTCACAGGATCCCAAGAGGTAAGAGAAATGACGGAAGCATGAAGAAGTAAACTGATTTTCTTCAGGTCAGTTAGAAGTTTGGTTAGAATTTATAATGCAAAGGAAACTTGAGCATCCAGCTATCACACTTGTCTAGCTGTGCTTTAAAATGAAGCTTATGTGCTGTGTGTGTTGGTTCATGCCTATAATCCCAGTACTTTGAGAGACCAAGGCAGGAGGATCACTTGAAGCTAAGAGTTTGAGACCAGCCTGGGCAATTTAGTGAGATCCCCTCTCTACAAAAAAATAAAATATTAACCGAGCCTGGCAGTACATGCCTGTAGTCCCACCTACTTGGGAGGCTGGGGCAGGAGGATCACTTGAGCCCAGGAGTTCAAGGTTACAGCGAGCTATGATTGTGCCCCTGCACTCTAGCCTGAGTGACAGAGCAAGACTCCATCTCTAAAAAATAAAAGGAAGTTTATGCAAAGTGGATTTGGTTTTATTTGCATTTGTATTAAAACTTTTGCTCAGATCTTTTTGAAAGGTAGTAAACGTACTAATTTTCCAATTTAAAAATATTCCAGTAAAAGCAGTTTTTAATATTCAGGAAATCATTTTTTTGTGATTTTCTCACAGTGTTTGTCATAGCTTTTTTTTCCACAGACTATTTTTCTTGAATTGAATTTATCTCAATTGAAATTATTTATTTATAAGCCATAGATGTCCACCAGGAAGTTTTTTCAAAGTAAACCTAAATTGTTCTCTAATACCTGCTATCTGATATTTATAGTGATCCTCAAGTATATTATAATATTCTTGTTAGTTTAGGTATCAAATCTGGTGTACTTTTGTTTCCTTTAAGCAGCTACACTCCCTGGATACCCAGGAATCTCCCACTACTGCTAATAACATGACTCCATTCTACTACTTGTCAAGGATCTTCGTGGTTTTTACAGCTATAAGCTCATCATTCTGTTCTTTCATATACTCAACTCAGTCCTTATAGATAGGGAGATTAAGGTTTATGGCAAAAATTGGTCATTTAAAATTGAGTTTTAGTTACAGAGCACATAGTTGATATGAGGCTAATTACAAAACAGTAGTCCCTGAAGAAGCCCTTCTCATTCCATTTGCCAATCCCTAGAAGCAACTACTTTCAATTCTTACTGGAGTCTTTTGGACTTACTGGAGTCTTACTGGAGTTTTGTTGTTTACCACCATCTCTCTTGACAAGGTTTGATCTTTTTCAAAAACACATTTTTCTTCTGGTAGACTTTTTAATCTTTCTTTCCTGTACTTACTGTTTTCTTCTACTTCCTGGAGATTTCCTCAACTTTCATGCTGGCTATCATGTTTTTAATTCCCAAGAGCCCTTTCTTACTCTCCAAATGTTCATTTTATAACATTCTGCACTTGTTTCATCAGTGTATTGTTTTATCTTTCCAAGGATATTAATGATAGCTTTTATGTTTTCTTCATCCACTATAGACAGTATTTGTTTCAGGGTACTTTCATCTAGTTGTTTTTGGTTTCTGTCTCTTGTATTTAGAGGCTTTCCTCGGGAATCTGGTGATCTCTCACTGCCTGCACATGGTTAAGAATAGGGCACTAAAAAGCTGACTGGAAACTCTCTGCACATGGGTAGGACCTTTACTTTCGGGGCCCTTCTGTTAGCGGGGCCATTATGCTGGGAACCTACACATCACTGCATTTAAGACTTTTCTCATAGTCTACTCAGATTCCCCAGAGAAGATGCTTTCCATCTGCTTCCTGGAAGGTATCATTCTGGCTGCCAGTCTTTCAGGAGCCATGTAGGGGAAGAAAGCTAAGTGTCTCAACACTTTGTGTAAATATTCACTTATTTCCCTTATTTTCCATGTAGTACCCTGTCTCTCAACTGTATCTGGTATCCTCTAAACCAGAGACCCTTCTGTTTTTGGTGATGGGGGTGGGTGATGACAGTTGCTTTGCTGTGCAGAATGAGGAAAGGAATCTGAGCTCTTCTTGTTTAAACTGACTTTGAGCCATTCCTTCTGTGTTTAGCTCCATTTTCATCTCCACTTGCAGAGATACTTGGAGCCACCAGTTCTTTTGAGGGGTTATGTGGTAGAAATTGGGTTGATTCTCATTTTTCTTTCTTTTTTTTTTTTGAGGCAGAGTCTCACTCTATTGCCCAGGCTGGAGTGCAGTGGCACGATCTCAGCACACTGCAAGCTCCGCCTCCTGGGTTCACGCCATTCTCCTACCTCAGCCTCCCAAGTAGCTGGGACTACAGGCGCCTGCCACCACACCCGGCTGATTTTTTGGTATTTTTTTAGTAGAGACGGGGTTTTACCATGTTAGCCAGGATGGTCTCGATCTTCTGGCCCCGTGATCCACCTGCCTCAGCCTCCCAAAGTGCTGGGATCACAGGCATGAGCCACCGCGCCCGGCCAATTCATTTTTCTTGATTGGTGGCTTAGAATTAGTTTTCTTGAGTCTGCTAAGTCCCACTCAACAATCTACATTATAGCTTCCAAAATATTGTTATTGTTGCTATCTCTTCTTTAGTTTCCTTTGTCCTTGTAGAGTTCTGCTTTTTAAGATTATCTGTGTCCAGGCACGGTGGCTCACACCTGTAATCCCAGTACTTTGGGAGGCTGAGGCAGGTGGATCACCTGAGGTCAGGAGTTCGAGACCAGCCTGGCCAACATGGTGAAACCTCATCTCTACTAAAAATACAAAAAATTAGCCAGGCGTGGTGGCGGGTGCCTGTAATCCCAGCTACTCGGGAGGCTGAGGCAGGAGAATCACTTGAACCCAGGAGGCGGAGGTTGCAGTGAGCCAAGATCATGCCATTACACTCCAGCCTGGGCAACAAGAATGAAACTCCATCTCTAAAAAAACAAAAACAAAAAAAAAGGTTATCTCTGTTCAGGCCTGGCGCAGTGGCTCACACCTCTAATCCCAGCACTTTGGGAATCTGAGGCAGGTGGATCACCTGAGGTCAGGAGTTCGAGACCAGCCTGGCCAACATGGTGAAACCTCATCTCTACTAAAAATACAAAAATTAGCCAGGCGTGGTGGCATGCATCTGTAGTCCCAGCTACTGGGGAGGCTGAGGCAAGAGAATCACTTGAAGCTGGGAGGCGGAGGTTGCAGTGAGCCGAGAGATCACACCACTGCACTCCAGCCTGGGTGACAGTGTAAGACTCTGTCTCAACAACAACAAAAAAATTATCTCTGTTCATGTAAAAGTAGTGGGATGTCAAAAGGAAGCAGCATCTAATATGCATTTAAATACTATCTTTAACAGAAAGTCCCAGGCATTTGTCTTTAACAGACATTATTTGACAGGAGAAAGAGGCTAATTGATAGGATTTTCACCGTATTCCTAGTTATAATGAAAAGCAAAAGAACTATTTGGTATTGAGGTGATTTCTCTCATCTTCTAGGACTTTCTGTCTCTTCTGAAGGCCCTTCTCAAAGACTTGGAACACCTAAGTCTGTCAACAAAGCTGTATCTCAGAGTAGAAATGAGATGGGCATTCCACAACAAACTACATCACCAGAAAATGCCGGTCCTCAGAATACGAAAAGTGAACATGTGAAGAAGACTTTGTTTTTGAGTATTCCTGAAAGCAGGTATTTCTTTAACATGTTAATAAGAGTTTAACAGTTGCTGATACTAAATACCATTTCAGATTGTTAAGATGGTAAAAGGTGCCAGACATATATTTTTAATAAATTTCATAATGACCCTGCAACATATAGGCAGTACTCCCTTTTTATAAATGAGGAAACTAAAGCTTAAGGTTTCAGGATACTAAATGGTCACGTTTAGTTGGGTAAATTCTGCAGCAGTAAGAAGAAAAGAAGCAATATGGTATCCTTTGGTGCTAAACATACTACAACTTTGGTGCTCAACAGTTCTGAGCTGAGAAGAGCTCTGTGACTTACTAGCTATGCAACTTTGGGGCAAGTAATTAATTCTCTTTAGCTTCACTTTCATCATCTACAAAGCAGCAGTGCTAATGCCTCCCCAAGGTGGTTGAGAGATGGACACTTTTTACCAGGCTTTGTAGAAAGTACCTTGAGATTGTTTTCTTGACAGATGGCAGAGCATATTGAAGGGGGGGGAGTTAATGTGTACTGAACAACTGTTATGGGCTAGATATGCTTCTAGATTTTTTTGTTTGTTTTTTGGAGGTGGAGTCTCACTCTGTTGCCTAGGCTGGAGTGCAGTGGTACGATTTCGGCTTACTGCAACCTCTGCCTCCTGGGTTCAAGCGATTCTTCTGCCTCAGCCTCCCGAGTAGCTAGGACTACAGACACGCGCCACCACGCCCAGCTAATTTTTGTATTTTTAGTAGAGACGGGGTTTCACTATGTTGGCCAGGATGGTCTTGATCTCTTGACCTCATGATCTGCCAGCCTTGGCCTCCCAAAGTGCTGGGATTACAGGCGTGAGCCACCATGCCCGGCCTACTTTGTATATCTTGTAGTTTACTATTGTTTGCTAAGAAGATTCATAATTGCATTTGAGTCATAAGTACTCTTTAAAAATGTTTTGGATTCCCCAAAACATCCTCAAAGGGCATCATACAAATAAGCAACTTTGTGTAATAAAGGCAAAGTAAAGCTGGACACTAGAAAAATAGAGCATATCTTTTTTAAAAAGTAACTTGAAAGAAGTGGAGATAAATTTTTTTTTTTTTTTTGAGACGGAGTGTCGCTCTGTTGCTGAGGCTGGAGTGCAGTGGCACTACCTCGGCTCACTGCAACCTCCGCCTCCCAGGTTCAAGTGATTCTCCTGCCTCAGCCTCCCAAGTAGCTGGGACTACAGGCGCATGTCACCACGCCCAGCTAATTTTTTGTATTTTTAGTAGAGACGGGGTTTCACCATGTTAGCCAGGATGGTCTCAATCTCCTGACCTCGTGATCCACCCGCCGCTGCCTCCCAAGTGCTGGGATTACAGGCGTGAGCCAAGGCGCCTGGCCAAAACAGATATTTCTAATAAGATACAAGCTAGTAACTTCAGGATTAGAATACCTTGTATTCTAACTCAATTATTGTCTAGCTGGAGTTAGCTACATTTACTTGTTAACAAGCAGCAGACTTAAGAACATTGTAACTCCTGTTCCGCTTTTTGAACTTTCGGATAAAATTATAGAAATAGTATGATTGAAGTCAAGTTTCTTAGCAGGTACCTGGATTAACAAGTAACGAGTAAATGTAGCTAACTCCAGCTAGACAATAATTGAATTGTTGCTTCTGTCTCCAGAAGTCACCTTCTTTTTGACTTTTCTTTAATATATAGCTCTGGATTTGGCTGAGATTCAGAGTATTGCTGGTAGAGCCACCTGACCCTGACTGACCACCATGGTAACAGACTTGTGAGCTTTCTGGGGAAGAATGCATTTAGTTTGTAAGGCCATCCTGCAGTAGCTATAGTCCAAAACTAATCTATCTGGATCACGCCTGATCTTGCACCAGGCTCCATGTTTGATCCATTCCCTAAACTAATTGCCATCATTAAAGGAAAGACTCAAAATACAAGTGAAACAATAACAATATGTTTATGAGTGTAATGCTGCTTTTTTTCTTCTTTAGGAGCAGCATAGAAGATGCTCAGTGTCCTGGATTACCAGATTTAATTGAAGAAAATCATGTAAGTACAATTCCAGTGTGGTTAGATAGCCCAGTATGTCATATGTTTATATCATTATAGAAAGTAACTTTGTAAAGCATCCCCAGAATTTCCGTTGGAAATCTAAATCAGTCATGTAGAATTGTAGTTCTTGTTTCAATGACATTTGGGTTGTTTAAAACCATAGTGTCATTTTGTATTCTTCAACTCATATCAGAATGAATATGGAACCAGTGAACTAGAGCAGAAATCAGCAAACTTTGGCCCCTATTTTTACAAATCATATTTTATTGTAATAGCCACACATTTGTTTATGTATTCTATCTGGCTGCTTTTGCAATACAGTGGTAGAGTTGAGTACTTATGACAGAGACCCTGTGACTCACAAACCTAAAATATTTACTATTTGATCTTTTACAGAAAATGTTTGCCAGTCCCTGAGCTAGAGTATAGGTACTTGCTGAGAAACTTGCCTTCAATCATACTATTTCTATAATATTATCTGAACTAATTGTTGAAGAAGCAGGATAGTAGGATTTATAATGTTCTTAAGACTGTGTCCGGGATGTCATCCTTCTGTTTTTCTTGTATTTAATAGCAACAAGACTTTTAAAATTTGTTCCAAGTAATTAAATTGATAATTAAATATAATGCCATTTTTACTTCCAGGTTGTAAATAAGACAGACTTGAAGGTGGATTGTTTATCCAGTGAGAGAATGAGTTTGCCTCTTCTTGCTGGTGGAGTAGCAGATGATATTAATACTAACAAAAAAGAAGGAATTTCAGATGTTGTGGAAGGAATGGAACTGAATTCTTCAATTACATCACAGGATGTTTTGATGAGTAGCCCTGAAAAAAATACAGCTTCACAAAATAGCATCTTAGAAGAAGGGGAAACTAAAATTTCTCAGTCAGGTGAGATATTTAAAATATATTTAAACGAGCCTTTATTAAAGAAATGAACTTGGATTAAGGTATAAATTATCCTATAAGGTCCATTTTACATTAGATCTAACTATTGAGGATCCTTCATTGTTAGTGAAGACCCTGAATTAGAACAATTCCCTCAAGATTTTTTTTTTTTTTGAGATGGAGTCTCACTCTGTTGCCCAGGCTGGAGTGTAGTCGTGTGATCTCAGCTCACTGCAACCTCCACCTCCCAGGTTGAGGCGATTCTCCTACACATGTACCACCGCGCCTAGCTAATTTTTTTATTTTTAGTAGAGACAGAGTTTCACCACATTGGCCAGCCTGGGCTTTTTTTTTAGTTGTCCTTTTCAACACATATCCCCAAGTCTTTCTTCAAAATATCCTATTTTTCTTCCCTACTGCCTAGTTCTACCTATATTGTTGTGATGGTTCTGCAATAGGAAATGGCTCCTATATTTTTGTTATAATGTGTGCCAGTTTTACCTGCCATTTTCATCAGTTAGTCTGTAGCTGGTCTAACTGGGGCCTATGGTAAAACAAAAGGTTTTAACCTCGGCCAGACATTTAATGTCCTCCAGCTGTTCTTCATCAGCATTTTCTGGGTACCTTTAATGTTACAAGCATGAGATTTGTTTACAGAAGTCTGCTTTTATACCAAAGTTAAGGATAAGAATTTAACTACTTTCAAAAAACATTATAGCATAGGGGTCTATATTTTTGTCTTAGCATTTGATATGTGGAACTTTTCATATTTTTCATGGCTTTGTCCATTTCTAACAGCCCTCGAATGTGAGAATATTCTTTAAAAAGTTTTTTTTTGTTGTTTTTCAGAACTATTTGATAATAAAAGTCTCACTACTGAATGCCACCTTCTTGATTCAGTAAGTTTTCCAACTTGACAAGTCCCTTTATATTCTAGATTTGTTTTATAAAATGAATATTGCTTTTCTATTTGTGTACAAGGCTTAAAATGTATATCTTGTCATTGTTTTGCTTACTCACTCTTCATTTTTCACAGAATGAAGAAAAATTTGGTGTTTATATACTTTAAAATATAGTATGTTTTAATATTAACCCTGAAGATATGTTTTTCTATATGGTTTTTCTATCAAATTTGCTCTGACAAACTGGGTACTTGAATATCTGAATATATTTCTAAGTGATTCAAGAAAAATATAAGGCAAAGTTTCTGCCCTTCTGGGGAAATAATATCTATCCCACCTTCAGTCATCATTGGTTATTTATGTCCTGCTATTTTAGTGGCTACTTCCCTGCTTTTACTTCTGGTGACCTCTTGCCTCTAAATCTAGTTCAAACAGCCCTTTTGTGAAGCCTTCTGTAAAAGCTCTTATCTCTCTCATGTTAATTTATATATAGGTACAGATGCACATAGGCATACAGTGTTTACATTTCATCTCTTATTCAGGGTATAATATGAACGCATTCCAAAAATATAACTTAAGGAATAAAATTCCTTATTAACTGTAAATTCCACATTAGGTAGAGCTGTCTGATTCATACCTTTGATACTGGCACTATGGCACGAATTAAATAGTGCTCTCTTTCCTGCTGTTTATATATATAGCATTGGTTTCAGCCCCATCCCAGACTTTTTTTTTTTTTTTTTGAGACAGAGTTTCACTCTTGCACCCAGGCTGGGGTACAATGGTGTGATCTTGGCCCACTGTAACCTCTGCCTCCTGGGTTCAAGCGATTCTCCTGCCTCAGCCTCCTGAGTAGCTGGGATTACAGGTGCTTGCCACCACACCTGGCTAATTTTTGTATTTTTTAGTAGAGATGCGGGGTTTCACCATGTTGGCCAGGCTGGTCTCGAACTTCTGACCTCAGGTGATGCCCCCCCCCCGCCCCGATTCTCAAAGTGCTGGGATTACAGGCGTGAGCCACCGTGCCTGGCCGATATTTTTATTTCAATGATCTGGAGTTAGGGATTTGTCATTTTTTTCTTCATCAAGTGATTCTTATGGTTTACACCTGTGGTTACAGCCTTACCTTGGAATTTTCCAGGACTAATTACTAGAATAGATCAGAAAACGGTCTTGGTTTTATTCTTCTTTAATCTCAGAATATGAGAAATTCATTCATAAAGCAAGTATAGGATCAAACAACCACAGTTTTAGTTAACTTCATGAAACCTGGCAAATACTTAGCTTCCATAAGCCACAAATTCCTTAAAGACCCTTGTATATCTTGTCTTTCATTATTTTTCAAAGCTGCCTTTTTTGTGGTCAGGCTCTGGGCTGCCCTGTGTCTCAGGAGCAGAATGAAATGTGTTACTGTGACCCACGTACCATTCTTTCTTGGTTTTAGCCTTCTTTAATCATAAACTGAGACCTAGAGGATCAGGGCTTTCAGCATAAAGCCAACTTATGTAAACCTGATTTAACCCTGTTCCCAGATCGAACCCTGAATGATTGATTCTGAGAATGTATGTTGTTATAAGTAAATCCAGAGATTACCAAATCGTAATATTTTAATAGTAATGTGATTAAGAGTACATCACAATTATCTTATATGTTCTCATTGTTAAGTCTTAATACCTTATCATTTAGTCTGATATTTTTTTCACTTCTGTAAATATTAGTATTTAGATGTCTATTTTAGACCCAAATTATTGGTTGCCCCAGTAGCATAATTTGAACTTGAAGCAGGGCTTGAGGGAGTAAAAAGATCCCAGCAGGATCACACAGTATTAAAAGGTCTATTAAGTGCTATTATATGGTTTAGGATTTATGGAATCTATGTAAGTGGCTTAAGATACAGCCTCAGTTTTATTCATTCTGCATACACTGCTTGAGTCCATTTACATATTATTCACATTTTTGTACATATATTCTGAATATACCTTTCCAATAAAAAAAACTGTAATATACATTTGAAATAAGATCTACTGGAAAGTAGCATAATCATTGTTGTTTATAATTTTATTGTTATATAGGGAAAATGTTTACGTGTTTCTTGTTTGTTTGTTTTTGAGGTGGGATCTTGCTATGTTGCTCGGGCTGGTCTTGAAGTCCTGGGTTCAAGTGATCCTACCACCTCAGCCTCCCGAGTAGCTGGGACTACAGGTGTGCACCACCGCACCCGGTTTATTTTTGTTATTAATTAATCCACTATAGAATGTTGAAGAATTAATTGGTGAAACTCTTGATGGATACTTTACTGACTTCTCTGGATTTGTTCTCCAGCCAGGTCTAAACTGCAGTAATCCATTTACTCAGCTGGAGAGGAGACATCAAGAACATGCCAGACACATTTCTTTTGGTGGTAACCTGATTACTTTTTCACCTCTACAACCAGGAGAATTTTGAATTTAAAAATAAATCCAAACATTTTCCTTCATATTATCAATGCTTATATATTCCTTAGACTATTGAAATTTTGGAGAAAATGTATTTGTGTTCACTTCTATAGCATATAATGTTTTAATATTCTGTGTTCATCAAAGTGTATTTTAGATATACTCTTTCTCAAGGGAAGTGGGGATATTTTGTACATTTTCAACACAGAATAAAAAATGTACTGTGCCTTGCCTCTCTTGTTTAAAAGGAATAAGCTTAAGGCTAAGTATACTTATTAGCACTTTAAACATTCTTTAGTTTAATTGAAATATTAACCTGTGACAGAAATATTTGCATCTTTTTACACTTTATTCTTAGTTTGAACTCCTAAATTTGTTGACGTTGAACAGCTTTGGGTATTACATATTCCAGAGTATTCTGAATTTCTTTAGATGAGCTTTTCGGATTCCGAAGTCAGTTTGACATGCTGCGGTTTCAAACAGTTCAATCATTAGAGATGCGCATTAAATCCTTACCTTTTTGTTTTTATTTTCCCATTGGCATGGCCAAGAGCCATTAAGGAAATGCTTTTTTCTTTTGAAAAAAATCATATCAATCATATATCAGTCACATGAGCATTTAAAAGATTGGTGCAAAGAAACCCAAGATTTACAGTTTATACAAAGCAATATGCAACACAACAATATTTTGCTCTCAAAAATAAAGCAGATCATAATAAGACAATGTCAGTAAATGTCTTTAATAAGATGTATCACTGAATTGTTTCGAAAACTTACAGCTGTTCATGGCCCTGGGCCATTAGAAAACCCTAGTTTATGTATATTTCTTTTTCCTACATGGCTTATTTGAATTACCCAAACAAGCAATGAACTCAAACTGGCTTAACAATAAGGAAATTTATTATTTCACAAGTTATCAAAGTGATTTCAGGTACTATATAATCAATAGCTCAGTGATGACATCAAGGTCCAACTTTCTATTCCTAGTTCATTCTGTTATCCTTGATGTCGGCTTCTCCTCTATGGCTGGGTCTTTTTGGGGTCATAAGATGGCTGCTAGTGGCAGTTAGAGTTATGTCCTTCCCTTTGGCCTGATTAGACCAACTAATGCCACATCCCCATCTGCAGATCAGTGAGCCAGCAGGGGACTGACTTAATCAGAATTCCCTGTTGAATCTGGGATCACACCTGAATAAAACCATGGCTCTTAGGAAATGGAATGGATATTGGGTAGGCAACCATCAGTGTCCCTTACTAGATAATGTGCTTGGCTATTGGAGTCTAGAATTATGAGGTATTAGGAAAATTTTTAGAGACAAAATGAAAGAAAACTGCTTTGGACAGAGCAAGAGTTCTTAATGCGGTGTATTGTCAGAGAAAAAAGTTGTACAAAAATAGAATGGGAATTTCTATTTATTGAGGACTTACTTTTTGACAGTCCCTTTGCAAACAATATTTTACTTAATGTTACAGTAACTCTATAAGAGCTGTGTGCATTTTATAGACACAGGAACCAAGGCTCAGAGGATTTAAGTAATTTTGTATAAACCAAGTTCTCTCTTTTCTCCAAAGCTATGTTCTTCCATTTGTTTAATAAGAATAGAATAGTCAAGACCAGAATGTTAGGGTAAGAAATTTTTTGAAATATGCTATGATATGCTGCCCACATCCCTGTTTAGCGATAGAGGACTTATTCCTTGAGCTACAGGAAGTGCTGCTGGCAGGCAGCCCTCAGTTGACATCCCTTGTGAGGATTATGTTGCCTCAGCTGAAGAGAGCCACTTCATCTCAGGTCACATTCTCTTTCCCAGGTGTCCTATAGTCAGTGACTGATCAAAGTGGGGGTATAAAAAGGCCTGGCCCCGCTTGAAGCTCTGAAGAAGAATCCCAGCTTCAGAACTCCCCCTAGGGTAGGGTAAGTTATTGCTGCTCAACTTCTCCCTCAACTCAATCATGTCTTTCCCATCCCCACATGTATTGATTGCAAGTACACTCCCTCACAAGCTTCTTGAGATCTAATCTCTCTGCTTCCTGGGAGACCCAACCTGTGACAATTACTGATTTAACAGATTTGAAAAGATAGTATTGTATAAAATAATATTTTGGGCAAGGCGGGTGGATCACGATGTCAGGAGTTCAACACCAGCCTAGCCAAGATGGTGAAACCCTGTCTCTACTAAAAATACAAAAATTAGCCGGGCATGGTGGCAGGTGCCTGTAATCCCAGCTACTCAGGAGGCTGAGGCAGAGAATTGCTTGAACCTGGGAGGTGGAGGTTGCCGTGAGCTGAGGTCGCACCACTGCACTCCATCCTGGGCGACAGAGTCAGATTCTGTCTCAAAAAAGAAAAAAAAATGTTGGTCTTCTATAAGATGAAGTGGTTTTGCCACATCCTAGTTTTGGAATTTTATTAATCTTTGGGCTTGCTGCTAATAAGGGTAGAAAGGCATGGGCAAGAATGTTGACGATGGGAACAATTAAATTTTGAAAGCCGACTATATAAGATACCTTTTTCTCCATAAGAGATTTCATAAAAACCAGGGAGATGGTCCTATATTGGTATCAAATTACTGATTTGAAAGCAGTGAACTATAGAAGGAGAAAATAGGATTAAAAAGCCGTCAAGAAATATACCAGAATCCTAACAATAATTGTCTATGGGTCATAGGTCATCTATAGGTTAACTTTTTCTTAATGCTATTCTGATTTCCTGAACATGTTATATTTCCTTAAGAAAATGAGAGAATAATTTTCTTGAAACAGCTGATTTTTATGAAATTCTGGAAGAGATAATTTTGTGGTAATATTTACTTTCTCCTTAAGAAAAATATTTTAACAAGTATAGGAAACCTTGAGGCCCCAATGCAGTATTAATATTGCTACATATTTTTTCCATTGTGCATTATCTAGAATAAACCACTCCAATTAAATGACATATTGAGACAGGTAATTCACTGTAATATTTATTAAGTAGATGACTTACAAGAGGGATATTGATGAATGTAAAAATTTTCACTCACAGTGAACATGAAACCTTTACACATGTAAGGTTTAGATTCTTTTTTTTTTTTTAATCTGCCCCTTTCAGATTATATCATGGTATATGAAGCACTGGTGAGGTCTATGTCACCAGAAATTCCCAGTTTGCTGATTTCATTGAGTTTTTTAACCCGATGATTGTACTGCAACAAGTGAGCATCATTCACTGCAACCTTGAAGTGGTCAGGTTCAACCAGTACTTGTATCTGAAATGGCATATACATAAACTGTTACATGAGGTAATGCATATGTCAGCTGGATTTAGGCATTCCACAATATATACATATTTCATCTGCACTATAGAAACAATTTTTTGTCAACTGAAATAAAGGGAAAAAATGTCCATTAATTTCAAACCAGTCTGGCCTGAGCCCAGGATGTCCAACATTTCATCCTTATCATTTGTGGGACCAGTTAAGATCCAGAGAAAGTAACTTTACAGCAAAAATGCCAAGTTATGCTGGGCGGGGTGGCTCACGCCTGTAATCCCAGCACTTTGGGAGGCTGAGGCGGGTGGATCACAAGGTCAGGAGATCGAGACCATCCTGGCTAACACAGTGAAACCCCATCTCTACTGAAAATACAAAAAATTAGCTGATTGTGGTGGCGGGCACCTTGTAGTCCCAGCTACTTGGGAGGCTGAGGCAGGAGAATGGCATGAACCCAGGAGGCGGAGCTTGAAGTTAGCCGAGATAGTGCCACTGCACTCCAGCCTGGGCGAAAGAGTGAGACTCCGTCTCAAAAAAACAAAAAGCAACAACAAAAAAATTCCAAGTTATTCAGGTTTTTTTTTTAAAGCAGCAAATTTATTAGAAGGATACATAAGTGAAGCCATAAAGGTGGAGGCTAAAGATTTGCCTGCATAAAAACTTAAAAGAGCCTGGGTGTGGTGGCTCACGCCTGTAATCCCAACACTTTGGGAGGCAAAGGCGGGCGGATCTTGAGCCCAGGAGTTTGAGACCAGCCCAGGCAACATGGTGAAATCCCATCTCTACAAGAAAAATACAAAAATTAGCCACACGTGGGTGGCATACATCTGTGGTCTCCGCTACTAAGGAGGCTCAAGTGGGAGGATCGTTTGAGCCTGGGAGGTTGACAGGCTGCAATGAGCTGTGACCATGCCACTGTACTCCAGCCTGAGTGACAGTGTGAGACCCTGTCTCAAAACAACCAAAAGTTCTGATATGGTCTAAAACACCTAAAAGAAAAACACGAAAATAGGATTCCTCTGGCAAATGTTGTAAGGATTGATGATAATCAGTTTTGGCAAGGGTAGGAGAAATCTACTCTTCCCAATAGTGGATGTTCATTCCTATATCTTTTTGGAAGCAGCAATTTGACAATATCTAAATTGTAAACATGTATATTTAAAGCAAAGATTTCTAGAAGACTTGCTTCTAGGAAGCAAAGATTTCTAGAAGACTTGCTTCTAGGAAGCAAAGATTTCTAGAAGACTTGCTTCTAGGAAGCAAAGATTTGTAAGGATAGTTATTACAGTATTTTAGTAAAATCTTTCCAGGTTGGAGTGTTTCTATTCTGTAAATTTTCATCAGTAGGGTACTGGTTAAATTATCACATATCTAAAAATGAAATACTACTGGCCAGGCATGGTGGCTCATGCCTGTAATCCTCCCAGCACTTTGGGAAGCTGAGGTGGGCGGATCACGAGGTCAAGAGATCAAGACCATCCTGGCCAACATGGTGAAACCCCGTCTCTACAGAAAATACAAAAGTTAGCTGGGCATGGTAGCGCACGCCTATAATCCCAGCTACTTGGGAGGCTGAGGCAGGAGCATCGCTTGAACCCAGGAGGCGGAGGTTGTAGTGAGCCAAGATCGTGCCACTGTACTCCAGCCTGGCGACAGAGCGAGACTCTGTCTCGAAAAAAAAAAAAAGTGCTATTAAGTAACAATATTCTGATACGAAAAGATATCCACCAAATGTAGACTGTGGTCCTTATTTGTCCCTGTTGTTGAAGAGTTTACACTCCAGCTGTTTTATTCACCACTCTATAGTCAACCCTAAATGCTGTGGATCTAATTTGTTGAAGCAGTGCTTACAAATAAAAAGCGTGCTGTATGTCAGAAAATACTGGGAAGATACTCATCGAATTGCAACTTTGTGAGGATGGGGGAAGGAGTAAAAGATAGGAAACTTTGTTAATTTAAAAATTTATAAACTTTTCATAAAACTTTAATTTTAGAATAAAAAACCTTTAGTTTTCATCTCTCTGCCAACTGTGTTTTAAGCAACAAAGTCGCAGTATAACTGTACCATAAAGACTTTTTGCCTTTTTTGTTAAAGATTATATTCTTTTCATTTCTAGAAAGGCTTAAACTCAGAGGGGTGGCAGCAGTGATGATGGAGAGGTGCCTGAAAGGAACTGGGGAGTGTGCCACTCCTGGCCATGTTCTCAGCCTGCTGAGCCTGGTCCCCTGGGCAGGGAGAAGATAAACTGGTTAGGCACCTTAGGAGAGGTGATAAAAACTCTCACTTCAAGTGCTTTGGGGTTTTAGAGTGATTCCTCATGAGAAATATACATTATCAATATATAATAGTAGCAATAACTTACTTTGAATGGTTTCCCACTTTCAAATGGGAAAACCGACTGTCTTTCTTCCCTTCCCCAGTTATTATCCAGCTTTGTATTGCAAACAATGACTCTCCTGTTGTTCTCATTGAAGCGTGGGTTAAAGTGGAAGGCAACATCATTCCCTCTTTGGAAATCTAAAGCAATTCTGTTTTAAACCAAAGACCAGTTATTAAAATGATTAAAGCTGTACATTTGCACTGTGTAAAGAACATGTAATTTTCTAAAAAGCAAATAATTTCATAATACAGTACCTAGGAAATTTTTCTGAATGGAAAGCAAATAAATCAGAATGGGTTCAAACTGGAAAATATCCTATGCCTGATATTCTATGTACTATCACAAAATCTAAAGGTAAGCAAGACAATAGATGTTGAATTTTTTGCCTCATTGTCTTCGATCATATTTCCATTCATCTGTAATGCCCCTACAGACTCATGAAAACCCTTCGAGGTTTTCTTACAGAGGTTTAGAGCCACTCTGAGGACACTTTATCCCTTACTATAGATAATGGTTATCTCTTTCCTGCTCTTCCAGTTTGCTTTCAATACCTGGTAAAGGCAAGCCAGCTATATAGTTAACAGCCATCAAATACCTGGCTTCCTCATAATTAACCAGAAGCCCTAGTTCCTCTAAAACAGCAAGAATGAGATAAGGTAGTTAATATTCAGTATCTTGTTGCTAAGTTGTAAAGTCATGATAGTAAATGTGGTAAACATTCTATGATGTGAGCCAGAACCAATGAAATTGCTAGTTTAGCTTTTTGACCCTGTTCCTTCTCCCTGGAGGTTAATGCAAACACAAGTCCTCTTTGACTAACCCCATCCCTGAGTTTCTCAAAGTGCGCTCTATAGAGCGGTAACACCAGAGTCATCAGTAGGTATTCGTATTTTAATCTGCACTCTAGACCAACTAACAAAGATTGTCTGTGTATTTTGATTCACCCAGTAACAGTCACATTCAACCACAAATGATCTTCCAGTGATTAAATTTGTAAGGAAAAAACAGCATAGAATTTGTATTTGACTAAATATACAATGTTGTCATCTCTGTCACCTTAAGCACTTTTTTTTTCTACACAGTTCGTCATATAGAATTTGCAGGACTAAGCAACAGTTTTTTTTAAGTTTACTACCATTAACCATTTCAACCAGAATTAGTTTTGATCTGCCAGTCTCAATCTACATCTCTAGCATTATTAGAACTAAACTTTCCAGTGAAATGACTCTAACAAGACAAGGATACCAAACTGGGTATTCAGTGTGCGTTAGGGGTTGTGGGAGGAGGAGAGCAGATATTTAATAAATCATGAGTGCTGTGTGCACAGGATAAGGTGTGCTGGGTTCTATGTGATGTTGGGAGGAAATACGGATAAGGACATAGGTAGAGGATGTATATATTTTGTAATTTGCTATGAGACGGGCATTATTGTACGGGGAAGTTCTGTGCTTACAGAAATTGTCTAGGCTGTGTGGAAAGATGGGTTGGCTTAGGATAGTGACTACCATTGCAGAAGCAGAGGAGGCTGGCTGAGGTGGAGGGAATGAGCATTTGAATGTGAAATTATCAGATCAGAAGTGAAGTCCATCTCTTGATTGCAGGATGTGGAGCAAGGTGACAGACACTGAGACTGTTTATGGATTCTTGCATAAACCTGTGTACATGGCTTGAATTTGTGCCATTTAGGTACTGTCCATAAGACCTAGAGACAGTTCCACTAACCTTAGGGGCAGGCATCTCAGATGGTTTCAGGACATGGCCAGCTTCCTTGTATGATATGTAAGTACTACATAACCAGTGGTGACAACCAGGGCCAAGCAGCCCAGGACAGCCATAATTAGCATGTATTTTCCTAAATAAAGCCTCACCCCATCCTAGCCCACCTCATCAATCAAACTACTTCCAATAGTAAAGGTTGATTTATAATGATGAAGTTTTTAACTTGTAGAATCTCTTCAAACCCATAAGCAAATAGTATCTGCTCAAAAGACGGGTTCCCAGGCCTGCCACTGATCATCTGTAGAACCTGAACCTCAGTTTTGTCTATAAAAAGGGGAGAGCAATATTCCTTATCCTGCCTTCAGCCATGAAGATTAGCTGACATAATACATATCAAAGTATAGAATAAGGTGTGTTACCGTTTACTATGAGTGCCATGATGCTTAGCAAAATTATATGGGAATATGTATGGATTTATGGGATAATCCTATATGATGGTATAGCCAAGATTCTAAATATGTAGTTTTTAAAATTTTACTAAAATTCAAAATAGCACTGTAAGACAGGGCAAGAAGAAAAAAAGTAGGCCATTCTTTATTCAAAAACCAATCTACAAATAGAGTAGACTTGTTAATTTTGCTCTCCTTACCTGTTTGCATTGGGCTTCACCGTGCCCAGAATTGTTATCAGCATGCGAGGCACCACTCCCCCAGGCAAAGGCAGGTTATAAGGCACAATCTGGGAATTAACAAGTACATATGTGTCAATAAGGAGTCATGTTTCTTTGGGGAAAAAACGATGTTGCTAAAGTTCCATCACTATTAATATGTGTGAAAAACACATAACTCTAGTATATGCCATCTGTCCAGACTCTCAGGCCACTTTGCCCAGGGGCCAAAGAGATAAGGCTCCCTAGATGTACAAATAATTGAAAAGAAAGCCATCAGTAAATCTCATTACTACGGCCATCCCAATTTGTACTCATTCATGTTGACTATTTTTGGAAAGGCTTAAGCTAGATCTTGTGATCAACATTAACATTTTTGTATCACTCTTAAGGCCCTGTCATGGTACATGCTTTACTGTGGATATTCTGCTTCCTGGGGGCAAGCAGCATATCACATTCTGGGCTTGTGGGTTCTCATATGCTTTGTACTCACATGGCTCCAGCAGAGTGCTTTGCATATGGCAGATACTCAATATTTATGGAATGAACACTGTTAACACTGTGAGGTTCATTCCACAAATGTTTATTGACCAACTACATTCAAGGTACTGTGAATATCCCCAAAGCTCTATTTATTTATGGCCTCTTTTCTTTCCCTTTTTAAGACTTCCCCCTGGGTTTAACTATCACCCAAACCTTTTTATTTTTTGAGACAAGGTCTCAAAAATCCGAGTCTCAGTTGTTGAGGATGGAGTGCAGTGGTGTGATCATAGCTCACTGCAGCCTCAACCTCTTGGACTCAAGTGATCCTCCTGCCTCAGCCTCCCACAGTGGTGGGATTACAGGCATGAGCCACCACACCCAGCCTATCCAAATATTTTCTTTCTAGTCCTGGTGTGTACTAGTCCTGTACTTCCTCCCACCTAGATTTGCTGCTAGTGCCTCAAATTCAACAAGTGTGAACTAGAATGGTCTTCCCTACCCCCTCCCCCATCAGTTCCCCTTCATGAGTTCCCAGTTTGGGCTAAAGCTTTGCTGATGGCTCTAGTTGCTCAGCCTTGAAAAGTCAGAGTCCTCTATGACTCCTAAGACATAATCAGTAGATTCTGGGGGTTCTTCCTCTGTAATCTCTCTTACATCTGCCTGTTCCTTTCCACAGCCTTCATGTCTCCCTCTCTCTGCAACTGACTAACCATCTCTGGTATAGGCCCTCTCAATGCCACCCACTCCCCCAAGTCTTTCTACTCTAAACTGACCTAAAAGGAGACAATGCTACCTTGTGCTGTCTTCTGCATAGTCCTGAAATGGTCTAATCCCATACTGGTACTTAGCTCTTTCCTCATATTTATTATATGTTTTATCATCCAACTAGATTATAAATCTGGAAAGGAAGGATCCTGTGGCTGAGATGTATCTGGATCCCCCATGGAGTTATGTTTTACACTTAGAATTCACTTGCTATGACATATTTTAATTTGCGTGAAAATTCAACCCTTAGATCACAAAATTATCTTTAGAAGGTTTTTCAAAACCAGATTACCCTGGTTCCTCTACATGTTTGCTCAATGACCCTGGACAAATTATATCACTTCTCTATTGCCCCATTTCCCCATGTGTGAAATGGGGTTATTAACAGTATCTTATAGCGTGGTAATGGGGTTAAATGAGATTATCCATGTAGATGCATACTATTGACATGTACTCCGTAAGTGTTAATAATAACCAAAATGTTCTCCATTACTACAATCTTGATTTATATTCATAAGCAGTTTTATCAGTGCCTTCAAAATACTCATTACCTTCTGTTTATACTAACCACACACAATAAGCTCAATATGAACACTTAATTTTTTGACTCTACCAACATACACCCATGGCTGGCCCTTGAGAAGTGGCTCTAAGCAGCAGCTTTAAAGCTCAGGGTCTCCCTGAAGCCCTCTGCATGTCAAGTACATGAAAGAAGGAATGCCATCTCACCAGTGGCCCAGCAGGGGCGCCATAGGGGCCAGTGGCAGGGTAGGCTCCGGTGGCACTTGGCTGTCCAGAAGATGGGTAGGCCCCAGGGCCGCTGGGTGGCCCTGGGTAGACTCCAGGTGCAGGTGCTCCGGGATAAGCTCCAGGTGCTCCAGGGTAGGCGCCTGGA
The DNA here is from genome assembly GCF_000001405.40 of Homo sapiens. Taxonomy (NCBI): domain Eukaryota; kingdom Metazoa; phylum Chordata; class Mammalia; order Primates; family Hominidae; genus Homo; species Homo sapiens. The sequence continues at coordinate 55,138,202 of NC_000014.9, read as the reverse complement.
GGTGCCTGTCCAGGATAAGCCCCTGGGGGTGCCTGCCCGGGGTAGGCCCCAGGATAGGAAGCCCCTGGGTAGCCCCCTGCCCCAGCAGGCTGGTTCCCCCATGCGCCAGGCCATCCTTGAGGGTTTGGGTTTCCAGACCCAGATAACGCATCATGGAGCTGGAAAGAAAGACATACACAATTACGGGACAGAAAGCATTCTCAAAAGCAGAATTTTCAGGAAAATAGGAATATGTGATCTAAGAAGGAGAGGAATATGGCAAAGGCATTACATGCATATCATTAAACTTTTTCCACTTATTAATAGTTTGAGTTTCTAAGACTAAAATTAGATGTTGGGATTACATATACTTTTTCACTTTATTCTTGCCTCCCAACGTCTCAGATCAGGGAGGGCTGCATTTTCATAATTAGCTCAAGTCAGGAGTTAGCGCTCCTCTACTTATAGCACATACTTTTTCATCACCGTGAGAAAAACAATCACAAACATCAGAATGCCCAGACTGTACCGCACTTCCCGCTACTCAGAGGATTTCTCAGCTCCTGCCGGCAGAGTCCACTCCCTTCCGCCCTGGGCCTTTTGGTGAAAGGGTTACTGTGAGTGAGTCCCAGGCCTCGCTCTGCCTGGCTTTCTTCCCAAATCTGCTGCTGGAAAAACAAGGCTCCAGCTTGCAAGCCCTCATTGGACAAATGAGTCCAGGGGAAGCCACGCAGTGGGAGAGTGAAAAGGGAAAGTCATGGTAAAAACAAAACCCCCAACCCTCAACCATGTGGAGCTGATCAAGGGGAAGAAACAGGCATAAAACACTTACCGAAAAATTGTCTGCCATTTTCCTGAAAGAAACAAAGATTATCATTTTATCCTAAAAGCTTTCACCAATTTCCATTAAACTGAACCTCACCACTAGTTCATTGTGCAGTTCTAATCCATCTCTAGGCATTATGCCTAAGTCAGTAGTGTGGCGCCACAAAAACATCTCTTCAAGGGGCAGGGATGCTATCCAGCTAGATTGCCAAACCCTATTTAACTCACAAGTTTAAACTTCCGTCACACTAGCCTGTGCTCTGAATCTTACCCATCTGCCCTCTGTCCCCACTAACTGCCCCATCCCCTACTCTGGGTTTTTGAAGATAAGCAGTGATTGATTACTACTGAGACAGGAAAGACAATGACCTCCAGACATAGTTGCTGCCCTGCTATTTATTCCTCTATTTGCACACACTTATGCCTGCTCCTGGCCAGGCACTGCGCAGGCTCCTATCTAGGTGTGAAGATGAATAGGCCATGATCTGCATGGTCAAAGGGGCCACAGGATCTAAAACTCAAAACAATTGAGCCCACAGAGATATAGAATAGAAGGATGGTTACCAGAGGCTGGGAAAGGTAGTGAGGGAGGGTGGGAGGGAGGTGGGGATAGTTAATGGGTGACAAAAATAGTTATAATGAATGAATAAGGCCGGGTATTTGACAGCACAGCAGGGTGACTATAGTCAATAATTTCATTGTACGTTTGAAAATAACTAAAAGTATAACTGGATTGTTTGTAACACAAATAAATGAGAAGAGGGATACCCCATTTTCCATGATGTGATTATTAGGCATTGCATACCTGTGTCAAAACATCTAACGTATGCCATAAATATATATACCTGCTATGTACCCATAAAGATTAAGAATTAAAAAAAAATAAAAGCCGAAGGGCCTACAGTGCAGCAAGGCAGATGAGATGCATCCATGGAAATGTGAAATAACAAGTCACAGATGCTATGAGTCAGAATGTGTGCTGTAGGAATTCAAACCCAGAAAGCTTACTTCTAAGAAGGAAAGGAAAGGTGCTGTTGGAGCTAAGCCTCAAAGGGGAGCTGAAGTTTGTATGTGCTTTTTTTTTTTCAAAGGTACTTGTTATTCCAAATAAAATATTTGGCAGTACAACAAACTAAGGTGAAAAAATTCAGGCAACGTGACGTGAAGGAAAAAAATATTTGGGTCTAAGATGCTACCAAAGAGGGTTTGCCTAAGGGGTGGTCTGGAGACATCAGTCCTGCTTTCTCCTGTTCCTTCCCATGTCAAGGCTCCAAAAGCACAAGATGCTTCACAGCTGTTGTAGGTGCTCCAGCAGTGAGGGGAGGAGGGCAGCTGGGCCCCTGAGGCATGGGTGAGTTCTTCCTAAGCTCAGGATCACCTGTGCCATGGCCTGAATTACCTGGACCTTGAAACAACCAGAATATCCTTCTCTTTGATTTGCCCACCTGTGATATTTACTCAATCACTTTTAGAAATGGCATCGGCCCCAAGGGATCCAATAAATGTCCACTACTTGATTCAAATGCAAGATATTGGCTGGGTGTGGTGGCTCATGCCTGTAATCCCAGCACACTGGGAGGCCAAGGTGGGCAAATCGCTTGAGCCCAAGAGTTCAAGACTAGCCTGGGCAATATGGCAAAACCCTGTCTCTATGAAAAATACAAAAATTAGCCGGGTGTGGTGGCGCATGCCTGTGTTCCCAGCTACTCGAGGGGCTGAGGTGGGAGGATCATTTGAGCCTAGGAGGTCAAGGCTGCAGTGAGCTGTGATGGCACCACTGCACTCCAGCCTGGGTGACAGAGCGACCTCATCTCAAAAAAAAAAAAAAAAAAAAAAAACCATAAAATATTACCTTATTTTTGGTAAAACTCAAACAGGCAGAGCTCCTCCTAGGGCTTAACATATGCTTCATTTATACACACTGGATATTTTATACAGGTTGAGTATCCCTTATTTGAAATAGGACCAGAAGTGTTTCTGATTTACATTTTTTTTTATTTTGGAATATGTCCTTATGCCCAGTTAAGCATCCCTAATCTGAAGAGCCAAAATCCAAAATCTCCAGTGAGCATTTCTGTAGAGCATGGCCTCTGAACATCATGCAGGCATGCAAAACGTTTGGGATTTTGAAGCATTTCAGATTTCTGCATTGGGGATGCTCATCCTTTACTATACTGCTATTATTTATATCATAGTCAGACATTACCTTTGACTAAAATATTTTTGCACATCTTTTTTTTTTTTAGACAGGGTCTTGTTCTGTTGCACAGGCTGGAGTGCAGTGACATGATATCAGGGCTCACTGCAGCCTCCACCTCCCAGGCTCATGTGATCCTCCCACCTCAGCCTCCCAAGGAACTGGGACTACAGCCACACAACACCACACCCAGCTAAGTTATTTTTTTTTTTAGACACGGGGTCTCACTATGTTGCCCAGGCTGGTCTCAAACTCCTGGGTTCAAGTGATCCTCCCACCTCAGCATCCCAAAGTGCTGGGATTACAGGCATGAGCCACCGCATCCAGCCACACATCTCTTTTTGAACATGGTCATTCTGAAACCTATTCAGAAGTGGTTAGGTTATGACCATGCCCATTTTCCAACCTAGGGAACTGCTGGCAGCTTGACAGGGAAGTCACGGTGACTCCAGAGGTTACTGCATCTTTCATTTACGTTACATCCTGTAGTGCTTGGCTTTTTAAAGCAAAAGTTGTGAGCTCCTCTGCATGTGCCTCCTTCCCCAAAAGGCTGCCACACTACCGTATAAGAAACCGTATAAGTTGCTACTGCAGGGGGACCTTGAGAGAAGAGTTGTTACAGAAAAGGAAAATAAATGAAAATTTTTAATTCAGAAAAAGAAAGTCTCCCTCATTTTGGATGCCATACGAAACAATCTTGAACTTCAAGGTGGGCAGAAAGCTTAGTTCCTTTAATTACACATACTTCTTCCACCCTAAGGCAACATATCAAAGACCCAGCAATAACGTTATCAACATTTTGATTTCTTTTAAATGTCCTCATTGCACAGGAGCTTATTGTGAACCTCAGCACCACTGACACTTCAGGTCAGATGCTTTGCTGTGGGGCGCTGTCCTGTGCACTGCAGGATGTTCAGCAGCATTGCTGGCTTCAATACATATGCTGCCAGAACTCCAGCATACCACACTCCAACTTGTGACAACCAAGTGTCTTCAGGCCAGGTGTGGTGGCTCACACCTGTAATCCCAGTCATTTGGGAGGCTGAGGCGGGAATATTGCTTGAGCCCAGGAGTTCAAGACCAGCCTGGGCAATACAGCAAAACCCCAGTCTCTACCAAAAAAAGGAAAACAAAATGTCTTCAGACATTGCCAATATCCCCTGGGAGCAAAATCATGGCTAGTTGAGGACCGCCAATCTAGCTAGTTAGCAGTGTATCCCTACATGAATGTACACACGTGGTTCAATAAAAACCAAAAAGGTAGTTTCAATTGTTAAAACTAGCTGAATTTGCCTTATAAAGGGTCCTAACATAACTCTATTCAAATTAAGATGTGTTTAAAGGCTGATTCCAACCAGAAAGTCAAATAAAGAAGGCATTTCCATAATTTAATATTTATTCTTTTCAAAGCCTCTGCTCAAGCATGTTTAGTTTATTTTCCAATCTAACCAAATCCAGTTTGGGAAACAAAGCAGATCTCGTTGCATTTCCACTGTTTCAACACCACCTCGGAGGGCAGTATAGATTGTGTCTCGACACATTAGACAAGGCCACTAGAACAAAACCTGGCATTTGTGTGGCGCTTTTCAGCTTATGAAGCATGTTCACATACCTTATCTATTTTAGTTATAATGACATTCTTTGTGGTGAAATCTTGTACTGTCCTGCCATCTCACTGTCCAGCCTGGGACATGAATCATCCCTATGTCCAGCCTATCTACACTGTAGATGCTACCCACCCACAAGTCACTTAGTAGCAGGCTTGGTTATCAGATCAAAAAAACAGTATATATAGGGTTTGATACTAACCATGGTTTGAAGCATCCACAGGGGGTCTTGGAATGCATCCCCTGAAAATAAGGGGGAGACTACTGTGTTCTCACCATAAGGAAACTGAGGCTCAGAGAGATAACATGGTGGCCCAAAGTCATCTGTCATTGGCAGATCAAGGAGTAGGGCTCGTGTCTTTTTACTCCTTATTTAGGCTCATTCTACACCAATAGAAAACATCACACTTTGAAATTTTAAAGTACAGTCCTTTGAAAGTGTTAATTACTTCATTGTGAAATTAATTCTCTGACTTACTCATCTGTAACTACATAACATACTGAAATTGTAAACAAATTTTTTAAAAAGGATTGTGTTTTGGTCAGAAAACTAACTGGGTGATTCATTCAAGCACAAAATAATATTGAATATTGAATACAAGAATGCCATTTTGTATAGTCATTTGCTAATTATAATGACATTTTAACCAATAAAGTGTACTTTTCCAAAAATTGGGTATGCCCCGTCAACTTCCAACCATGAGATTTCTTTTTTGAAAAGCATTATAGGCCGAGTGCAGTGGCTCATGCCTGTAATCCCAGCACTTTGGGAGGCGAAGGCAGGAGGATCATGAGGTTAGGGTTTTGAGACCAGCCTGGCCAACACAGTGAAACCCCATCTCTACTAAAAATACAAAGAATTAGCCAGGTGTGGTGGTGGGCGCCTGTAATCCCAGCTACTCAGGAGGCTGAGGCAGGAGAATCGCTTGAACCCGGGAGGCAGAGGTTGCAGTGAGCCAAGATGGCACCACTGCACTCCAGCCTGGGAGACTGCGAGGCTCCATCTCAAGAAAAAGAAAAGAAAAGCATTATAACTGATGCTCTTTTGAAATCAAGATTATTAACCTCAAAACTTTCAGGAAAACAAAAAAGACATCTATTCAGATAAGTATCATCCTTACTTGCCTGAAATTTTTTTCTTTTTTCTTTTCAGATGAGTAGTTTACAGAGAGAGACATACAATCAAATGTCACAAATCTTCCCACTCTACAGACACTATAGATATGTGAACCCCACCCTGGTGTTTCCAGGATCAGAGAATTTTGAACAGTCAGAGGGGAAAAAAAAAAAACTTCAAAAAATAAACTAAAAGTAGAGAAATACTAGCTGGGTCTCCACATTTGTAAACACCTACAGTAAGCAGTTCAGTGTAGCTTCAGAATAAGGAATTTAAACATGAGTTAGAATACAGACCATTTTAATCGGCTGTTAATTGGTAGCTTTTCCCTTTAACAAAGAGTAGCTATCCGCTGCACTATGCTATTCTAGGCCCACCCAGCAATCAGTCCAGTTGTCTGGGTTCCCAGGAACACTTCTGAAATGTCTGCTCATAAAGGTCCCTGACCTGTGCGCAACCGTCACAGAAGAAGACTACTTCCTGAGCCCCTAGGCACTGCCCTACACTGCTCCTCAAGTAACACAAGAGGCAGTCTACTTCCTGTCCTTGCTGAAACACAGAGCAGGACTTGAGGAAAGCCCATTTGCCAAAGACAAATTCAGTGATGCTAAGTTGGAATAAGGGGAACTGGTCCTTTCCTAGGATTTCTTTCTCATCATAGCTCCCTGGCATCAAGGAAGGTAGAGTTACTTTCTGCTTCTCATGACTGATCTTCCCCCCTACGGAAAAGCTGAACAGTTCAAAAGAGAACACATGACACTTGGTCAATAGCGAACTGGAAGTATACAGCAAGCACAGCCTAGACTGGTTCTTAAGTTACCCACTCAGAATTTAATGAGAAGATCCAGTTCAGGCACCAGACACAAGGAGCTACCCTTGAGTGGGAGCCTGTGTCCCAAACGATCACAGGAAAGAAGAGCTATGTTTGAGATCAGTTACCACAAGTATCAAGTACATAAGTTTACAAGCCACTTGGCATTTAAGGTCAACACGAGATTCTGAAGGCATACTACATGAACAAAGGTCTTGGCTGCAGTTAAGGTTTAGAGTCTGGCTAATGAGGGTTCTATGTAAAAAGGTACCTAAATTATACATGAGACCAGCATTAGCCTCTTGACCTCACTAAGTGAAAAGTCTTTGTAAAGCACCTATGCATATTTGTAGTACAGCGAACTATCATAGTTTAAAGACCGCTTAACAGAGCGAGACACCTATTCTACTTGGACACAGCTAGTTTTCGGGGTCAATCCATCAGGCGGTACTCGTCCTCTTCTGCTTCTTACGTAACTTAGTGAGGCATCCTCCTAGCACTTCTAAGTGCTAAATATTCAAGGACCATCATCAAACTTCTCCCCAGAATCTGGACTAAGTGCTGATTTTAAACATCACCTCTAAATATTATGAATTTAGGAAGTTGCTTAAGTCCCCCAAAGATCAAGGATGGGGTATGATCATCTTTAGAATGAGAGACCCTACCCTAAGGATTGAGAGTCAATGTCTAAAAGGGAGACTATTGTTGTAGAAAAGTAAATGATCATTATTCAACTTTACCTTTTATGGAAACACACAATTTCCTAGTATGAAATGTTTATAAACTTGAGGTAGGCCAGGCGCAGTGGCCCACGCCTATAATCCCAGCACTTTAGGAGGCCGAGGCAGGCGGGTCACCTGAGGTCGGGGGTTCGAGACCAGCCTGACCAACATGGAGGGACCCCCCCCCCCCCACCACCACCACCACGAAAAATACAAAATTAGCCGGGCATGGTGGCGCATGCCTGTAATCCCAGCTACTCGGGAGGCTGAGGCAGGAGAATCGCTTGAACCCGGTAGGCAGAGGTTGCGGTGAGCCGAGATAGTGCCGTTGCACTCCAGCCTGGGCAACAAGAGCGAAACTGCGTCTCAAAAAAAAAAAAAACCTTAGGTAAACAAATCAGAACTTTGGAAGCTGACGAAAGCTTTTTCTTCTCAGGCCCTGTGCCCAAGTAGTTAATTGTATCAGTCTCATTTTCTTCAGAATTAACTGAGCCTTCTCCCATTTCTTCCCCAGAATCCTAGAGACAGCCTGAGTCACTGAGGTCCAGGTGTCCTCATTGCGCAGCAACCCAATTCCCAGAGTCACTTTACAAACATTCCGCAGTCTCTGGAACCCGCATGGCGAACTTGAAGGGTAAGGCTGAAACCTAAGTCCCAGCCTCCACCATGCGTCCCCGACTCCCTGGACCTGAACGCCTACTGCTCAGAGGGCAATCGTTTTAGTGTTTCTATTTGAGCACCCGATAATTCAGAATAAACTCTCAAACATGTTGTGAAAGCCCCCCGGTAGGGCTCTGCACGCTAGGACCAACATTTTGCCACACCCACCATTTCCTGGGCACAGACAGTCTGGGCAGGGAGGGGCATTTGATTCGGAAAAGCTTAGAGTTTGCAGTCTTTGCAAAGCCGGGTCATGCCCACTCAGGCCATGGGGCAAGCACCATTTTCTGTGGGATCAGCAACCAGACAGCGGCTGCAGCCCGGCCGCAGCTGGTCCCGGTGGAAGAACTCATTCGCGCTCCACAGCGAGATCTCCTCCAAGTCCAGCCTCAGCTGATGCTCAAAAGGGGCCGGGCCAGCCAAGCTGTGGGTCCCGGGAGGCGCCCTATGCAGTCCTGGGAAGTCCCTTCGCTCCCCCGCGGCCGTGATCTGGGGAAGGGTGACGGGGCTCCAACCCCAATTAGAGAAACTGGAGCGGCCGTCTGGTTTGCTGAGCGAGCCCCTCCGCCTCCCCTCGCAGCGGGACCTGGTGGGACTGGGGTGACCAGACTGCGGCTCGTCACCGGATGGGGCTTACTCTGGGGCCGCAGAGCGCAGGCGGCGGAGGTGCGACGGCGGCGAAGCCCACGAGGCTCCGCAGAAGGTGGCCCGTGCCGCCCCGGGGACGTGTGTGGGTCTCGTAAGGTGCTGCCAACCTTCCCCGAACGCCAGCGCCCTCGATAATCAAAGGCGACTGCCCCGGGCCCAGATCGCTGCCCGCCGCCCCGCTCCTGGAGGGCAGAGCACAGGCTGTGGGGCTCTCCGCGCGCGCCCCGGCCCGGTCCCGGGGAGCCGAACCCTCTCCGGACCGCGCCCCAAGCAGCGCCCGGGCGCCCTCTCCCCTGCCCGGCCGGAGCCGCGTCCCCCGCGCCCCGCGCAGCTCACCGCTCGTTGGCTGGCTCCGGACGGCTGCTGGCGAGGAGGTGCTGCGGGCGCCGGCGGGGCGGTGGCTCCGAGCCTCAAATACTCCCAGCCCCGCCCGGCCCGCCTCTCCCGAGGCGGGGCGGCGCCCCTGCCCAGCCAGTCCTCTCCCCGGACCAGGCTGGGCGAGCCCCGCGCCGGCCAGACACCCCGAGCCGCCGCCGCAGGGGCGACCAGGAAGCTCCCGACGGGGAGAGCGCGGGCACTGAGGGGCGCGACCTCCGCTGCCACCGTTAGGTTCCGTGGCGCTCCCGGGACCTGGGCTGCGGCCGCGTCTGTCCCCCGCCCTCTCCAGAATCACCTGAGTGAAGAATTCGCTGAGAGGAATTCAATTAATAGGTTGCTTTATTTGTAGAATACAAAACCAAAAATCTTTTCAATGTCTATTCCCTAGGGAACTGACTACAAATTGACTACTTATTCTAGATCAATAGGCCTAGTCTCAAAGCAATTCCCTTATAAAGCAATTAATCAGACAACTCTTTAACACATTTTACACAGGAAATTCACATTATATATATATATACCCTCCTTTTAACTTCACCTTATCTTTTTGTTGGAAGAAAGAGATAAGTATTATTATCTCATTTTTACTGTCAGGGTGCTATAGTCTGAATGTTTATATCCCGCCAAAGTTCATATGTTGAAATCCTAACCCTCACGGTGATGTATTAGGAAGTGGAGGCCTTGGGAAGTGATTAGGTCATAGGGGCAGGGTCCTTATGAATGAGATTGGTGCCCTAATAAAAGAGGCCGGAGAGAGACCCCTTGCCACTTCCACCTTGTGAAGACACAGCCAGAAGGCTCCCTCTGTGAACCAGAAAGCAGGCCCTCACCAGACATCAAATCTGCTGGCCTGGATCTTGGATTTCCCGACCTTCAGAACTGTGGGAAATAAATGTATATTGCCTATAAGCTACCCAGTTTATGATATTTTGTTACAGAAGCCCAAACAGACTAAAAGAGAAAATGATTTACTTATCCAAGCTCACTCATGTCTAGGAACAAAATCCAGAAATCCTGGCTCTTACACTTTACCTGGAAAAGCACCAGGCCAAAGAATCCTTGCAGGTTGGAACAAGGATCTCTGAGGAAAAAAAAAAAAATTAAGGGGGGTAGGGGAAGAATCTTTGCAGGGACTGGCTTATGTAAACTATGGAGAAAACCAGGTATCATCTGGTTCCTAAATAATTCCTGTAGCCCTTATAGTAACCAATTAATAACATAAAGATAAATTATTTCCTGCAGTTTTTCAACTTAGGGAAATGTTCCTGTGAAGGACTCACTTGATGGAATTGAGAAGCTGTCTTGGCATTCTCTAGGATAAACTTGAAAGTGTCTTAGTGGTTGGCACGGTTCCTGCAACATCGTCCCCTCTAGGCTTGCACATAGAAGTCACAGTGTGGCTGGGGATTATTTATGCAAGTTTGAACTCTTATCTGAAGAGGTAGCCTGGCAACCAATTTATTTGAATGGATCACCCATAGTAAATGACTAACCTCTGGGTAGTAAAAAGGTATCACCCAAAGGAATGCCCTTGGTCTCCAGGGAAAATGCTATAAATCTTAAGACTTTGAGTCATGAGGCCTCATGGCCAGGAGTGGTACCCTTAGAGGGTTAGCCATTGGTAATAAGAAAAGTAGATAGCCAAATGAATTGCTGTGGAGGCAAGGGATGAATCACACTCTTGCCTTTTCTTCTGGTCATTTCAGAGATAGACAAAGTTCATGCCCTGGCTACTTAGGGGGCTTGCTTACACCTGATTGTATGATCAGACATGCTTTTGGCTTCCCTTCCTTACTTGTACATCCCCATGAATACTTTGGTGCCAACTTCATGCCCCATAAAGCTAACAAAAGGATCCTGCTATGATCAGGGTGTGCCTGGGAATTTATAATTTGTACACATGCAATAAACGGCTCTTTATTACCCAATCCAAAGTCACATCCCTTTTCTAAGATAAGCGTAAAAAGGAACCCAATAAAATCAATTAAGATATCATTGAGTAACTTCTATGTACAGCTCACTGTGTTATTTGAAATAGGGACAAGGCAAGTGTTAGCCCTCAAACAAAAAGGCTGTCTGGTTTCTACGGATGCAGAGATTGTAAGCCGCTGATAAAAGCAAGGATTCTAAGAGAGGCATCTCCACAGGAGGGAAAGGAGGAAACTTGGGAAAGCAGGTGGCTGTCCAGAAGGTCAGGAGGGAAGCTGCGTGAGAACTTCAGTTAGAGCCAGAAGAGAGTAGGAGATGAAGATGAGAACAAAAAGGGAAAGTCTTTAAGGATAAGCAGAAAAGAGAAAGAAAGACAGTAATTGGAGAAGAAAGCAGAGCCGATTATTTATTTATTTATTTTATTTTTTTGAGACGGAGTTTTGCTCGGCTCACCGCAACCTCCACTCCCAGGTTCAAGTGATTCTCCTCCTGCCTCAGCCTCCCCAGTAGCTGGGATTACAGGCATGCACCACCACCCTGGCCAATTTTTAGTAGAGATGGGGTTTCTCCACGTTGGTCAGGCTAGTCTCAAACTCCCTACCTCAGGTGATCTGCCCACCTCAGCCTCCCAAAGTGCTGGGATTACAGGCGTGAGCCACTGCGCCCGGCAGCAAAGCCAGTTTTTTAAAGTCACCTTTTAAATAGGAAAATAGAACCAGAGAGAAAGGAAAAAGAGAGGAGAATAGAAGAATTATGAAAATATAAAAAGTGAGTGAACCTGGAACAAGCCAGAAAAGAGGAGAGAAATTTCCCAGAAATTAGCACTACAGTGGGCCAGATAGGGAAAGAATGTCTCACAAAAGCTGAAGTTCCTATGAAATATAAACAAAAATCTTGGTATTAAGTCGTGTAGACAGCAGAATACAGGAACAGCCAGAAAAGAGCAAAGCGGCTGCTTTCCAGTTTTCACATTTGGACCCTGGGCAGCCCAGGCAAGTTTGGCAATTCTGTGTCTACATGGTGTTAACACATCTGGGTGACAAGTGAAGAGTTGAGTCAGGCCTCAGGGCACTTGGTCTTTCTGGTGCCAACAACTGGAATCTGGGTGGCTGGCAGACTTAGGGACTGAAAGAGAGGCTGAGTGTTCTGGGGAACCATTTATGCCTTGAAGACAAAGTAATTTCCAGTTTCAGAACGAAATGACTGTGGCTGTCTGCTGTTTCTAGTCCCAGTTATCTATATGTACTTACTCATATCCAAGGCCTTTAGTGGGGGCCTAATATATGCCTCAACTATTTTGCAAAATCCACCCCTTCTAGCTTGCTGAATGAACAGGCTCACCAAAACCTGGTCAACAAATGAAATAGGGTTGGTGGCAGTAATGTGCCCAATGATGGTTTACAAGGTCTTACCACCTGGGTTGCAACTAGAGCCCCCTGGGACAGAGTGAGAGCCAGAACCTGCTTAGAAGGGAGCTAGCCCCTCCTGCCTTGGATGGGCAGGCCAACAGCATCAGGGAGAAGAGGTGTCCCAGGTGCCACCGCAGGTGCAAAACCCCTTCTCCAGCCCAACCTCAGCCCTGGCCACCTCAGCCTAACCTTCCTTGTTTGTCCTTCAAGCCTAACCCAGGCCTGTCTTCAGCACTAGCCATCACCAAACCCACATTCCCACCAGTCACTTCTGTCTATAGACAGGAAGTGGCTGCTGCCACTACTACTGCCCTTATTGCAGCCACACCCAGGGCTACGCTCTTAACCACGCTACAGCATTAACCTGCCTCTTGAGGAAGTATAAAACCAGGGAAAGGGATAGAGAGTGTGCCAGCTTGCTAAGGCTGCCATAACAAAGCACCAGGAACTGAGTAACTTAAATAACAGAAATTTATTTTCTCCCAATTCTGGAGGCCAGAAGTCCAAGATCAGATGTTGGAAGGGTGGGTTTCTTCTGAGGCCTCTCTCCTTGGCTTTTACGTCTCTCTATATCTTCACATGGTCTTTCTTATATGCCTGTCTGTGTCCTAATCTCCTCTTGTTAGAAGGACACATTCGTATTAGATTAAGACCTCATTTTAACTTAATTGCCCCCTTAAAGGCCCTATCTCCAAAAACAGTCACATTCTGACGTATCCGGGGCTCGGATGGTACTGACATAAATGTTTTTGCAAAGAGAGAGGGACACAATTCATCCCATATCAGAGAAGGGCAGGGGAGGAGCTGGCTGTCAGTTCAGCAAGTGTGGTCAGCAGAGATTTCTCCAAGGAGGTGGTATTTGAGCTGAGACCTAAATAAGGAGTAGGGGCAGGCTTGTAAAGATCCGAGAAAGTGGGAATGGCAAGAATAACACTGTGAGTTGCAACAGGGACCTGTGCCAGCATAGACACCCATGGGGCACCTCCTGTCCACTCCTCTCAGAATCCCCTCCCTGCCATCCTCATAAAGTGGCCCGGCAACCGAGCTAGCACTTCATGACCTCTCACCTTAAGTGGAGTTGGGAGAATTGTGGAGTCCTAATTGGGGGCTGGGGGAAGTGGAGAATTGGGCTGGTGGGATCAAGGGAAAGCAAAAAGAGACAGCAGGCTGGGCGCGGTGGCTCACGCCTGTAATCCCAGCACTTTGGGAGGCAGAGATGGGTGGATCGCTTGAGGTCAGGAGTTCGAGAACAGCCTGGCCAACATGGTGAAACCCCATCTCTACTAAAAATACAAAAATTAGCCAGGCATGGTGGCAGGTGCCTGTAGTCCAGCCTGGGCAACAGAGTGAGATTCTGTCTAAAAAAAAAAAAAAAAAAAAAAAGGCAGATAAGCTATAAGTCTGCCTTTCTTCATGGTCCAGGACACATAGCCCTCTTGCGCAAATAACTCACAATCTGCCTGCTCCCAGCTCTCTCTAGACCCTTGGCTGATAGAAAAAATGCACGTTAGCTCACTGCAACCTTGGCATCATCAGTACTACACAAAACTCTTCAGCACGCAGCACGAGCTCCATCCTATAAAATCCCCAGCCAGCCTTTGTCTCCTTTCACTCAGCTTCTCTTTTGCCAGCCTGCCCATTGCTTCCTTGCAACATATTTTTATACTTTTTCTAATAAATCTGCCTTTCTTTATCTACAACTGTCTTGATAAATTCCTCTTACCTCCCCCCCACGCCACTGGCCCCAATAGTCACGGCTCACCTGCAGCAAGAATCAGAAGGAATTCCTAACGCAGCTGAGTATTTGGTTTCTCTCACCTGAAAGCTTGAGTTTGGGCCCCTGACGGATTGTGAGTCAGTTGGTATGTGTGGCTGCATCTGCACCATGTCAGCCTGGGAGCCAAGCACATTCTGCCATGATAAAGGAAGAGTAGAGCAAGCCGGTCTGCAGAGATGAGTTGAGAAGCTGTACAGAGGGAAGGGACAAGACAGAGAGAGTCCTGCAGTATTTAAATTCCTGAGGCCTGGTCTCACATCTGCATTTGGATTTTGTGTATTGCTCTTGCCCCCACACCCTTCCTCTTTTTTTCCTCAGATTCTGAATCCAAGGAATCCAACCCCAACTTCCCCCAACACTTTTTTTTTTTTTTTTTTGGAGACAGGGTCTCACTCTGTTGCCCAGGCTGGAGTGCAGTGGCGTGATCATGGCTCACTTCAGCCTTGACTTCCTGGGCTCAAGTGAATCTCCCATCTCTGCCTCCCACGTAGCTGGAACTACAAGCGCGTGCCACCATGCCGGGTTAATTTTTGTATTTTTTGTAGAGATGAGGTTTCGCCATGTTTTCCAGGCTGGTCTTGAACTCCTGGGCTCAAGCAATCCATCCACCTCAGCCTCCCAAAGTGCTGAGACTGCAGGCGTGAGCCACCGCGTCCGGCCCACCTCCCCTTTTCGCATCCTTTTTCTGCTCAGGCTTGCTGACGCTTGTCTCTGTCACTTGCCACCAAGGGGCCCTCATACAGAATATAGACCCAAATGGGGCCTCACTGGAGGCCACCTGACTGTGGAGGGCTGGGTCCTGTGTGTGTGCTGGTGGAGACGTGAGCCAGAGAGAGCTGGCTTTCAGTGTTGTCACCATGGTTACTGCTATTTGACTCATGTTGTAGGATTTCCCCACTGAATCCCACACTGCCCACCCACTGATTCCCACACTGCTGGCTTACAACTCAGGGGGAAGTCTTTCCTGGGAAGCTGGGGTTGGGCTGCACCTTCCCTGCGAGGCAGCTCATCCTGGCCCACTGTCAGCTCAGATTTGCCCGGATCCACCATGTTCTGGCCTCCACCTGTGGCATTCTCCAGGACTGTCATCCTGCCTCCTACCTGTCCCTCTGCAGATTCTGTCCTCTTTTCTCTACACCAAAGTCATACTCTTTTTCTCCCCAAGAACAATAGACTTGCTTATATGGATTTCCCCCAGCCTTTTACTAAAACTGGAATAGTCAAAATCCTCTCTGGGCGCTGCCAGCCTGTTATGTTACAGAGAGCAGAGGGAGGAGGCCAGGGCCGCTATTGATAAGCGTCGCCTGCAATGAAGTGGGAGTGTTCACAGTGCAAACTGACCCATGAGGCTTGCCAGGGCTGTGGCAGGGTGGGGTGGAACAGGACTGACAGGCTCCTGTTTCTTCCAGATCTGCACATTGGCAACGTGCCATGAATATTTTCAATATGTCTGCTAGCCAGCAACCATAAATATCTCTGTGGAATGAGCTGGGGAGATCTAGTTTGTGCAGAAAATCAGGGAACGTGGAGGAGGATTTGCCCCTCTCTGCACTTTTGAAGGGCGTGCCATGTGCTTCTGCCAAGGGCAGAACCAAGGTTGCAAACTTCACAGAGAAGCTAAGAGACGTGTAGTTAGGTCTGGCTGTTTACTATAAACTGTGGAAGTCTATTGACTACAAATGCACAATCTAAATCATAGCAAGAGCATGAGGCAGGTAGTTTTCAGAAAAGAGCTAATTCTTTCTCATCCAGGTTGCAAGTCAGAGCTCTCCAAATGCCTCGTTATCATTAGCAGCAATCATGAAATCCTCAGCACTACTGGCCCCTGGTCCTTTGAGAGTAAAGGTCAGAGGTCTTACAATTGAGTAAGAAGTTTCTGTTTGTTCTATACCTAGCATAGAATTACAGATGGGGGAGGAACTAGGCCATATAGGCCATAAAAAGTGCAATTTATGTTTATAGAGATGAGAATGAGCACGATTACATTTAAGTTAACAAAAGCCCTTTCTAGGGGCAAAGGAAAAGTCAGAGCTGGGTAACTGATTCCTGGAGATGTACTGGTATTCAAGAAAGAATTTACCTGCTATGGAGATAGTATTCCAGGAGGTAAACTTTTGTTTATTATCTCCCTTGGAGATAAACAAGTTTCCACTATAACCATTATTAGCACCCAGTGCTCGTTCTGTCTCTGCTGCCAATTCATTCATTCATTCAGTTATTTAACATGTCATCATTCACACATTATCATATCTACTGTCCTCCAGACTTCTGCTCTGGTAGAAGTAGAGGACACAGGCTGGGCACGGTGGCTCATGCCTGTAATGCCAGCATTTTGGGAGGCCGAGGCGGGCGGATCACAAGGTCAGGAATTCGAGGCCAGCCTGGCCAACATGGTGAAACCCTGTCTCTACTAAAAATACAAAAAAAAAAAAAAAAATAGCCAGGCGTGGTAACAAGTGCCTGTAGTCCCAGCTACTAGGGAGGCTGAGGCAGGAGAATCCCTTGAACCTGGGAGACAGAGTTTGCAGTGAGCCAAGATCACGCCACTGCAGCCTGGCAACAGATCGAGAGTCCGTCTCAAAAAAAAAAAAAAAAAAGAAGTAGAGGACACAAAAGTAGGAAAGACATGTTCCCTGCCCCCAAGGATCCCCCAACTGTTGGATCAGACACACACATGAACAACTAACCCCAGTACAATGCAATAACTGCTGGAGTAGAGGAATATTACCCGTGCTATGGAAGGACAACGCGAGGAACACTTCATTCTTCCTGAGAGTTGGGAAAGGTGGGGCAGGCCCGTGGAAACAGCCTGATCAAAGCCAATGAGGATTAGGGTGCGGGTGTGGTAGCAATAAGACTGAACATTGACATTCGGTTTATCATATGCCTGCAGATATTCTGGGCATTTTCTATACTTTAACTCATTTAATGCTCACAACAAACCTATAAGGTAGATCTTCTCATTTTGCTGCTGAGAAAACAGAGTCACAGAGAGTCAAATAACTTAATCAGGGTCACACAACTGGTAAGTGTCAGATTTGGGGTTTGAAACCAGGCAGGAAGGCCTCGAGTCCATGCTGTGAACCACAATGCCCTACTACCTGATCCGGGAGCACATGGGACGTTTGGAGGAAGGGAGGGGTGCTGTAGTCACATTCGCAATGGCCTTTAATGCCATGTGCTTTAACCCAGTAGGAGAAATTTGCCCTAGAGGGATAATGCAAGGGCTGGGTGGGGAAGGGGAAGAGAGACAGAAAGGAGAAGACCAAGAGAGGTTATTGCAACACTCTTAAGAGAGAACCCAGGGCAGTGGCGATGGGACCCGGAGGAGCTTATCTCCATTTGCTTACTGGTGAAGTTTGCAGCCAGATGGCAAATGCCTGGCATGCCTTCCACCACCCAAGGCAGAGGTGATAACAAATCACGCTACTTTTTCTTGCTGAGGTCAGATGCTGCCTCAGAATCTTTCTCAACACAGTGCTCCAGGCAGCCACTTGCCAATCAGTCACAGCTGGTACATTAGATGAAACCTATTTGTCATCTCTCATTGTGACAGACATTTTCAGGTGAACACAATGGCAGACAGAATGTCCCAATAAGGTGAAAAAAAAAATGTAGTCACAGATAACTTGGAAGTTTCTGCTATGGGTCCCTGAATGGAAAGCCATGCTGTGGATGGTGACGGAGAACAGAGAAAGACTGGGTTGGGAGGGAAAACCATGAGGTTTGTTTTGCACATCTTCAGATTTGAAGTCCAACAGGGCATTCAAGAATAATGGCTGACATGAAAACATGGGTCTGAGCTCAGGAGAAACTCAAATTGGAGGTGTAGGGGAGAGTGCCATTGAAGGCTTGAAACTCAGTGCCATCTCCCAGAATGGACAGAAGACAGAACAGGGCCAAGACTGGAACCTGGGGAACACCAGTCCCTATGTGGTGTAAGGAGAAAGAAGAGAGGCTTGTCTGATGGGGGAAGAACTTTTCCAGGTGGAGGCAGTCAGGGCGTTAGACACAGTGGAGAGATCAGGAGCCACAGTGAAGGCTGCGGTGAGGATTCAGTAATGGCGAGGCCTTTGTGGCCAGTCCTGAGACAGAATTTCCAGTAGGTTGGAGAAAGCCAGTGGGTACCAACTTACATGGTTTGTTGGCTAAAAAGAAGGTGAGGAAGGTAAGACTATTTGGAGGCAGGGTTAAAAGGGGAAACCAGAGCATGTTGCTGATTGGGAGGAAGGATCAGGTGAACAGGTTAAGGCTGCAGTTGCAGAGGGACAAGAAGGTTAGGAAGGAATGAGTTAAGAACAAGCAGGATTTCTCCTTGGAAAGAATAGGATTTGTCAGAGTGTCATTTCATATTTATTGGTATGATTCTTACCACTTAATAATAGGGCTCTGTCCTTTTTTGGTCACTCTTTTATCCCCAGTGCCTAGCAAAATACCAGGCACTAAATGAATACATGCCAAATAAAGTGAATAAATGCCAGAACATCTCTTTTTCCTAGATATGAAGGAGTCACCAGCGTCGATGTTCTATTTATTTAGAGACAGGGTCTTTCTCGGTGGCCCAGGCTGGAGTGCGGTGGTGTAATCATAGCTCACTGCAGCCTCAAACTCCTGTGCACCACTTTGCCCAGTCTGCCAATGTCCTTGATGGCAGGAGATGGAGAAAATCACCTTTAGTTGGTGAGAAAGAGGGTGGTGGGAACAGGAGTGAAGGAACTGCTATAGTCATGATCAAATTCCCCAGAATTCATATAAAAGCTACACCAGAATTTTCATTCTTAAAGGCAAAGTAAGGAAGGGAAGGCCATGGTCATTATTTCCTTTAGAAAGACACACTAGAAGTCATGTGACAGGATTTCTGAAGCTCAGTAATTAATAATAGACAGGTACTTCCATTATAATTTTCTCTTCTTTCAAGAGCTAATACCCAAGATAAACACAAAGTAACTAGCCATAATTTCTAGCATTTCTCCTGGGCGGGGTGGAAGCTTCCTAAGATAAATATGTTAAGAGATGTGCTACTTTTTCAAATGCAAGTGTGAACTGGTCTGAAGAAAAAAATGTTCCTTCCACTTGTGTCTTTTTTCCCCTTGAGACTTAAAATTTTTTTAATGTTTTTTCCTTTGCTACAAGCCTGTAAGGAAACAAAATAACATAGCTGTGTGCCAGGAAACACGATAGTGACAGCTACGTCATCACATTCATGCATCTTTGTAATTAAGATGAAATTGATGTGAAAAAAAAGTATTTTTATTCCTTTAGCAATATTAGAGACTCTGTTATTTTGCCTGCTCCTTCTTATCGGCTTTTTGGGATGGGTAGGCATTTTTACACATGAAGAATTTCTGGGTTACCAAGTTCTTTAGAGAGCTCCCTCTAACTGCATCACTCCCTGTTCCTCAGCGTCCCTTCACATTTTCAGCTGTCAGTGAACCCTGGGGCAGGAATCAATCCACCACCAAGGACACAGAACAGGCCACAGGGCTCAGATCTTCTACTACCAGAAGAAATGGAAGCCCTTTTCTTCTTAAGTGTTGTCAGGGAAGTGCTAACTCCTTAACTCTCTCAAAACAAATTTGAAATTCTTAGAGAAAAGGTCTTAGTAAGGAAATCCAGCAAGGTTTTGCCTCAGACTTCGGTTGGCCTTGTGGGAGGCCCCAGTTTGGGTCCCCCCGAAACACCAAGCTGTAGAAGAAGCAGATTCCAAAGAAATGAGTCCCTCATATCCATTGTTTCCTAAAACCAAAATCTGGTAAATCTATTCGTATTGTGGGTTAGGTCTCTTTGTTGTTTTAAAAAAAGGGCGCTGGCAGTTCCTCATATTATCACAATGGAAATCAGATCATGTGCTTCTGTGTTTGGACATCACGGCACCTCCTATTCCTGACTCTGTGGCTTTAGAGGAGTTTATCATGTGGCCAAGCAAAAGAGGTTCCCTGGGGAATCCCTTCTTTCCCTATTGCTACAGATGAGCATGTCCAAGCATATACATAGAGGGTGTTCCCCACAGTTCTAATGCATGTGGGGAAACCATAGATATAACTTAAGCCAAATAGCATGGTTTACTGTCGGCTGGGCAGGAAAGGCTTTCCCAACCTAGAAGAGTTGCCTCAGACCACAACAGAGTCCTGCATCTGAGTGTGAGCCTCTCAGGGCAGATCAAAGCTCCAGGCTCAATTTGAAGTCAAAGGGAGTCTCCTCCGTGGTTGCGCAGGAGGTGGATAGTCTGGCATTAGTCTAAGACACACGTAATAAACCACAGTTCAGCCCTCTGAGCATCATGACATGGCAAGGGAGCTGATGGGGGATGGGGACAAGGGACCAGCCATGGGTGGGGATAGATCCAGTCACCATATCCATAAAGGGCCTCAAATATGGGCTTTTGAGCTATCTGAAAGTGAGGTTATGAACTCAGACGCAGAGGTATACCTACAGGAGGGAAAGGCAATATTCATTATACAATTTTAATTTTAAAAATAAACATTAAAATAAACCACAATTTAAAAATGTTGTTTAGCCCTTTGTACTTTAAAAAAAAAGTTTTTTGAGATGGAATCTTGCTCTGTTGCCCAGGCTGAAGTACAGTGGCGTGATCTTGGCTCATTGCAACCTCTGCCTCCCAGGTTCAAGTGATTCTCCTGCCTCAGCCTCCCAAGTAGCTGGGATTACAGGCATGTGCCACCATGCCCGGCTATTTTTTTTAATTTTTATTTTTAGTAGAGATGGGGTTTCACCATGTTGGCCAGGCTGGTCTTGAACTCCTGACCTCAAGTGATCCACCCACCCCAGCCTCCCAAAGTGCTGGCAGTACAGGCATGAGCTACCGTGCCCGGCCCATTTGTACTTTTTTTTTTTTTTTTTTTAGTATACCTTGTGCCTCAAAAGTGGAATGGGCCAGCCTTCCCTCTGCTTCTGGGTTAGCAAAGGAGCTTTTAGTGAGTGTTAATGAATAAGCAGGACTTATGGATTCTGAATAACCGATGCTCATGGAGAGATTACCAAGGGAAAGTGTTTTACACCCTTTTCCTGGCAGTCAAATGTTCCCTGTTCACCCCAAGAGTATGCTGCTCCAAACAGACCCCAGCCAGCTTCCCCCACCTGTTTCAGGGCTGCCGAAATGACAGTGGGAGCCACACAGATGCAGCAGCTCCAGCCCAGGACTCAGCTTTCTCCTGACACTGCTCCTTGAATGGACGCACTCAGCAACTGAGCCCCTTGACACGTTGGTGGGAGGGACTGGAACGTTTATGGCATATCTGGAGTGCATGAAAAGAAAAATAACAGTGCTGGTTTTGTAACCATGGGACCGGATCAAACCAATTAACCATTGCCTAAGTTGTTACAGCAACAGCTGAACAGCTGTTAGGGTGTTCAGCCTCACCTTCGACCATGTCACACAGTCAAAATTGCCCTGGTACGTGCCATGGGAAGAGTTTAGCCTCCTCATTGTTAGCACCACCTGCATAGCAGACTGGCTGCCATGGGGGACTGGGACTAGTTAGAAATGCCACAAAAGTTTGACCCAACCACCCAGATCCCGGCGACAGAGTTGAATGTTGCCTCCTGTGTCCTTGCCAGTCAACTGGTGATAAGGTTTTTTCTTATCTCAAAAGCCATTGCCACAGTATTGGCTTCTACAACCCTTGCTTGGTAACAGTTTCTTCTGCACCAGAAGGAAGCAAGTCTCATGACTCTTCATAGGTAATGTTTCACCACAGTACTGAGTTCTCACTGCTCCTCAAGGGCTCTGGGATGAAAGACAACAGCACAGTAATGCTGCTGGCTTGCCAGTTCACACTGGCACCAGTTGTTGAAGCTGCGTATCAAGGCTTTCATCTAGAAATGCATTTAGGTTAATGAAATCAGAATATTAACATAACCGGCCACAGAGCTCTAGTATTTAGAAGACAGTTCAGGCCCAGGACACAAAAAAAGTCACCCATGAAGACAGAGAAGCAAACAGTGTTATCCATGGGATGATAACGACGATAATCCCTTTGCAATTCTACCCAACAAAAACCTGTCAAGGCCTGCTCTGTGCAAGCACTGTGCTAGGTCCCAGGAGGAGAGAGAATTTGCATCTGTGCCTTAGAGACCTTGGTGGTAGTTTGGTATCATTCAGAGTTTAGGTTTTGGTGCCAGATGGATGACAAGCAATGGGTTCCATAGAGTACTTTCTTCTTCTTCTTCTTTTTTTTTTTTTTTTTAGTATACTTTAAGTCCTAGGGTACATGTGCACAACGTGCAGGTTTGTTACACATTTACGCATGTGCCATGTTGGTTTGCTGCACCCATTAATTCATCATTTACATTAGGTATTTCTCCTAATGCTATCCCTCCCCCCTCCCCCCCCCCCCAGAGAGCTTTCTAGGGAACCCGTCACACAGCAGGAACTGAGTTAAGAGTAACATCTTTTATTTGCTGTCAGAAGCTCAGCTCTCATCAGCCTCCCACGGATGGCCTCCTGCTCCCAAGTCCCAGTCCCTGGCTGTGTCCCTGCACTGTGTTCCAGCCAGGCACTCACTGCTCAGGCCTGCCCCTTTTACCTTGACACCGTGTCCCTCCTGCTCTCCAGCACACTCATCTGTAGCCAAAGCCATACCTCCCAGATGCTGCCTGCCTGGATTTCTAGAATTCATCCATGGTCTGGCCTGATACTAATTATATCTAGGCTCTGTCCATTTCACTGTTGAAGTAACCTCTTATGTCCCCAGCTCCAGGTAAATCAGCCTTCAACCTCACCACGTTTTTTTGTTCTTGTTTTTTTTTGAGACAGGGTCTCACTTTGTCACTGAGGCTGGAGTCCAGTGGCGTGATCTTGGCTCACGGCAACCTCTGCCTCCTGGGTTCAAGCAATTCTCCTGCCTCAGCCTCCCGAGTAGCTGGGGTTACAGGCGCCCGCCACCACGCCCAGCTAATTTTTGTATTTTTAGTAGAGACAGGGTTTCACCATGTTGGCCAGGCTGGTCTCAAACTCCTGACTTCAAATGATCCACCCGCCTCAGGCTCCCAAAGTGCTGGGATTACAGGCGTGAGCCACCACCCCTGGCTCAACCTCACCTTTGAACATGTCACACCTGCCCAGAAGCTAGCCCTGACTCCCTATGACTTCTAATTTAAGGTAAAATCTCAGCCTGAGGCTCTTGGTTTGGTGTGATCTAGCCCAGCCCATCTCAGGTAATATGCCAGCCTTCATGTCTCTGGCCTTAGTGGACTAATTGCATTCCTTGAGTAAGTTCCTACCTTTCCTTCCTGTGTCCTTTGCTCTCGTTGGACTTTGTTGGGATTTCAACACAGGAAGATAGAGGGAGATGGATAGAGACTAAAGGAAACAACATGAACACAGATAAAGACATGAGAATGCACAAACACCAGAGAGGAGATGTGTTTGGTCATTGATATTGGGTACTTACAATCCCAGAGTCATAGCTCTTATAGATGAAGGAAACTAAATGGACCATCTGGTCTACCCCTGGCTTCCAGGCTAGGAAAGTATTTTTATTCCCATGCAATATATTAGACCACTAAGAACCGGACAGGTTAAATGGCATAATTGGAGGTAGGGAGAGAAATGTTTAGACAGACAACTTGGGGTCATCCTATAAAAGACCTTTAATGCCAGGTTAAACTTGTACTCAATTCAGTGGATGCCAGAGATAACTGAAAGCTTTCCCTGGAGCAGTGGCATAATCGGAGCTATGCTTTGAGGCAGTGTTTTCAAACTGTGGGATATGACCCGTTATTGAGCCACAAAGTCAATTTAGTGGATCATGAATAAAACAGAATGCAGTATTGCTTTGTGAGTTTTGTGTGTGTGTATTGGGTTGTAAGGTAAAATATAGTTCTTGGCTGGCAACAGTGGCTCATGCCTGTAATGCCGGCACTTTGGGAGGATCACTTGAGTTCAGGAGTTTGAGACCAGCCTGGGCAACATGGCGAGACCTCATCTCTACTAAAAATAAAAATAAAAAATTAGCCGGATGTGGTGGTACACACCTGTAGTCCCAGCAACTGCAGAGGATCACTTGAGCCTGGGAGGTCAAGGCTGCAGTGAGCTGTGATTGTGAGCCATGATCATGCCACTGCACTCCATCCTAGGCAACAGAGCGAGACCCTGTCTCAAGTATATGTATATATTTCTTATTATGAGTCACGGTCAAAAAGGCTTGACAGCTCCAGCTTTAGCCAGGCATGGTGGTCCATGCCTATAAGTCCCAGCACTTTGGGAGGCCAAGGTGGGCAGATCACTTGAGCTCAGGAGTTCCAGACCAGCCTGAGCAACATGGTGAAATCCCGTCTCTACAAAAAATTAGCCGGGCATGGTGGTGTGTGCCTGTAGTCCCAGCTACTTGGGAGGCTGAGTCTGGAGAATGGCTTGAGCCTGGGAGGTCGAGGCTGCGGTGAGCCGTGCCACGGCACTCCAGCCCAGGTGACTGAGCGAGACCTTGTCTAAAAAAGTCTCAAAAAAGGAAAAGAAAGAAACAGGAAAGCTCCAGCTTTAGAGAGATTCATCTGAATGAGGGTGTAGAAGAGCGTGGGGGTCGAGTTAGGAGACTCCTGTCACAGCCCAAGGGGGAGGAAGGAAGTTCGGAATGGGAAAGAGAAGCCAGGGGAAGGGAAGGGAAGGAGAAGCCAGGGGAAGGGAAAGGAAGGAGTGGGCATGAGAGATTGGTGGGGGTAAGAGTGTCAGGATGTGGGGGCTCAGGGAGAGGGAAGCATCAATCAAGCATGACTAAAAGTCACACCTGGGTGCTTCAGGAAATGTTAGTGTCTACAGCCAAGGGAAGAAGCCAAGGGAAGTTCAGAGAAGGCGCTGGTTTGAGGACCATCTCAAAAGACTGACGGAAGGACACACAGCAATCATCAAATACTGGATTAGTTGAGGTCCCAGCAGGAGACAGAATCCACTCAGATGGCTTCAATGAAGAGTCCTAAGTGGGCGGGGCACGGTGGCTCACGCCTGTAATCCCAGCACTTTGGGAAGCTGAGGTGGGCAGATCACCTGAGGATAGGAGTTCGAGACCAGCCTGGCCAACATGGTGAAACCCCGTCTCTACTGAAAATACAAAAATTAGCCGGGCATGGTGGTGGGTGCCTGTAATCCCAGCTACTTGGGAGGCTGAGGCAGGAGAATCGCTTGAACCCAGGAGGCAGAGGTTGCAGTGAGCTGAGATCACGCCACTGCACTCCAGCCTGGGCGACAGAGCGAGACTCCATCTCAAAAAAAGAAAAATAAGTAAAATAAAAATAAAATAAAATAAAAAGTGTCCTGAGTGAAGGGAGGATTTCCAGAGCTGTAGGCAGGTTGAAAGGAACCAGCCTGGGATCATGAGGCCCTCAGAGGCTAATCACAGTAGGAAGCTCTTCCTCTCAGATTCCCTTGGGCCCCAAGCTTGCAGGACAGCCCTTCCCCACCTTCCCATCCACTCCCCCATCCCCAAACCAGCACACAACTGCTATTTGGCTTGTCACCATCACTGTTTCTCTTGCTACTATTATTTCTATCCTCATCATCACCCTTACCAATGCCAAGGGCTTTATACACATTCTCACTTAAACATTTTTACCTCAAGAGTTGGTGTTGGGCTGGGAGTGGTGGCTCATGCCTGTAATCCCAGCACTTTGGGAGGCCGAGGCAGGTGGATCACTTGAGGTCAGGAGTTCAAGACCAGCCTGGCCAACATGATGAAACCCCATCCCTACAAAAATACAAAAGTTAGCCAGGTGCTGTGGTGCATGCCTGTGGTCCCAGGTACTCTGGAGGTTGAGGCAGGAGAATCTCTCGTCCGGGAGGCAGAGGTTGCAGTGAGCCAAGACGGTGCCACTGCACTCCAACCTGGGTGACACAGTGAGATTCCGTCTCAAAAAAAAAAAAGAGTTGGTATCATGCCAGACCCCTATTAACCCCAATAGGGATGGCATCAGGTTCAAGAGGCTGAAGAAGAGACCCAAAGCCAATAGATGAGATAGGGGGTTTATTGAGAGGAACTTATACAGGGTGGTCCAGTGGCAGCAGGCTGGGCCAGAGAAGCACCAGCACCTACAGAAAGCATGCAGTTTCTATAGTGTTTACATTTAGTACCCTTCCCCTAACAACCTCCACCTGGCAACCTTCATTTAACCCAAAACAAAGGGCCTTGATCCCCTGCACAGCCCATTCCACAGGATGGCCCAGGCTCTCAGATGTTCCTCATAGATAAAATATAATGATGCCGGGCGTGGTGGCTCACGCCTATAATCCCAGCACTTTGGGAGGCCGAGGCAGGCAGATCACTTGAGGTGAGGAGTTCAAGACCAGCCTGGCCAACATGGCGAAACCCTGTCTCTACTAAAAATACAAAAATTAGCCAGGCGTGGTGGTGCGGGCCTGTAACCCCAGCTACTGAGGAGGCTGAGGCAGGAGAATGGCTTGAACCCAGGAGGCAGAGGTTGCAGCCTGGGTGACAGAGCAAGACTCTGTCTCAAAAATAAAATAAAAAAAGATATAATGAATCTTTGGGTTGGCCGCACTGGGAACTCTGAACACACATTCAGGTGCATCTGCCATACAGGGTCATTCTCAGGGTAGGCTTAAGTTATTACTGTCAGGTGCTTCTGCCACGCACAGGTGCATCTACCATACGCCCCACCCCAGCACGCCCTTGAATAGCTCTCATAGTCTCATCACATTCCCTGGGGCCAGATATACAGAGGAGCACTGGCACCAGCGCAGCAGCAACACAAACCACCACAACAAAAAGAACAATGAATACGACAGAAGGTTCTCCCAAGCTCTTGGGAGCTCATCTTGGATGTGCCACAGCAAGCCCCTGGTGGAGGAAAGGGGCGGCTCTTTGTAGGCTCAACAGTCCATTTTGTCCTGAAGAGAAGCCACCATCTGTGCCCAGTTGGACCGTTGCTTGTGCTGTGAGCTCAGCCTCTATGGCTCCTTAGAGCATGGTCCGAAGCGGCCAGCCAACTACAGCTGCCACAGCTCAGGAATCTGAGCCTTGCTCAGTCAGATCTACCCCCTGCAACTACCCTTCCAGACCTTTCAGTGTTTGCAGAGCATCCCTGTACTCACACATTAGGCCCAATCCATCAAGGATAGCGGCTCTTGGGCCCCATATAGACATGGACAGCCAACCTGGGATTTCCCCCTGCAGATCTCCCCTTTTCCAATCTCATCATCTGGGGCTTTTCTCCCACCTCCTGCTGGGCTCACCACCTATCATACTGGACCCCATTAACTCCAGTAGGTCAGGATGTTACTTTTGGGACTAGAAAAAAATTAAAAATTTAAAATATTTTAAAAATTAAAAAAAAAAAAAACTTCCAGTGGGGATGGTGCCATGTCTGAGAGGCCAAAGAAGAGACCCAGCGAATGAGACATAGGGTTATTTTTTTGTTCTTTTTCTTTTTTTTTTTTTCACTAGAGATGGGCCTTGCTATATTGCCCAGGCTGCTTTCAATCTCCTGGGCTCAAGGGATCCTCCTGCCTCAGCCTCCCAACGTGCTGGGATTATAAGCAGGAGCCACTGCACACAGCCAACATAGAGTTTATTGAAGGGCACTTACATAAAGAGTGGTCTGATGGAGGTGAACTGGACAGGAGAATTGCCACTGCTTGTAAAAATGCATGCAGTTGGCCAAGCGCGGTGGCTCACGCCTGTAATCCCAGCACTTTGGGAGACCGAGGCGGGAGGATCACAAGGTCAGGAGATCGAGACCATCATGGCTAACACGGTGAAACTCCATCTCTACTAAAAATATAAAAAATTAGCCGGGCGCAGTGGTGGGCGCCTGTAGTCCCAGCTACTTGGGAGTCTGAGGCAGGAGAATGGCTTGAACCTGGGAGGCGGAGCTTGCAGTGAGCCGAGATCGTGCCACTCCACTCCAGCCTGGGCAACAGAGAGAGACTCCATCTCAAAAAAAAAAAAAAAAAAAAAAAAGCATGCAGTTTATATAGCATTTTCACTTAACACCCATCCCCTGACAACCACCACCTGGCAACCTTCACTTAAACCAACACAAAGGGCCTTGATCCCCTCTACAGCATTCCATGGTCAGGACAAGAGCTCAGATGTTCCTTATAGATAAGGAATGAATCTCTGAGTTGGCATGCTTGGGACTCAGCATACACATTCAGGTGCATCTGCCATACAGTGTCATTCTCAGGGAATGTTTAGGTTATTGCTGTCAGGCGTGTCTCCCATACACAGATGTGTCTACCATACAGTTGGTCCTATCTTTTTTTTTTTTTTTTTTTTTTTTTTGAGACAGGATCTTGCTCTTTCACCCAGGCTAGAGTGCAGTGGTGTGATCATAGCTCACTGCAGCCTTGAATTCATGGGCTCAGGCGATCTTCCCACCTCAGCCTCCTAAGTAGCTAGGACCACAGGTGTGTGCCACCACACCTGGATAATTTTTTATATTTTTTGTAGAGATGGGGGTCTTGCCATGTTGCTGAGGCTGATCTCAAACTCTTGGCCTCAAGTGATCCATCCACCTCAACTTCCCAAAGTGCTGGGATTACAGGCAAGAGCTGCTGCTTCTGGCTAAGAGCTAGTCCTGTCATTATTACAAATTTACAAATAAAGAAATTGAAACTGGACTGGCCACAGTGGCTCATGCCTGTAATCCCAACACTTTGGGAGGCTGAGGCAGGTGGATCACCTGAGGTCAGGAGGTGGCTCATGCCTGTAATCCCAGCACTTTGGGAGGCCAAGGTGGGTGATGGCTTGAGCCCAGGGCTTCAAGACCAGCCTGGGCAACATGGTGAAACACCATCTCTACAAAAAATACAAAAATTAGCCAGGTGTGATGGTGCACACGTGTATCTCAGCTACTTGGGAGGCTAAGGTGGGAGGATCCCTTGATTCCAGGAGGTGGAGGTTGCAGTGAGCTGAGATCACGCCACTGCACTCCAGCCTGGGTGACAGAGAGAGATCCTGTCTCAAAACAAAACAAACAAGCAAAAAAAAAAAAACTCGGCCAAGTTCACAGTTAGTAAACGACAAAGTTGGAATATGAAGCCAGGCATCTTCTTGATCACTCCTAATCACTATAGTGTACTACTAATTACCAAGAAATAGACAATAACAAAGGTAGCAAATAACAAGGCAGGTAACCAAGCATAGTCATCAGTGATGTCGCACACTGTGAGTGGGACCAGGCCTCTCATAATCCTGCTTCCCTAATTTCTTCTTAGAAGCTCTAGTGGGACTCAGCCGGAAGCTGTGGCTTATGCCAGTGATCCCAACACTTTAGGAGGCCAAGGCAGGAGAATCATGAGGTCAGGAGTTCGAGACCAGCCTGGCCGACATAGTGAAACCCTGTCTCTACTAAAAATACAAAAATTAGCTGGGCATGGTGGTGCACATCTGTAGTCCCATCTGCTCAGGAGGCTGGGGCAACAGAATCGCTTGAACCCGGGAGGCGGAGCTTGCAGTGAGCCGAGATGGTGCCACTGCACTCCAGCGTGGATAACAGAGTGAGACTCCGTATCAAAAAAAAAAAAAAAAAAGAAGCTCTAGTGGGACTTATATCTGGAAAATCCCTCTCCCACTCTCTCACGGCCCACAGGATTGGCTGCTGGAGTCATAATTTCTCATGTTAGCCTGGAGTGAAATTGGATTACCCTAGTTAGGGACCTTGCACCCAGCAGCGTCTTTCAGAACCTCCTCCCCAGTGTTCATGTGGTTAGGGACTGTTCTACTCAGCAGTTGCCCAGCAGTTGCTTTAAGTAGACAGGCTGTTGTCTGGTGACTCATCTGGGGCCTCAGGAGGCTTCGTGGACGGCAAGCTGCCTTCTGCTCCCTTGCTCCTCTCCCCTCGCCCTCCTCCGTGGAAGTCCTGCCAGGAAGCCCATGGTCCAGCTCACGTCTTTGCTCAGGTGCCTCTGCCATGTGTTACCTAACTAGGGCTAAGGCTGGTTCTATCCTACTTCAGACAGTCCAAACAACTCTGAACTTCATTTTCCAGCAGCTGAGTGGCCCTAGGACCCAGGGCCTGTCGGCCTTCTCCTGTGCCTCCACCCGCCCACGCTGACCACTGTCCTACAGGTCAGAAGCAACCACTCCCACCCCCACTCCCCGCCTCTCAGTAGGTCTCTTCTCACGGCAGAAGGCCCCAGTGGCCTGCTCCGCTCAGGGATCCAAGCCTGCGGAGGACTGAGCCAGGGCTCCCCAGCTCACGCCTGCAGCCTCGTGCTGCTGCCTGATGACTCATCCTCATGCCCATGACTTCCTCCCACGCTTTATTTCAGGAAATTACTTTGGAGAATGACCTCGATTTTTTTTTAAACAATAGAAAAATACTTTTCATCTACAGGGAACAAGCGACAATCCCCAATGCTATTAACTGTTCCGACCCCTGCAAAAGAGGCTTTATAAAACCAGGCTAACAAGGACAAGGAAGGGGCAAATAGGGCTGTCCTGGTGAAAGTGGAAGAACGTTAACCATTTTGCTTCAAATAGAATAGGAAAGGAACAAGGGCAGTCAAGAAGAATGTAAACCTGAGAGAAATCGCATGTTAAGAGAAGCTCATCCAGCTACTTGAAGTGCCATCAAGTCTCTATGCCCAGACAAATTATGTCCTTGGGTGTGGGTTGCAAATTTTTTAGTAGTGTAACTTTTTCAGATAAATCTTAGAAGAACTCTAATTTAAAAATACCGGCCAGGCGCAGGTGGCTTACGCCTGTAATCCCAGCACTTTGGGAGGCCAAGGTGGGTGGATCACCTGAGGTAGGCAGTTCAAGACCAGCCTGGCCAACATGGTGAAACCCTATCTCTACTAAAAATACAAAAATTAGCTGGGCGTGTTGATGGACGTCTGTAATCCCAGCTACTCAGGAGGCTGAGGCAGGAGAATTGCTTGAACCCGCGAGGTGGAGGTTGCAGTGAGCTGATCGCGCCACTGCACTCCAGCCTGGGGGACAGAGCGAGACTCCATCTAAAAAAATAGACATAAAAATACCAAGGAGGCCGGGCGCAGTGGCTCACGCCTGTAACCCCAGCACTTTGGGAGGCTGAGGCGGGCAGATCGCTTGAGGCCAGGAGTTCCAGACCGGCCTGGACAACATGGCGAGACCCCACCTCTACAAAAACACAAGAATTACCTGGGTGTGGTGGTGGGCGCCTGTAATCCCAGTTACTGGGGAGGGTGAGACAGGACAATCACTTGAACCAGGAGGTGGAGGTTGTAGTGAGCCGAGATCAAGCCACTGTACTCCAGCCTGGGCAACAGAGTGAGACTCTGTCTCAAAAAACAATAAAAGATAAAAACACAAAAGAAATAATTTATGAATCTACATTTAAGTTAAAATTCATTTAGCATTCACTTCTCATAAAGTCAATCTATGAGAAAAATTACCATTTTGATGAACACCAAAATTTGAAATAATACAGGCATAACCATTGCAATCTTTTATCAAGCTCAGCATTTAATTTACTTCATATTGTTTTAGTTGCAAAAGATAAACACATATTTAAAAACAGCTTGCCTTGTCATTTATCTCATCTTAAAACTGATCCAATTTGGAAAAGGAATACCAGAACGTTTTTTAACTTTCAAAGTGAATTATTAAGACCACTGAAGCTGGATGCCATGGCTTATGCCTGTAATCCCAACACTTTGGGAGACCAAGGCAAGAGAATCACTTAAGTCCAGAAGTTTGAGATCAGCCTGGGCAACATAGTGAGACTTTGTGCAAAAAAGTTTATAAATTAACTGGATGTGGTACTTGGGAGGCTGAAGGTACTTGACCTCACTTGAGCCTGGGAGGTCGAGGCTGCAGTGAGCCTAGATCGTGCCACTGCATTCCAGCCTGGGTGACCAAGGAAGACCTTGTCTCAAACAAACAAACAAAAAAAGACTATTAAATTTCTTGTCCTAAATAAAAAGTTGGACACAAAACACAAAATACTCAAAACTTTTCATAAGCAGTAGAGCCTCAGGGTGGGTTACACATCGCTCGTGAATGCACAACTGAGGCATGACAAGAATATGAACCAAAAATCCTGAGCCTTGTGCAGCAGTTGTCTTCTCGGGAACATTGTCGCAGGAACAGATAGAAAAGGCCAGGGCAGACCCCTAACCTTCCTAATCAGTGGCACAACTCAGTAATTTTTGATGATGGAAGTAAGAATAGTAACAAGAGGCGGTGCTCTTGACTTGGAAGGGACACAAGGAAACTTTCCAGAGTGTTGGACACTGTCTATATCTTGTTATACGTAGTGATTATATGGAGTATATATGTGGGAAAATTCATGAGCTATACGCTTAAGAATTGTGCATTCTGCTGTAGATTAATTATACTTCAATGTCCTGTTAGCTGAAAGAGTCAGTGAAAGAGAGAGGGACAGAGAGAGAGGCAGGGAGGAAAGAAGGAAGGGCCCAGAAAGCTTCAATCCAAGATTTGCTCAAAAGACTGCCAGCAAAAGTTATGTGCCAGCATTATTATAATTTGGTACCTAGCACAGCAACACATTGTGTTTTCAGTTATAGGTTTTTAAATTTTTTTATTTTCATTTTTGTTTATTCTTTTGAGACAGAGTCTCTTAAGCCTCCCAGGTTCAAGTGATTCTCCTGCTTCAGCCTCCCAAGTAGCTGGGATTACAGGTGTCTGCCACCATGCCTGGCTAATTTTTGTATTTTTTTTTTTTTTTTAGTAGAGAGGAATTTCACCATGTTGGCCAGGCTGGTCTTGAACTCCTGACCGCAAGTGATCCACCCGCCTTGGCCTCCCCAAGTACTCGGATTACAGGCATGAACCACCAGGTTAAAGAAAAAAAATTTTTTTTAATGGAGGCTGGGTGCAGTGGCATACTCCTATAATCCCAGCACTTCGGGAGGCTGAGGCAGGAGGATCACATGAGCCCAAGAGTTTGAGACCAGCCTGGCCAATACAGTGAGACCCCCATCTCTAGTTTTAAAAAATAAAAATAATAAAATAATAAAAATAATGGAGATAGGGACTCCCTACATTGCTCAGGCTGGTCCTGAACTCCTGGGCTCAAGTGATCCTCCCACCTCAGCCTCCCAAAGTGTTGGGATTATAGGCATGAGCCACCATACCTAGGCTGTTTTTAATTATAGTTAAAAAAAATTTTTAAATCAAATCCAAGTATATTTAAATATAAAATTCAAATCAAATGTATTAAAAAGATGAAATTCAAATCACCAGTGACCTCACAATCACTCCTGGCAGTCTTCAAGAAATCATGGAAAACTGAAGAAGTGGTAGGTGACCAGGGATGAACAAATGACCTGAATGTCGAACCAGTGGAAAAGTCAAGCACAGCATGCCTGGTCCCATGGAGAACACACAGGCTTGATGAGTAGATAGCAACCTAGGTTCACATCCTAACTCTGCCAGTTACCTGAGGTCCTGCAACTAGCGCCTTGCCAAATCCACAGCCCCAGTTGCCTTGTCTGTAAAACGGGTACAAGGCCATCTGCCTCAGAGTTGGTGGCAGATTGAGAAGATAGCTAAAATTTCCAGTACAGTTAGCCAGCCCCCAGCCAAATGTTAGGTTTCTTTTCTGCTCTATTCCATAATGCTATACAATATGCTGGATTTAGAGAGGATATGCCCGCCTTCAGGAAGGCATGCCTTCTGACTGTTTTTCCAGAGGCAAAGATGAATTTTTATCTCACCATCCACAACCACACGTGGCCCTCATTGCTTGAATGAGACATTCCAGATGTCAATGATACCGTACACAGGCCCCTGATAGAAGCATTCCACACAACTGGAGGTGCTAGCCATCCTTGCCTTGTAGAGAAAATGATCAGAATGTGAGTGGAGCAGGCCAGTCACCCTACTTCCTGCTTCCACCACTATAGGAGCAGAACATAAATGTGTCAAAGAAGGGAAGGAGCTGCTCTTGCCTTGCTGGGTTTCTCCTTCCTTCTCTTTTCTGTTGCTCCCAGCCCAGCTCAGGAAGTAGGAGAAAAATAACCAAAGGCAAGGAGACAGAAAGCATCTATTTCCCCATTCTTTGACCACAGGAGTGAAAACAAGTGTCTCATTGCTAATTAAATGTCAGGTTGGTGATGTCCTGGTGGGGTGGTGTGTACACTTTGGAGACAGGTGTGGCTGTCACACCAGGGTGTTAGTCTCAGTGTTTTTCAGTGGAAGCTCCCCAACTTGATCTGTCTGAAGCATTTACTCATAGGGACCAGAATTTAGGTCTCAGGGTCCAGTGTCCCCTTTCAGATCATGACCTCAAAGAAATGGTTTTGAACTGCAAGGAAAACAAGCCAGGCTACCAAGGCTTGTCTGTGAGTCTTCAGGTGCCAGGAAGCCTGCCTCTCAGGTGCTGCTGATCTCTAATAACCTGGATTTTCGTCTTCCAGTTTCAGAGATCTAAACCACTCATGCCCTGAAAATATCTCAATTCCAAAGCATTTCTCTTTGCCTGGGTAAACTGGGGTATAAACAGCTACCTTCTGCTTTGATAAATTCTGTTCAGCTAGGAATTCGAAGACACCAGAAACATGGAAAAGACTTGCTGAGAAGTCACTGCCCCATAACTTTTTCCTGATCTTAAGGGTCAGCCCAGGGCTAAGCTGACCCTGTATAGCACTGACTGGCCTTATGTGCTGGCACTGGGGCTGCATTCACCTTTATATTTCACGCTCACAGAGTAGGGAATGCTTCTGTGAACTGGCCTTGAAAAAGCTTTACAGAATCCACAGTCTAGATGTTCTCTGCCTGTCCTGTTTGCCTGTTATGTTTCAAGAATGTGACCCGACAGCCTCCACACCCAGATGACTCAGCCCTAGCTTTAACGAGTGTTTTTGAGGCCTTTCTGGGGCAGGGCCTCTTCAGTCATGTCGGCCAGGTGCTCCCCAGGCTAGCACTGCCCCGCCCCTGCGTGATCCGGGATGGGAGTTTGGAAACTGCTCCCCATAGGCGGCCGGAGAGGAACGTGAATCTTTGTCTGTTTCACTCCTCAGCAGCTCACTCTTGGCCCCAGGAGGAAAACGAGAAGGTTAACCAGGCATAACCCGGAGGTGTAAGTCAGAGGTTAGGAAAAACGTTATGTGGTGGGATTGGTTTTAGAGCTGGCCACCTGGCTTCCTGTTGCTTTGAGAAAAAGACAGGTTGATATCAACTAGGGGTTGTGTGAAGAAGCCTGTCTTTTAGCTAATTGGCCTTTGATGTGTGGGACATTCAAGTTGCTCAAAAAACGAAGCCAAAAAATCAAAAATGGCTAAGCTCCTGGGGGTAAAATGGAAGAAATAAATAATACTTAGCAACTCAGAGATTCTCAGAGACTGGCTAAAAAAGAGATGGAGGAGAAAAAAAGATTCCTGTGCTCTAGAGCCATGACAAAACTGGATAAACAGCCTCAGAAGAGATATTAATGAGTTATCTTTAAATGTGTGCTCCTTTTTGAAAAGGAATTGCTTAGGGAAGGTGTATGTCTTAATTACTACTCTTACTAAATGGGAAAACTTTAGCCGATTCTTGCTCTTTGGTAAAGATGATTAGGTGTTAAAAATTCAGGCCTCCTTGCAAAAATGCAAATACACTCCATTTATTAGTGAGCTGTAACAAAAGCAGACTTAAACAATAATTTTTATGAAAAGAGATGAAATGCAAATGCAATTCACACATTCACCAATGATTCTTCGGTTTGCTGCACGTTGTCTGTGAATCATCTAACACGAAACAGCTGTAAGGCCTCTCTGCTCTAAGGACATAATGAGTTCTGCCAGGAACTGCAACCCAGCTTGTGGTCTAGTTGTTGACAGAATTTGCATAATACGTGCTCTTGCCAACCAGGCCTACCCTACAGGGTCGCTATTCATGCCCTCCTGCAGGCCCTGGGTGGACGTATTTGGGGCTGGCTCTGGCCCCAGCAGGAAGCACAGGCCTCCCGGTTGCTCTTGCCAAAGTGTTGCCTGATTCCTGGCCACACTCATAGGTTTGTTTGCTTTGTTGGAGGAGGGCCTTTTAATCTGATATAATTTCAATGTTGCAGAAAAATTACAAGAACAATGGAAGGAATTCCTACAATCCTTTATCCAGAGTCACTGATGGTTTCCATTTTTGTCTTAACATTCTCTATCCATAAATATGTATGTGTGATATATATATGTATATATAGCAACATTTAAGAGTAAATTGTTGGTTGAGCACAGTGGCTCATGGCTGTAATTGCAGCACTTTGGGAGGCCAAGGCAGGAGGATTGCTTGAGGTCATGAGTTTGAGACCAGCCTGGGCAACATAGGGAGACCCCTGTCTCCACCCAAAATAAAAAAGTTAGCTGGACGTGGTGGCATGTGCCTGCGGTCCCAGCTATTCAGGAGGCTGAGGTGGGAGGATCACTTAGGCCCAGGAGGTTGAGGTTGCGTTGCAGAGTGAGCCATGATCGTGCCACTATACTCCAGCCTGGGCAACAGAGCGAGACCTGTCTCAAAAAAAATAAAAAGTAACTTGAAAACTTCAGTGTGCTTTTTTTTTTTCTTTTTTTTTGAGATGGAGTCTCACTCTGTTGCCCAGGCTGGAGTGCAGTGGCACAATCTCGGCTCACTGCAACCTCTGCTTCCTGGGTTCGGGTGATTCTCCTGCCTCAGCCTCCCGAGTAGCTGGGATTACAGGCAGGTGCCACCACACCCGGCTAATTTTTTGTATTTTTAGTAGAGATGGGGTTTCACCGTGTTAGCCAGGGTGGTCTCGATCACCTGACCTCGTGACCCACCCTCCTCAGCCTCCCAAAGTGCTGGGACAAAAAAGACAAAAATGCAAACCATCAGTGACTCTGGATAAAGGATTATAGGAATTCCTTCTATTGTTTTGTAGAGACCCTGTCTCTAAAAAAAAAAATGGGGGGTGCTGGGACAGGGTCTCACTCTGTCCCACAGGCTGGAGTGTAATA
Source organism: Homo sapiens (assembly GCF_000001405.40). NCBI lineage: Eukaryota > Metazoa > Chordata > Mammalia > Primates > Hominidae > Homo > Homo sapiens. The sequence goes on along the minus strand of NC_000014.9, from coordinate 55,101,270 downwards.
ACACAATCCTAGCTTACTGTAACCTCAAACTCCTGGGCTCAAGTGATCCTCCTGCCTCTGCCTCCCAAGTAGCTGGAACTACAGGCACTTGCCACCGTGCCTGGTAAAGTTTTACATATTTTTTCCAGAAATGGGGTCTCATTATATTGCCCAAGCTGGTCTCAAACTCCTGGCCTTAGACAATCCTCCCACTTTGGCCTTCAGTGTGCATTTTCCAAGAACAAAGACACTCTCTTATATTCCCTTACATTTTCTTACATGGTACAGTTAACACAATCAGGAAATTAAGTATTAATACAGTACTACTATCTATCTCATCCATTGCCCTAACAAGGCTTTTACTTGTTTTTCCTGTGTCCAAGATCACACAACAGCATTTTGTTGCCAGGTCTGTTTATTTTCCTTCTCCAAGCATCTTACTGGAAGGCACATGATATTGGATATTGGATATTGGTTTATGCCAATATAGTGACGTAAAGTTTGATGACTTGATTAAAGTGGTGTCTGCTACTGTGGAGTTATTATTTTTCCTTTGTAACAAATAAGTAATTTGTGGCAGCATACTTTGCAACTGTATAATTATCCTATTTCTTATCAAACATGTACTCACCAGTTTTAGCATTCATTGATGATTTTCTCCCTTCGTCATTCCTTCTATATTTATTAGTTGGCATTCTACTGTAATGACGAGATTTCCGCCAGGCATAGCGGCTCACACCTGTAATTCTAGCACCTTGAGAGGCCAAGGCAAGAGGATCACTTGAGTTCAAGAGGTTGAGACCAGCCTGGGCAACATAGTGAGACCCTGTCTCTACAAATAATTTAAAACAAAAATTAGCCAAGCATGATGGTACATGCCTGTAGTCCCAGCTATTCGGGAGGCTAAGGTGGGAGGAACACTTGAGCCCAGGAGACCAATGCTGCAGTGAGCTATGATTGTGCCACTACACTCCAACCTGGGCAACAGAATGAGACCTTGTCTCAAAAAAAAAAAAAAAAAAGAAAATTTAAAAAGAGAGATTTCCCCTCCCATTTAAAAAAATGCATTTATTTATTTATATCTATATGGATTCTTATTTTATTCAACGGGATAAGGCCCATTACAAATATTATTTATTTTGATACTTAAATTGTTTCAGATTCGGCCAGTTAGGAGTCTCTCCAAACTGGCTTCTGAGTCCTTACAACATCCCATTTTTCTTGGAGCACTTCCTTACATTTTGGCACAAGATGTTTCAGGCTAATCCTCTCCAGCTTTTCCTGCTCCAGCTTTGGAATAAACCATTTCTCAAGGATCCCTGGTTCCTTTAGTGAAGCATGATATTTAGAAACCAAGACCTGGGTGCTTACATGCTCATTCCTATTGGTGTGTCGTTGCTTGTAGGCCCTGTCAGCAGACAGGATTAGGCAATAGATTATACACACACATATATACACACAGAAATAGCTATAGAGACATAGATGTATATTAGAAAATATGAATTCCTACTGATTAACTCCAGTTCCAATGTAATAAACTTTCCATATTTGTAACTTCTTTCCCCAACAGTGAAAAATCTGGTTCCCCTTAGACTTAAGCTCAAGAATACACAGAATGTAGTTTCAGAATTGCTAGTCCATAGCACTGCTAAAAGTAAACCTAACCAGAGTTCAATTTGCTAACCTTTTTTTTTTTTTTTTTTTTTTGAGACAAAGTCTCGCTCTTGTCGCCCAGGCTGGAGTGCAATGGTGTGATCTTGGCTCACCACAACCTCTGCCTCCTGGGTTCAAGCAATTCTCCTGCCTCAGCTTCCCGAGTAGCTGGGACTACAGGTGCCTGCCACCACGCCCTGCTAATTTTTTGTATTTTTAGTAGAGATGGGGTTTCACCATGTTGGCTAGGCTGGTCTCAAACTCCTGACCTCAGGTGATCCGCCTGCCTTGGCCTACCAAAGCTCTGGGACTACAGGCATGAGCCATCGTGCCTGGCCTGCTCACATTTTTAAAGGTAAAATTTATATATATAGAAATGCACAAGTCCTAAGTATACAATTCAACAATTTTTTATAAATAGATACACCCTTGTGACTTATAGTTTTTTTTTTTGTTTTTTTGTTTTGTTTTGTTTTGTTTTTTTTTGACACAAGGTCTCATTCTGTGCCCAGGCTGGGGTGTAGTGGTTGACCATGGCTCACTGCAGCCACCACCTTCCAAGTTCAAGTGATCCTCTCACCTCAGCCTCCAGAGTAGCGAGGACTACAGGAGCACACCACCATACCTGGCTAATTTTTGTAATTTTTGTAATTTTTGTAAAGGTGGGGTTTCACCATGTTGCCCAGACTGGTTTCAAACTCCTAGGCTTAAGCAATATACCTGCCTTGGCCTCTCAAAGTGCTGGGACTACAGACATGAGCCATCACACCTGGCCCATACTTCTTTCCTTTCTTCTGCTTCTGCTGCTTCTTCCACTTCTTCTTCTGCTTCTTCTTCTGTTTCTTTTTCTGCTTCTTCTGCTGCTGCTTCCTTCTTTCTTTCTTTCTTTTTTTTTTTTGGTAGAGATGGGTTCATGCTATGTTGCCCAGGCTGGTCTCGAACTTCTAGACTCAAGCAATCCTTCCTGCCTCAGCTTCCCAAAGTGCTGGGGTTACAGGCACTAGTCACCATGCCCTGCCTAAATCTTGCTTCTTTTTTTCCAATTTCTTGATGGTTACAGTCCTGTCTTCCAGTGACAGCCCGAGACAGGAGCTTGTGAGGTTTCCTCACGAGGGTTCCTTGTGAGCATGACTGAGATAGACAGGAACCATGTGTCTTGTGGGTGATTAGTAAATGTGAAACTACTCAGCCAACCCAGAAGATGTGGCACATGGCCAGAGTTGGGAGGACAAAGAGAGAAGGTAGGTGGGCTCCTACACACACTGAAACGCTTATTAATGACTCTCAGTAGTGCAAAGGCAAGACTTCTGGTGCAGGGTAGAAACTATGGTTCCTTAGAACCAGGAAGTTACACCCAGGTTAATATTTCGATAACAGTGGGGTTGTAATAGCTTATTTTCCAGGCTCCCTAATGAAAAGGGTCAGTGTGATTCAATCATGAGAGCTTCTGAAAAGGCTCTTTGACATGAAGGCATTTAGCTCTGCTCTTCATGTTGGCCCTTGACTATGTTAACAGTTTAATAAGCAGTTGCTTGTTCTGTCTGTGGCTTTGGTGTGCTTGAATTCCTCCCAACAAGGCTAAAAGCTCCTTGAGGGAGGTGACAGTATCATGCATTTTTCTGTTTTCCTACCTTGTCAGGTGACCAGGAAATGTCTAGTAGATACTTCTGAATTGAATCGAGTCTTCTTAGTCACCTTGACAAGTTCTTGTTTCTATTGTATCTGACTTCCTAGTGAGTAGGCACTCACACTGGCTGAATACATCATAAACCAATTCCACTAAATTGTTGCTAATCAAATTGTTAGTCCTTTCAGGAATCTGTGTTTTAGCAGATGACAATAATGAATGAGCGATGCTTATTAATCCAAATAGAATTGACCCAATAGTGGAATTACAGGCAATAGGGAGCTGGGGGGAGAAGGACTTTGATGAGCAGGGGGCTCCTTGCTGCCTCACCAGTAGTGCCACATCACCTGTGTCACTCTTCCCTGAGGTCACAGAATGTTGGGCCATAAAGGGATCATTATCTTTTTCTGATGGACCTCTTTTGCTCTCCTGACTCTTCTCTTTCCTATTCAATTTTAGTTTGTTTCCTTTGGTCCAACAGCAAATTGGCTGTAGCACCTTCTTCTAAAGAGCCCTGTAGACACCAGCATCTCTTGCCAGGATCTCCTAGTGCAAACCCTCTAAGCTTTCTGCTTTTATCCCCTCTAGCAAGACTGTGCAGATACTAGCGGGCAGGCAACCAGGGCCTCTGTAGGGCTGGGATCCCCTCCACAACAGGCCAGATTCATTCCGGAATTTGGTTCCAACTCTGTAGATCCTAGATTTCCTCAGCTGCTCAGTGGTGCGGGTTCTGCCTCTGCCTGCCTTCCTCTGCTGCCCTGACCCTGGTCGAGCCCTCACTGACTTTTACCTAGATTATTTTAACACCTACTTCCTAATGAGTCTACCTGCCGCTGGCTGTGGTAAGATGTATAACTATTCGGGCCGTGATCCCAAATTTACGATTAGCCTCCTACTGGGGCCACCACTGGCCCCACTACTCCTTGAGAGGTATGTGCAGGTGACAAGTCTAGGGAAAGAGACCATTTAATACCCCACTTAGAACTCCACCCAAACAATCTAGACTGGGCCACAGCTGAACTTGTGGGGGAGGTTCTTATTTGGATCCAAGGCTAATGGTTGTCTCGCAATCTTGGCTTCAATTAGAATCATCTGGGGAACTTTAAAAACTACCAACATTTCATGATGAAATTTTGCTGTGTTAAAACAAATTTTTAAAAAACAAATAGGGCTGGGTGCGGTGGCTCACGCCTGTAATCCCAGCACTTTAGGAGGCCGAGGCAGGCAGATTACTTGAGGTCAGGAGTTCGAGACCAGCTGGCCAACATGGTGAAACCCCACCTCTACTAAAAATACAAAATAAATTAGCCTGGCATGGTGGTGGGCACCTGTAATCCCGGCTACTCTGGAGGCTGAGGCATGAGAATTGCTTGAACCTGGGAGGCGGAGGTTGCAATGTGCTGAGATCATGCCATTGCACTCCAGCCTGGGCAACAGAGTGAGACTCCATCTCAAAAACATAAAATAAAAAATAAATAAATAAATAATAAATACGAATGACCAGCCCCTACTCCCTGAGTTTTGGCTTAATTAGATTATTAGACTGGGATGAAGTCTAAGCATGCTTATTCTTTTTTTTTTTTGGAGACAGAATCTCGTTCTGTCGCCCAAGCTGGAGTGCAGTGGCTCAATCTCGGCTTGCTGCAACCTCTGCCTCCTGGTTTCAAGCAATTCTCCTGCCTCTGCCTCCTGAGTAGCTGGGACTACAGGCACAAGCCACCATGCCCAGCTAATTTTTGTATTTTTAGTAGAGACAGGATTTCACTGTGTTGGCCAGGCTGATTTCAAACTCCTGACTTGGTGATCCACCCACCTCAGCCTCCCGAAGTGCTGGGATTACAGGTGTGAGCCACCGCGCCCAGCCTATTCTTTCCTTTGAAATGAACTTTCATAAAAGCACAAAAGCACTTAAGTCCAAAAAAGAAAGGTTACCAGTTCATTATCAGTATATTTTACATATTATTACAAATTTCCATTACAGTTTTAATTGCTGCAAAATGTCCAATGTAGTAAGCACCTGCCATTTGTTGAAGGTTTAATTTGTTTCCAATTTTTAGCAATTATAAAAGGAATCATAATGAGAGCAACTGTCACATATATTTTCTTTAAAAAATATTTCCTTAGGAAAAATTCCCAGAAGTTTTATTGCTGAACAAAATGGTATGAAAATATTTTTGGCTGGGCAAGGGGGCTCATGCCTATAATCCCAGCACTTTGGGAGGTTGAGGTGGAAGGATCGCTTGAGGCCAGGAGTTCAAGACCAGCCTGGCCCAACATGGTGAAACCCCATCCCTACAAAAAAAAAAAAAAAATTAGCAGGGCATCATGGCACGTGACTGCAGTCCTGGCTACTCAGGAGGCTGAGTTAGGAGGGTCGCTTGACCCTGGGAGGTCGAGGCTGCAGTGAGCCGTGATCATGACACTGTACTTCAGCCCAAGTGACAGAGCTAGACCCTATCTCAAAAATAAAAATTAAAAAACATTTTAGACTTTGGTATTGTCAAATTGCTTTTCAAAGGGTTCTTAACCAATTTACACTCATTCCAGAATAAAAGAAACGTTCGATTTATCCAGCATTGGATATTTGCTAAAATAACAAAACATTTATTCTATACTTCAGTGTATATGTCTATACACTAAGCAGCATAAATGACATCTCGGTTAACAATGAACTACATATATGATGGTTGCCCCATAAGATTATAATGGAGCTGAAAAATTCCTATTGACTAGTGTCGTCATAGTTATTGTAATGTAGTAGCATGACGCATTACCTTTTCTATGTTTAGATGTGTTTAGATACACAAATACCATTGTGTTAGGATAGCCTACAGTGTTCAGTACAGTAACATGCCGTATAGGTTTATAGCTTAGGAGCAAGAATAGGCTTTATAGTGTATCCTAGCTGTGTAGTAGGCTATATCATCTAAGTTTGTGTAAATAAACTCTGTGATGTTCATCTAATGACAAAATCACCTAACAATGCATTTCTCAAAACACATCCCTGTCTCTTATAAGTGATGCATGACTAAGCGTGAGGCTTACGTATTCTTTAAAAGCTCCCCAGGCAATTCTAAGGAGGAGTCTGGGTAGAAAACAAGTGGTCTCCACTGGAAGTCAGCCAAATTATTGTAGCCTGTTTTCCTCAGCTCCTGGAGATCTTTTGCTCTGATAGCAAAAGGCACAGGAAGAGAACCTCAAGGAAGGCTGGGCAAGGTGACATATGCCTGTAATCCCAACATTTCGGGAGGCTGAGGAAGGAGGATCACTTGCATCGGGAGTTTGAGGTCTCACTATGTTGCCTAGTGACATCATAGCTATTGTAATATAGTGGCACAACACGTTACCACGTACCACCTCACCTGGCTAATTTTTTTTTTTTTTTGTAGAGACAGGGTCTCACTGCATGCCTGTAGTGCCAGCTACTCAGGAGACTGAGGTGGGAGGATCTCTTGAGCCCAGGAGGTCGAGGTGGCAGTGGCCCATGATTGCATCACTGTACTCAGTCTGTGAGTATCTCAAAACAAACAAACAAACAAACAAACAAGGAAATGGGCACTAAGGGAAAGAAGAGGTTTCTTCTTAAGGCCTGGGGCCAAGCCAAGCCATCCTCTCTGAGTTTCCTAGGGAGGGGTTCTTCTCTAGCTGCCTGGGTTTGGAAAGAGACCCAGGAAAGGGAAAACAAAATAAGAAAAGGACATGCGGTGCATAGTCAGGAGCTTAGATCCTCTCCCCCAGCTTGCAGTCTGCTTTCCAGCCCTTGGCCCTGACTCCCAGAAGCCTCTGGCTGTGCTAACATCCCCATCAAATGTGCCTCCATGCCTCCTCCATACTCCATCCCCATAGTTTTTATGGGGAAGCACTATTGGTGCATCCTAAATAACATAGAAATAAATAGGGCAAAATGGGAAAGTTCCCCTCACCGACCCCCACTTCCGCTCCCTTGCTCAGAAATAACCTGATAATAGTTTAGTGTGTATCCTTCAAGACCTTTCTCCCCCTCCTCCTCCCCCTCGTCCTCCCCCTCCTCCTCCTCCTTCTTCCTAGATGTTTTTCTATCAGCTTATCAAGTCTAACATGTGAAATAGTGTGTGCCTGTGTGTACATACAAATTGTTTTAATCCATACATGGGATCATGCTATATGTAGTTTTCTCCAACTTGCTTTTATCATTAACAACATAGCATAAACTTCTTTCCATGGTGGTTAATATAGAGCTGCCTCATTTCTTTTCATGGCTGTGTGATAATCCATGGTATATGATTATATATAATTTTTTTTTTTGAGACAGAATCTCACTCTGTTGCCCAAGCTGGAGGTCAGTGTTGTGATCTCAGCTCACTGCAACCTCCACCTCACGGGTTCAAGTGATTCTCCTCCTGCCTCAGCCTCCGGAGTAGTTGGGACTACAGGCGCATGCCACCATGCCCAGCTAATTTTTGTATTTTAGTAGAGACGGGGTTTCACCATGTTGGCCAGGTTGGTCTCGAACTCCTGACCTCAAGTGATCCACCTGCCTCAGCCTCCTAAGGTGCTGGGATTACAGGCGTGAGCCACCGCACCCAGCTGATTATATATAATTTAACACTTCCTGTTGCTGGATGTTTTCGTCGTTTCTCTTTTTCTCTTTGATGACAATGCTATAATGAACACCTTTGTATATGTCTTTGTGCCATCTACCTGGCTTTGAGTATTGCCACTGCAGAAAATTCCTGATGTTGGGCCCCAATTAAGCAAGCAGACTCCAAGCTATCTCTGCTGCCCCCAGGACTCCTTTAGACTCTGGCAGAACAGCAGCCTGCCTCAGTTCCCACACTATGATCCTGCACGTGTGGTTGAAGACACACCTGTGGCACAGCCTGCCAGAGTTCTGAAAACTGCCCCCTGCCCCATCATGGAGAGGTGCAAAAATTACAGACACATATCCTGTGTCCCTCTGTCCGCTGGGAGGAAGAGCGTCAACTCCTCCGAAAGCAATCTAGCTGGAGAAAGTGTGCAAGTGGATTTCTAGCAATGTTTTTCAGGATTTTTACTCTTTTGTTCGTGGGATGGGAGAGAATCAGTGAGATAGAGGATACAAGGAGCTCAAGTGGCAGTAGCAGTCCAAGCCAGCAGTGTGTATGTGTGTGTATGTGTGTATGTTTTGTGTATATATGCATGTGTGTGTATTATGTGGGTATGTGTGCATGCGTGTGTGTGTGTGTGTGTGAATGTCTACATATATGTGCGTGTGTGCGTGTGTGTATATGTGTGTACGTGTGTACGTGTGTGGGTGTATGTGTGCACATGTGTGTATATGTGTGTGTATGTGTGTTTTTTTTATGTGTATGTGTGGTGTGTAGCCATGAACAGAGACAGCCAATCCCTGAAGGAATATGTTGTACTTTTGTCCTTTAATATTTTCAAGCCTGCTGGTCCTGCAAAAAGCAGTAAGAGCTAATGAGAAGCAGGTGTACTTAGGGAAACAGGAAATCTGGTTCCATTTATGACTTCACCGCGGCCTGCCATGGAGTTTTGAGCAGCTTTAGTTTGCTGCTCCGTTTCTCATCTCTGTCTTCTCTGGAGGTGCCATCTGCACCATTAGGATGCAGGAGTTGGCTTTCTTGCTTTTCCTGAAAACAGTACTAGTGCCATTGGCTGTTAAAAGTGGGATATGGGCCAGGTGCGATGGCTCACACCTGTAATCCCAACACTTTGGGCGGCCGACATGGAAGGACTGCTTGAGCCCAGGAGTTCAAGACCAGCCTGGGCAACATAGTGCGACCTTGTGTCTACAAAAAAGTTTACAACTTAGCCAGGTGTGGTGGCATGCACCCGTAGTCCCAGCTATTCAAGAGCACAGGAGGTCGAGACTGTAGTGAGTTCTGAGCTTTGCCATTTGTGTGAGATGTTTGCTGCATCTGGCCTGCCCACTTAGAAACTGTCTTCTTCCTTACTTTCTGGACACACAGAAAGAGCATATGTTTGTAGTATTAAAGGCAGAGGATGAACTTCCTGTGTGGCAGCTCTCCTGAAATGTATTCTTGCACTCAAAATGCAATGGCAGATGTTGAGCTGCTCTCACAACCCTTCAGAAAGTCTTCGGGGAATGCTGGTGTGCTCTCTGTCAGAGCATAAGAGTAAATAAGCCTGCTGCACCTTTAAGCAGGGATGAGCTAAGTTTTGGTAGTATTAAAGTCGGCTCATGTAAAAGTAATTTGTGTAAACAAATCAGGATTTAAAACAACTTTTTATTGAAGTGTAACATATATGCATCAAAGAGCACACCTCGTCAGTGTACAGCTTCGTGAATTTTTACAAACTGAACTCATTACATAAGCCAAGAAGTAGAACACTAGCGGCACCCTAGCCAACACCCTCATTCCCCTCCCAGTTACTAGTCCTGTGGGTTATAAACACTCACCTACATTCTAAACATTTTTTTTTTTTTTTGAGATGAAGTCTTGCTCTGTCGCCCAGGCTGGAGTGCAGTGGCATGATCTCGGCTCACTGCAACCTCTGCCTCCTGGGTTCAAGCGATTCTCCTGCCTCAGCCTCCCGAGTAGCTAGGACTATTGGCACATGCCACCATGTCCGGCTAATTTTTGTATTGTTAGTAGAGATGGGGTTTTGCCATGTTGGCCAGGCTGGTCTTGAACTCCTGACCTCAGGTGATCCACCCACCTCGGCCTCCCAAAGTGTAAATTCTAAAACTTTATATTAATTTTGCCTGCTTTTGAACTTTATATATAATGTATTTGTAGAATTTATTCACATTGCACATAGATCTTGTTATTCTCATTACTATATGGCATTCCATTATATAAATATACCATGTATTTATCCATTCTATGTGGATGGAATTTGAGGTTTTCTTCAGTTTGGGCTATTACAAATTATGAACTATCTTGTACCTGTCTTTTGGTGCTCGTGTGCATGCATTTCTGTTGGCCAGATTCCTAAAAGTAGAACTTCTGTGTCACAGTGTAGGCATACAGTCAGTTGGTGGACACCGGAAATCGCAGTGTATGAGAGTTAGGAACATGTTTTTGATAGGAGAAAGAACACAAGGCTAAAATCAGGCCCCAGGCTTCTGGTCCCCTCCCAGGGTTGGCTTACAGGGAAGCCAAAGCAAACCACCTACCCTCTGTGTCTCCTCAACTGTAAATTGGAAATAATTAGTACCTGCTCTGTTCCTTGTGGGATGGGACAACCTTCCACAAAGACTCGCACTGCACAAATGTAGGCTGTCATTAAAACAGAAGCAGAGGAGGAGGGAGATTTTAATGATTAATGAGAACTAAAGAATAACTATACTTATGTGAATTCCCTCCTCCAATTAAGAATCCACAGATTAGATGAACTGCTCTGGTAGGCAGCGTTGTTTTGCCAGAGGGGCCTGCAGTATTATTCTCTCAAATCACAACACAAAGTGCAACCTTCTAAACCTGTCCTCTCTATTTTGTCACAAGATTCCTCAGCTATCTGGAGGTCTAGGGTTCCTCCCAGTTTCTTCTCTCAATCTCTAAATACCCCAACTTCCTCCTTCCCCCAGCATCAGCCTGTGTTTGCCTGATGTGGAAAAACTGGGCTCTGCCTTGTTGGACCAGATATAGCACACTAGGAAAGCCAAAGGATAAAATCATTCCATGTCTTCTTATTATTATGTTTAACTTTTTTTAAAAGATGGGGTCTCACTATGTTGCTCAGGCTGGTCTCGAACTCCTGGGCTCAAGCAATCCTCCCATCTTGGCCTCTCAAAGTGCATGGATTACAGGTGTGAGCCACTGTGCCCTGCCCTTCTTGCATTATTGAACATAAATGTTAAGTATTGCCAATGAGGTGCTTTGGTCTCACAGTGATACTAAAATTTCACAGGCGTTTATTCTATCAAAGGTTGTACTAAGCTAAATCAGAGGCTGTAAAAAATAATAATTAGGCCGAGGCAGGCGGATCAACTGCGGTCGGGAGTTTGAGACCAGCCTAGCTAACATGGAGAAACCTCGTCCGAGCTAAAATACAAAATTAGCTGGGCATGGTGGTGCATGCCTGTAATTCCAGCTACTCGGGAGGCTGAAGCAGGATAATTGCTTGAACCTGGGAGGCAGAGGTTGCAGTGAGCCAAGATTGCATCATTGCACTCCAGCCTGGGCGACAAGAGTGAAATTCCATCTCAAAAAAAAAAAAAAAAAAAAAGGTAATTAATTGAAAGTAGCATCCAAATCTCCATCCATCCTATTGGTTTCCATGTACATAGTCATACGAGTAGGAGGCAGTGCCCTCTTCTGGCCAATGCTACACTTGCATGGCTGTGGCTAAAGGATTGCCAACCCATGAGGACTGGTTTTTCACTTGCGGCAGGCTCATCTTGGGGTTATTATCAGTCTTGAGTGAATCACATTTGAGGATTCATCCTCCCCTTTCTCTTCCAAGAAGAAAAATGAAATCCGTGATGGCTAATTTTATGCGTCAACATGGCCAGGCTAGGGTGCCCAGTCATTTGGTCAAACACTAGTCTAGATGTTGCTGGGAATATACTGTTTTTTTGTTTGTTTGCTTTTTGTTTTTTTGAGACGGAGTCTCACTCTGTCGCCAGGCTGGGGTGCAGTGGCATGATCTCAGCTCATTGCAACTTCCACCTCCTGGATTCAAGCAATTCTCCTGCCTCAGCCTCCCGAGTAGCTGGGTCTACAGGCGTGTGCCATCATATCCGGCTAAATTTTTTTTTTTTTTTTTTTTTTTTTGTATTTTTAGTAGAGACGGGGTTTCACCATGTTGGCCAGGATGGTCTCGATCTCTTGACCTCGTGATCTGCCCACCTTGGCCTCCCAAAGTGCTGGGATTACAGGTGTTAGCCACCAAGTCCAGCCCATTTGTTTTTTGTTGTTGTTGTTGTTGTTTGTTTGTTTGTTTTGAGATGGAGTCTCGCTCTGTCGCCAGGCTGGAGTGCAATGGCGTGATCTCGGCTCATTGCAACCTCTGCCTTCCAGGTTCAAGAGATTCTCGTGCCTCAACCTCCTCAGTAGCTGGGACTACAGGCGCACGCCACCATGCCTAGCTAATTTTTGTATTTTTAGTAGAGACGGGGTTTCACCCCATTGGCCAGGATGGTCTGGATCTCTTGACCTCGTGATATACCTGCCTTGGCCTCCCAAAGTGCTGGGATTACAGGCATGAGCCACAGCGCCTGGCTGAAGATATTGTTTTAGATGTGATGAATATTTAAATCAGTAGACTCTGAGTAAAGCAAATTACCCTTCATAATGTGGGTTGGCTTCATCCACTAAGTTGAAGGCCTTAAGAACAAAGACTGAGGTTTCCTGGAAAAAAATCCATTCTGCCTCAAGACTGAAATATAGAAGCCCTACCTGAGTTTCCAGAGGGCAGATTTTGAATTTAAGATGGCAACACTAACTCTTCCCTGAATTTCTGGCAAGCTGGCCTGCTCTGCAGATTCCAGACTTACCAGTTTGCACAACTGGGTTAGTCAATTCCTTAAAATAAATCTGAGTGTGTGTGTGTATCCCTATGTGTTCAGTTTCTCTGGAGAACCCTAACTGATACAAAACCCAACTCCAAAACCTATTTTGTGTCAGTGACATCATATTTAAATAACTATCAAGGGACCTGATGTATAGCAGTTGACCTTCTGGGTTCCAGTTTAAGTCCCAGCCCCACCCCACTTACTAGTTTCATGAACTTTTACTTAATCATGTTTAATCTTGGTTTCTTCATTTGTGTAAGGGAGAAAATGGTAGTATTTGGCCAGGTGCAGTGGCTCACACCTGTAATCCCAACACTTTGGGAGGCTGAGGCAGGCGGATCGCTTGAGCTCAGGAATTCGAGACCTGCCTGGGCAACATGGCGAAACCCCGTCTCTACAAAAAATACAAAAATTAGCCGGGCATGGTGGCACATGCCTGTAGTCCCAGCTACTCAGGAGACTGAGACAGGAGAACCACTTGAGCCCAGGAGGTGGAGGCTGCAGTGAGCCGTTTTTGTGCTACAGCACTCCAGCCTGGGCGACAAAGTGAGACCCTGTCTCAAAAAAAGAAAAAAAAGAAAATAGTAGTATTTGCTGAATAGGCTGTTGTAAAGATTAAACAAGAAAACATATGCACTTAGAATAGTATCTCACTCAGAGTAGGTAGTCAATAAAAGTTAGTAGTTACTAAAATTATTGTGGGAAGCTGTCACAGAAGGGTAATTTACAAAGTGAGGAAAGCTAGCTAGTTTAGTTCACTTTCCTCCCCCACATTTCTCTCCCAAAACTCTCAGGTACAGAGACAGGCAGCCTCTGTTTTTCACTACAACCTATTCCTGGGGTATATTATAAATGTATATCACACATTTCTTCTAAAGTGTCCTATCTCTTCCCATAGGAATCAATCAAATTTAAAAGTTGGGTTCCAAGACTGTACTTTTAGGGATCATTTCTATAGTTTTTTTTTTTTTTTTACTAGAGAAGTTTCTCTGAAGGTGTAGAGCGAAAAAAAAAAGGGTTCCAAATTCCAAATTGAGGACAAAATCATCAACGAAAGCATTATTATGCCACAAAGGCAACTTCAGTACATCTTGGCAGTCATTTAAAACAATAAAGTTATTTTTTAAGTCTTTTTTTTTTTTTTTTTGAGACGGAGTCACTCTGTCACCCAGGCTGGAGTGCAGTGGTGTGATCTCGGTTCACAGCAAGCTCTGCCTCTTGGTAAGAGGTGAAGCCAGCTGAGCTTCTGGGTCGGGTGGGGACATGGAGAACGTTTGTGTCTAACTAAAGGATTGTAAATGCACCAATCGGCGCTCTGTGTCTAGCTAAAGGATTGTAAATGCACCAATCAGCACTCTAAAATGGACCAATCAGCACTCTGTAAAATGGACCAATCAGCAGGATGTGGGCATGGCCAAATAAGGGAATAAAAGCTGGCCACCCAAGCCGGCAGTGGCAACCCTCTCGGCTTCCCTTCCACGCTGTGGAAGCTTTGTTCTTTTCGTTCTTCACAATAAATTTTGTTGCTGCTCACCCTTTAGGTCTGCACTACCATTGTGAGCTGTTAACACTCACTGTGAAGGTCTGCAAAGGTCTGCGGCTTCACTCCTGAAGTCAGCAAGACCACAAACCCACCAGAAAGAAGAAATTCCAGACACATCTGAACATCTGAAGGAACAAACTCCGGACACACCATCTTTAAGAACTGTAACACTCACCACGAGGGTCTGTGGCTTCATTCTTGAAGTCAGCGAGACCGAGAACCCATGGGAAGGAACCAATTCTGGACGCACTGGGTTCACGCCATTCTCCTGCCTCAGCCTCCAAAGTAGCTGGGACTACAGGTGCCCGCCCACCATGCCCGGGTAATTTTTTGTATTTTTAGTACAGACGGGGTTTCACCGTGTTAGCCAGGATGGTCTCGATCTCCTGACCTCGTGATCCACCCGCCTTGGCTTCCCAAAGTGCTGGGATTACAGGTGTGAGCCACCGCGCCTGGCCTTTTTTTAAGTCTTAATATGGGATTTCCATAAAACTTAATCCGTACTCCACAATGCAACTTTTTATAATCAATAAAATTGGCAGGTTTGTTTGCTTCCTAACAATTTAGAAGGACTTTCAGAAAATTTGGCTGGTCAAAACCTATTTTTACATCTAGCCAAATGGTTATCTCTAGATGAAGGGATTTGGGTTCATTTATATTTTCTTTTTCTTTTTCTTTTTTTTTTTTGAGATGGAGTCTTGCTCTGTCACCCAGTCTGGAGTGCAGTGGCGCGATCTCGGCTCACTGCAGGCTCTGCCTCCTGGGTTCACGCCATTCTCCTGTCTCAGCCTCCCCAGCAGCTGGGACAACAGGCGCACGCCGCCACGCCCGGCTAATTTTGTTGTTGTTGTTGTTGTTGTATTTTTAGTAGAGACGGGGTTTCACCGTGTTAGCCAGGATGGTCTCAACCTCCTGACCTCGTGATCTGCCCGCCTCCACCTCCCAAAGTGCTGGGATTACAGGCGTGAGCCACCATGCCTGGCCATTTATATTTTCTTTTTTCTTTGCGTTTAATTCAGCAATGCACCAGAAGGACTGACGAGACTCACTGGTTGGCCAGGCGTGGTGACTCATATCTGAAATCCCAGTACTTCAGGAAGCCAAGGAGGGTGGATTCTTTGAGCCCAGAAATTCGAGACCAGGCTGGGCAACATGGCAAAACCCTGTCTCTACAAAAAATTAGGTGTGGTGCCACACACCTGTGGTCCCAGCTACTCGGGAGGCTGAGGTAATAGGCTCACTAGAACCTGGGAGGTTAAGGCTGCAGTGAGCCAAGATCCTGCCACTGTACTCCAGCCTGAGTGGCAGAGCAAGACCCTATCTCAAAAATAAATTTTAAAAAAGAACCAATGGCAGGTTATATACTTACTACTAAGATTTATTATAGCAAAGTATACATAGCAAAAGCAGCAGGAAAAAGACATGCATCAGCAGGGTCCAGAGAGGTTCAACACAGGTTTCCAATGTCTTTCGTTGTCTGAGGCCACACAGGAGTACTCGCTGTCTCGAGCAGTTAACTACAGGGACATGTGTGGAATGTCTTTGCCCATGAAAGCCTGTCTGAATCTCAGAGTCCAAGGCTTTTATGAGGAGCTGGTAATGTAAGTATATCCTGCTATGCAATTAGCCATGGCAAGCAAAACTCAGGACCCTAACAATGAAACCTCAATCTTGGTGTTTATGGAAAGCAACCTGACAAACCAGTATGGCATGGTTCGTTGCTCCAGTTGTATATAACAAAATCACCAATCAATAACACAAAGAACTCTCTAAGGACTATATTCCCAGTGATTGGCCAAGGGCTAATCATGGTTCCCTTGGAGACCTGCAAGGTTATGCAACCTGACCTACTGTGTTAACTCTTTCCTCAGTCTGTATTTTCTAAAATGTCTATAATTAACATATATTACTTTTATAATCAGAAAAGTAACTATTAACATAAAGGCATCCAAACATAATGATTTTCTTTTTAGTTATTTAATGATGCTGCTTTGTAAGCTCAGTACATTTTCTTGTAGTCAGCAGAGCTGCTAAGAGTATAGTCACCCTACTAGACATTTCATAGATGCCCATCAGAGCCTTTATATGCTTTGGGAAAAACCATAAAAACAGGCATGAAAGAGCATATGAAACCTAGGAGGAACCACAGCAACATCTAGTTCCACTTCCCCATCTTAGAGATGAGGAAATGGGAATTCTGAACAGTGAAAGGACTCTCCCCAGGTTCTAAACCTTAGGGTTTTCAATTAAAAACCTGTCTTGGAATTGCTGAAATGTTTGCTCAGTTGCTTCTGAATGTCTTTACCATGGAAAAAGCTGGAGCCCTGAATGATGAGCTCACCTGGACCAAGCACACATAGTTTGTCCTCCTTCAGTCTGGATAGTGACTTCCCTTCCTCCCACTGCCCCAGTGGCCTGACAGGATCCCATGTCAAGAGCATTGCCAATGCTATTGGGTCAATGTTCCAGCTTGGAACCTAACAAGAGGATAGGTTCATCTTCACTAAATTTTCCTTTTCTTTCACCTTCATTTACTCTCTTGTAAGTTGCAGGGAGGTGCAAATTCCTTTTAGGTCTCCCAGAACCAGGTCTTAACAGTGGTTATGACTTCAGGTAGTAAAGTCAAATGGTCCAGGATTTGAATTCTGTTTTTGCATCTACTTGTATGATTTGGCTTATGTGATTTGAGTGAGTTACTTGGGGAAGTTAATAAAAATAGTAGTACCTTCCTCCTAAGGTTACTGGGAAGAGAAAAGGAATGTCTTTCATGTAATAACTCTCAACTAGCATAGGGCTTGGCATATAGTAAATGTTCAAAAATATTAGCTGTTATTTTTTAAATAGATGCTCCGTTTATTTTGGAAAATTCTATTCTCTGATTTTTAAGACCATTTTATTGAAGTAATTGACATGCAGTATAAACTGAACACGTTTAAAGTATAGAATATCATGTTTTGACATGTATACACCCATGAAACTATCACCATAATCAAGTTAATGAACATATCCATAACCCCTAAAAGCTTTCTTTTTTTTTTGAGATGGGGTCTCGCTCTGTCACCCAGGTTGGAGTGCAGTGGTACGATCTTGATGCACTGCAACCTCCACCTGCTGGATTCAAGTGATTCTCCTGCCTCAGCCTCCCAAGTAGCTGGGATTACAGGTGCCTGCCACCATGCCCGGCTAATTTTTTTTTTTTTTTTTTTTGAGACGGAGTCTCGCTCTGTTGCCCAGGCTGGAGTGCAGTGGCCTGATCTTGGCTCACTGCAAGCTCTGCCTCCCAGGTTCATGCCATTCTCCTGCCTCAGCCTCCCGAGTAGCTGGGACTACAGGCACCTGCCACCATGCCTGGCTAATTTTTTGTATTTTCAGTAGAGACAGGGTTTCACTGTGTTAGCCGGGATGGTCTCAATCTCCTGACCTCGTGATCTGCCCGCCTCGGTCTCCCAAAATGCTGGGATAACAGGCGTGAGCCACTGTACCCGGCCCTAATTTTGTATTTTTAGTAGAGATGGCATTTCGCTATGTTGGTTAGGCTGGTCTTGAACTCCTGACCTCAGGCGATCCACCCACCTCGACCTCCCAAAGTGCTGGGATTACAGATGTGAGCCACCGTGCCTGGCCAAAGTTTTCTTATACCTGTTTATAATCCCCTTCTTTGTCCTCAGGTAACACTATCTACTACCTGTCTCTACAGATTAGCTTGCATTTCCTAGAATCTTACTTATATAATTGAAATAATATAGTATATACCCTTCTTTTGGCTTTCTTTATTCAGCTATGTTGTGAGATTCATTCATGTTGTTTAGAGTATCAGTTACTAAGTAGTATTCCATTTTTGGCTATATCAAAATTTGTTTGCCCATTTACCTATTAATGGACATTTTGCACTGTTTCCAGTTTGGAGATATTAGATATAAAACTTCTATAAACATTTATATATAAGTCTTTGTATGGATATACACAAATGATCTCTGACTTAACATTGATTCGACTTACGATTTTTCAACTTTACAATGTTGTGAAAGCAATATGCATTCAGTAGAAACTGTCCTTCAAGTACCCATACATTCATTCTGGTTTTTACTTTCAGTACAGTATTCAATAATTTACATGAGATATTCAACATTTTATTATGAAATAGGCTTTGTATTAGATGATTTTGCCCAATTGTAGGCTAATGTAAGTGTTCTAAGCACATTTAAGGTAGGCAAGACTAAGCTATGGTGTTTGGTAGGTTAGGTGTATTAAATGCATTTTCAACTTACGATATTTTCAATTTATGATGGGTTTATTGGGATGTAACCATATTGTAAGTCGAAGACCACCTCTACTTATATTTCTCCTGGGAGTAGAATGAGTGGGTCATTAGGTAGGTATATGTTTAACTTTTTAAGAAACTGACAAATTGTTTTCCAATTGGTCATGCCATTTTACATTCCCACCAGTAGTGTAGGAGAATTCCATTGTCTACATCCTCACCAACAGTTGGTACAGTCAACGTTTTTAATTAAATTAATTTTATTTATTTATTTATTCATTTTTATTATTTTATTTTATTTTTTTTGAGACAGGAGTCTCACTCTGTCACCCAGGCTGGAGTGCAATGGTACGATCATGGCTTACTGCAGCCTCAACTTCCCAGTCTCAAGTGATCCTCCCACCTCAGGTTCCCAAGTAGCTGGAACTACAGGCACATGCCACCACACCAGACTAAGTTTTTCTATTTTTCATGGAGACAAGATCTCACTATGTTGCCCAGGCTGGTCTCAAAATTTTGGGCTCAAGTGATCCTCCCACCTTGGCCTCCCAAAGTGCTGAGACTACAGGCGTGAACTACCACGCCCAGTCCTGTTTTTAATTGTATGCATTCTAGTAAGTGTGTAGTGGTATCTCTTTGTATCTCTCTCCCCAAGCCCTGGCAGCCACCAACCCACCTCTATAGATTTGACTATTCTGAATATTTTATATACATAGAATCACAGTATATGCAGCCTTTTGTGACTGGTTTCTTTCACTTAGCATAATGTTTTCAAGGTGCATCAAGTTATAGCATGTATCAGAATTTCATGTCCATTTATGGCTGAATAATATTCCATTGATGGGAATACCACATTTTGTTTATCCATCAGTTGATGGACATTTAGGTTGTTTCTACTTTTTGGCTGTTATGGACAATGCTGCTATCAACATTTGTGCACAGGTGTTTGTGTGGACATATATTTTCATTTTTCTTGGGTGTATATCCCTAGGAGTAGAATTGCTGGTCATACAGTAACTTTATGTTTAACCTTATGAGGAACTTCCAGGCCAGTGGTGAGGTTCAAGCAAGGGAAGGAGGAGGTTCTGGGTCAATGGTACATATTTGCTCTATTGGAGAGAAGCAATTGGCCAAAATTGTAGCTTGTCATTAGTCTGTTGAACAGCCATGGATTTTCATTACTTGGGCAGAGAACACATGAAGCCAGGCTAGATATCACCAATGGGTGACCATATTAAAGACTTGTGAATATTGGTATTTAATGTATCACTATTTAGTGCCCAGGTCCCCCTTATGTATGTTTATTACCACGTGTACTCTTGGTTCTCCCAGCTTTTTTCATCTATGTTTAACCCACACATTTTCTAGATGCCAATTACTGATTTATACTTGATATCTTATGAGTTCATCCCATTTCTTCTATAAAATAATTGAATATTTTGAAACTATATATCAAATGCATATTAAACCCTTCCCCTCTGTAATTCATTTCTGCATGACACCACACTTACTTTGTACACAATGCTGAATAAATGTTAAATAAAAAATAAGCAGGGTGGGACCTGTAATCCCAGCACTTTGGGAGGCCGAGGCAGGAAGATTGCTTGAGCCCAAGAGTTTGAGACTAGCCTGGGCAACATGACAAAAACCCATCTCTACTAAAAATACAAAAATTAGCTGGACATGGTGGCACACACTTGCGGTCCCAGCTACTTGGGAAGCTGAGGTGGGAGGATCACCCAAGCCCGGGAGGCGGAGGTTACAGTGAGCCGAGATTGCTCCACTGCACTCCAGCCTAGGCGACAGAGTGAGACTTTGTCTCAAAAAAAATTAAAATAAAAATGAGCAATAATCTCTGGTAGTCCTGCCATAGAAATAAGCAGTTATTCAAACAAAAATTTCCTGTGATTAAGTACTTGGGAAATACTGGTTTTTTGTTGTTTTTGTTTTTTTTTACTATAGGACTTGCTAGCCCCTTAATGTACTAATGTGGTGGTACTTCTTCATGAATGGATTTCACATTCAGTGTCCTCAAACTTACTGATCCATGGAACCCTTTACTCAAGGTGCAGCTCTAGAAATTGGTGTTGTATAAAATACACCTTGGGAAATGTTGCCTTGGGGATTGCTCTGTGCAAGGCCTTGGAAGTATAGCTGTTTACTACAGCAGCCATAGACTGAACAGCTGAACTGAAATTCCTCCGGGTACCTTTTATAAAGTATAAACATCCCACTTTTCTGGTTTGTTTTTTTGTTTTTTGTTTTTTGCTTTTTTTGGTCTCACTCTGTCACCCAGGCTGGAATGCAGTGGTGTGATCTTGGCTCACTGCAACCTCCGCCTCCCAGGTTCAAGCAATTCTCCTGCCTCAGCCTCCCGAGTTGCTGGGACTACAGGCACACGCCACCATGCCTGACTAATTTTTTGTATTTTAGTAGAGACAGGGTTTCACCATGTTGCCCAGGCTGATCTCGAACTCCTGAGCTCAGGCAATCTGCCCACCTCAGCCTCCCAAAGTGCTAGGATTACAGGCGTGAGCCACTGCGCCCAGCCTATTTTTAAAAACAATAACAAGAAGCAAGATAGGGAAATTGAAGTGACTTGGGGTATGAGCTGACTAAATTATGCAATCAAGGGTTTTTCTAATTTCTCCTTTTGAGTAAATACAGGAATAATGTCCCATCCCCTAAACAGCACAGTGCTGAGACTAATTCTTTGACAAATATTAGGCACGTTGAAAGATATTAGGTTCATAAAAAGGAGACTTCAGGCAAGGCGTGGTGGCTCAAGCTTGTAATCCCAGCACTTTGGGAGGCTGAGGTGGGTGGATCACCTGAGGTCAGGAGTTCGAGACCAGCCTAGCCAACATGGTGAAACCCTGTCTCTACTAAAAATACAAAAAGTAGCCGGATGTGGAGGCACATGCCTGTAATCCCAGCTACTCGGGAGGCTGAGGCAGAAGAATCACTTGAACTCGGGAGGCGGAGGTTGTAGTGAGCTGAGATCGCACCATTGCACTCCAGCCTGGGTGACAAGAGCGAAACTCTGTCTCAAAAAAACAAAAAGAAAAACAAAAAAAAACCCAGAAAGACTTCCTCTTCCACCTGGCTGGAAAAATATGCCTAATAGAACACCAGGAAACCCAAATCTCCGTGCGAAGCGTCTCCCTCATATGGTTAGCCTGGAGAGCCAAGGGATCCTAAAACTTAAAACTGAGTTTATTGGAGCTCTCTGTATTGTAGATGGGAGAACAGCTAACTTAATCTAGTAGACAGAATATAGGGACAGAAACAGAGCCAATCATAGGTCTTCTACCCTATCATGCTCCGTTTCACATCCTCTGGCCCCAACACTATCAACATATAGGCAGGTATTGCTGCTCCTGACCCATACCATCCTGCATACAGGATTGTCTCTCCCCCTTGCCCTTTTTGCAGTCTCTTCTTGCACCCTTCCCTAAGCATATCTCCAGCCTGAATCCTGCTCAGCTGTCAAATTTCAGCTCAAATGTCATTTCCTCTGGTGAGCTTTCCTTGACTCCAGAATACTGTTACACATTATTTCCCCATCGCTCATTACAAATGTAATTTATATTATTTAGTGATTGTCTCTTCCACTAGCTTGTAAACTACACAAGGGCAGAAACCATTTAACTTGTTCAGTATTGAATTTCCAGGATGTGGCACAGAGTAAGTAGTAAAAAAATACCAGTTAGTTGCTCACACCAGTAGCCCTAGCTACTCAGGAGGCTGAGGTGGGAGGGAGTATCGCTTGAGCCAGGGAGTTTGAGGCTGCAGTGAGCTATGATCGAGCCACTGCACTCCAGCCTGGGTGACAGGGCAAGACCTTGTCCCCCAGAAATAATAATAATAAAATAAATAGGCCGGGCACAGTGGCTCACACCTGTAATCCCAGCACTTTGGGAGGCTGAGGCAGGCGGATTATGAGGTCAAGAGATCGAGACCATCCTGGCCAACATGGTGAAACCCCATCTCTACTAAAAATACAAAAATTAGCTGGGCATGGTGGTACGCACCTGTAGTCCCAGCTACTCAGGAGGCTGAGGCAGGAGAACTGCTTGAACCCGGGAGGTGGAGGTTGCAGTGAGCTGAGATTGCACCACTGCACTCCAGCCTGGCGACAGAGCGAGACTCCATCTAATAAAATAAAATAAATAAATAAAAAATAAATAGGCCAGGCGCAGTGGCTCCCACCTGTAATCCCAACACTTTGGGAGGCTGAGGCGGGCAGATCACCTGAGGTCAGGGGTTTGAGACCAGCCTGGCCAACATGGAGTGAAACCCCATCTCTACTACAAATACAAAAATTAGCCAGGTGTGGTGGCAGGTGCCTGTGTAATCCCAGCTACTCGGGAGGCTGAGGCAGGAGAATTGCTTGAATCCGGGAGGCAAAGGTTGCAATGAGCTAAGCTTGTGCCACTGCACTCCAGCCTGGGTGACAAAGTGAGACTCCGTCTCAAAAAAATAAATAAAAATAAGTAATAAATACATACATACCAGTAAGTTGAACGACTAAAACCTAGGTGCTAAAATATCTTTGCTCATTTATCTTAGGCCTGTTCTATCTTTCTTTGTCCTAGGACAAAATCTTATCAACTCCTTTGTCCAAAGCTCAAATCCCTCGAGACTCATTCCAGGAAGCCTTCTCTTGCCGATTCCCCAGTCAGAGTAGTTGTTGGCCTTCGTGGACACAGGCTAATCTCTCATGTAATCCCAAATGAGCTGGGAAAAGCCGTGCTCTTTTAGAATATGAGGTATTCAGAGTTGCTAGTGGGCCTGAAACTCTGTAATGAATAGCTCATGTGTACTCCCAAAACCCAGCAAGAAGGAATAGTGCAGCTGTGGGCAGCCAAGAAGCAAGTCGTGTTCACAGGTATGTGGCTGACGTCAGTGCGGATAACTCATGAAAGCTGTTCCAGGGTGGAGCTGTTCTCTGGAATGTTGGGAACACAGCTACTCAGAGGTACAATTGTGACACTGGACTTCCTCCCCAGACGGGGCGCCTGCCTGCCCTTCATCTGTTGCCGAAACTCACTCACATACCCAGGCCTGGGGCTTGCGATTTTTCTAATCCATCCCCAAGGTGAGCTGCTTTCAAACAGGGTGTGGAATTGATTTGGAAATATGGCCAGGTGCAAAGTAGCGTGAGGTGAGGAGACAGATGTTCTTTTGGACTCTCTTTCTCCGAGACAGGTCTTTTTCTGAAGTGCCTTAAAATATTAATGGTGCCCTGCGTGATAAAGGGGAAAGAGCATGGCTCTGCACTCCACAGGCTGTGAATTTTTACCCCTTGCTTATGTTGTTGTGAGGACACAGTGAGTGTGAGTAAAGGCCTTGGGTAAGGGGCGGGGCTTATAGGGCATTGCTAAGGGAGAAAACAGAAAACAAAGCATGTGGGTGACTGTCTGAGACATCACTAGTGTTCAACAAATGGTAGCTGTTTCACTATTAGGTGCTCCTCGGGTGTACTCAGAGCAATCCGTGCCTCCTGCATCAGTAACATCACACCTGCCTATTTTTCTGTTTCTTCTGCTAAACTGTAACACTCTTGTAGGCCCAATACCTAGAAAAATGCCTTTCAGCTCCCATGATAAGCTCACATCTGATGTCAGGTGCCAACTGCTTCACATGGATGACTTCATTTAATTCTCGTAACCCTGTGGAGTTAGGCATGAGTGTAATCCTCATTTTATTTTATTTTTTATTTTTTTGTGTGGAGTTTCATTTTTGTTGCCCAGGCTGGAGTGCAATGGCGTGATCGTGGCTCACTGCAACCTCCACCTCCTGGGTTTAAGTGATTCTCCCGCCTCAGCCTCCCGAGTAGCTGGGATTACAGGTGCCCACCACCACGCCTAGCTAATTTTTATATTTTTTAGCAGAGATGGGGTTGAAACCCCGTTGGCCAGACTGGTCTCAAACTCCTAACCTCAGGTGATCCGCCCGCCTCGGCCTCCCAAAGTGCTGGGATTACAGGCGTGAGCCACCACGCCCGGCCCTCATTTTATAGCTGAATAAGCAAAGGCACTACAAGGTTAAGTAATTCAGCCAGTGTGATCTATGTAGTAAGCAGTGGAGTCACGATTTAAACACAGCTGGCCAGGTTCCAGAACCTGTGCTCTTTACCTCTGTTTTTGTTTGTTTGTTTGTTTTCTTTTGTTTTTTTTTTTTTTTTTTTTTTTGAGATGGAGTCTCGCTGTGTCGCCCAGGCTGGAGTGCAGTAGCACTATCTCGGCTCACTGCAACCTCCGCCTCCCAGGTTCAAGCAATTCTTCTGTCTCAGCCTCCCAAGTAGCTGGCGCTACAGGCACGCACCACCACGCCCAGCTAATTTTTGTATTTTTAGTAGAGATGAGGTTTCACCACGTTGGCCAGGCTGGTCTCAAACTCCTGACCTCAAGTGATCCTCCCACCTCAGCCTCCCAAAATGCTGGGATTACAGGCGTGAGACACCACGCCCAGCCTGCTCTCTACCTCTATACTACGCTGCCTCTGTCCTCACTCTAATTATGTTTTTCTCATTTTTCTCCCTAATAGCACAGTGAAAAATACCATCCCTATTGTCTTCCGTATTTGTGGGGCTATCTTTATTCTGCGATTCTTGTTGTACTGGCTCAACATAATGCTTTACACAATTGAATGCTTGACAATTGCCTCCCCATTGGTGCAGAGCTGGGTCTGGCATGCTGGGTTTATGACCCAGTTATGCTCTTTCACAAAAACATTTCTGGATGCCATTGTCAGACAGGACACTAGACTGAGTGGACTACTGGGAAGACCCTTTTATGCTCTTGTGTTCTAAATGACAGCCCTGTTTCCTAAAGTAATTGAGATTTTCAGTTATCAGCATAAAAGGAAACCATGGATGCTAGGCACAGCCTCGTGCTACTGTTACATGCCTCAGACATCAGTCACCACTGAAGTTAGGCTTGTCTGCCTCTCTCAAAGACAGTCTGAGTGAAACTGGAGTTTTCTTTCAATATTAGGTTCTCAGGTCCCATATGCTTTTAAAAACATGTAAATTATATATGCAAGAGAATGACATATATTTGGAGTTAAATAAGTCAAATGAATACTCATGTATAGCCACCATCCCACTCAACTCAATAGAATATTACCAGAATCTCAGGCTAAGCGCGGTGGCTCATGCCTGCAATATCCCAGCACTTTGGGAGGCCGAGGTGGGTGGATTGCTTGAGCCCAGGAGTTTGAGACCAGCCTGGGCCACATGCTGAAAACCCATCTCTACAAAAAAAATCAGCTGGGCCTAGTGGTGCATGCCTGTAGTCCCAGGTACCAGAGAGGCTGAGGTGGGAGGATTGCTTGAGGGGAGGTCAAGCCTGCAGTAAGCCGTGATTGTGCCACAGCACTCCAGCCTGGGCGACAGGGCAAGACTCTATCTCAAAAAAAAAAAAAAAAAAAAAAAAGTGTGTGTTTGTGTGTGTGTATATATATATGTGTGTGTGTGTATATATGTGTGTGTGTGTATATATATCCAGAATCTATCCTCTCCCCACTGCGTCCTTCTCCCACTCCTCCCCCGGCAATTCTAACATGCTTTTCATTATAAAGTATTAGCTGTTTGAAAGCGATAATTTTTCTGATGACTACTGTATATCAGATGTGATTCCTAAGTACTTTGTGTTATAAAAGGTGCTAGCAGCAAAAGAATATTCAAACTTGTATTTTGAAGTTTCATTTTCAACGTGAACTGATACTGTCAGTGAGCTGCTTTCTATTCTAACTTTACAACCACAGTGCTGCAGCATAATAGTGTGCTGAGAACACGTGTCTT
The DNA here is from genome assembly GCF_000001405.40 of Homo sapiens. NCBI lineage: Eukaryota > Metazoa > Chordata > Mammalia > Primates > Hominidae > Homo > Homo sapiens. Next base: position 55,074,934 of record NC_000014.9, on the reverse strand, counting down.
TAAATTGTGGATGTGCAAAATTTTGCCACAAATTGGGGACATGTACTTCTGTGGCAGTGACTGCCAGAATGTTAAGATGACCGGTGCTGCAGATGGGGAAGAGCAGATGCAAACAGCAGGAGTGAAGAGGTGACTGTAACATGAAGCCAGGGCCACAGATAGATTGTTTCCTGCAACACGTAAGAACTTTGCTGTGTAACTATGTGAGAGAACTCGGCCATGGCAGCAGATGCTCTCCTCAAACACCCTGATGAATACTAGTGTGGTAACACCTGAAGCATTTAATCCTTACAGGAGAGCCACAAGTTCTAGTATTCAAAAATGCACCTCAAGCACCAAAAAGTTGACAACTCTTACCCGGCCACTAGATATTTCTGAAATGATTTAACAAGTTTTTGCTATTTCCCTGCCATTCAAGTATCGTATGAAATAATAATTTCACTGTCCCCTAGTCCCTCTTTACTGTGAATTAGAAACAAAACGTGTATGTCACCCCAGGGTTGGAGGAAATGAAATGTAATTCTATTACATATTTGGTAATATTTATATGCAGCAGCCAGAGACCCTCCAAAATTGGACATAAGCCAGGCGCGGTGGCTCCTGCCTGTAATCCCAGAACTTTGGGAGGCCGAGGCAGGAGGATTGCTTGAACCCAGGAGTTCAAGACAAGCCTGGGAAACATAGCAAGACCCCATCTCTAAAATACAATAAAATGGACATAATTTTTGGTACTACTCAGTTTGTAAGGGGATTAAGTTGGGGGAAAAACTTAGGGCTTTAAGGGAAATTGCTTTCTGACTTGGGAGGGAAAAAGACATAATTGTGGCTATGTGGCAGAAACCTTTGGAGAGGTGCCCAGAAAAGTAGAAAGCCCTGTTCCAACCCTCTTTCTCTATCTAGCTCCTCTATCTTAGAAGACATGACTCCCTGTTCCAAGACTGGGACGTGCTTGCTTCTTGCCGTTGGGACTTACTGAAGATAATGTAGCTACAATTCAGTGACTTGGATATGGTTCTTCACCTTTATAAGATGCAGTCTGAGTAGCACCCTAAATAATATAGTCATCTCTCAGTATCCACAGGGGATTGGTTCCAGGACCCTCCTGGGATACCAAAATCCACAGATGCTTGGGTTGCTGATATTAAATGGTGTCGTATTTGCCTGTAAACTACGCACATCCTCCCTTATACTTTAAATCATATCTAGATTACTTAGAATACCTAATACAATGTAAATGCTAGCACATAGTTGCTATATTGTATTTTACATTTTGTATTATTTATTGTTGTTTTCCTTCGAAATATTTTCCACCTGAGGTTGGTTGAATCCCCAGATGCAGAACCCACAGATACAAGCGGCCGACTGTATGTGAATGAAGGGGTAACTTCTACAGTAAAACATGTTTTTTAGGACAAGTTTTTTCTCTGAGGAAATAAAATCTTCACTGGTACTCTTTTTTTGTTATATTTAGGACAACCATGTGACTTATCACAAACACCAGGACACTTTTGTGGATGCAAGGGAGGTGCTTTAATAATTATACCTGGAGTCTGGGCGTGGTGGCTCACGCCTGTAGTCCCAGCACTTTGGGAGGCCAAGGTGGGTGGATCACCTGAGGTCAGGAGTTCGAGACCAGCCTGGCCAACATGGTGAAACCCTGTCTCTACTAAAAATACAAAAACCAGCTGGGTGTGGTGGTGGGCACTTGTAATCCCAGCTACTTGGGAGGCTGAGGCAGGAGAATCGCTTGAACCCAGGAGGCGGAGGTTGCAGTGAGCCGAGATCATGCCATTGCATTTCAGCCTGGAGGGAAAAAGCAAAACTCTGTCTCAAAAAAAAAAAAAAAAAAAAAATTATACCTGGCAAACAGGAACCAGAATGATTCCAGGCCATATATCCAACTGGGACATATAACCACTTGCTTAGAGCACAAGGTTGGTGGTTAATAAATATTAGGATCACATTGTGTACTCCCTGCTCCCCCCGGCATGTGAGGTAAGAGCTAATCACATTGTGTAACATTTAATCCTTAATGTTGATCACCTAATTTTTATTTTTTTGAGACAGGGTCTTACTCTGTCACTCAGGCGTGGTGCCATCATGGCTCACTGCTACGTCTGCTTCTTGGGCTCATGTGATCCTCCCACCTCAGCCTCCCAAGTAGCTGGGATTATAGGCATGAGCCACCACGCCTGGGTGATAATCTGATTTTTAAAAAAGGAATATTCATATAGAGCTACTATATTAGATGTGCATTGTTTGGGGTATGCTAACATACCTAGTGGATCTCTAGCTAGAGGGAATGAAGAATGTTTTTTCCCTCATGGTACTTTGAGCATTATTATGTTTATAGGTAAGGGAAGTGAGCACAGGAAGCTAATCAGTTGCCGTAAATCACACACCAGAGCTGAGCTCAAAGCTTAAAATAAAAACCCTAAAAAACAAATTCGTGACCCAACACTGATTTAAAAAGAAAAGTAAAAAATAAAAATACCAACTCTGCCCTGTGAATCCCCAGCAATTGTGTTGCTCGCTGAACCATGAAGGGCTGCCCTTTAGAATTTGATCACAGAGGCATCGAAGGTGGAGACTTATTACCCCTTTCAGACGAGAAATCTTATGCTGGGAAGCTGCTTTTCCTAGTTCGCACAAGTCCTCTTCATTCCACTTCTATAAAAAGCCCAAGTAAGAGTCCTAATCGTTAGTCATGCAGTTTAGTCTTTTTGTAGATTTGAGCATTCAAGAAAGGACGCAGGTGATTCATTAAGCTTAGTACTTGGGGTTTTTGTGTGTTGCAGTAACTAAGCAACAGTTAAGATATTTTAACTTAGCATGTCCTGCATTGGCACGTTTAAAAAAAGAACTGTCATGCCGTGCTTGGCAGAACCTCACTCTGACTCTTCCACACTCTGTGCAGTTCCTGTACATCTTGGCTGCCCATCCACTGCTAACAGAGACCTCTTCTGTCTCAGCTGCTCTGACAGCCTTGGCCTAGTGTGTGCCACTGCAGGGTAGCTGGATATCCATGTCTCCAATGACTGGTAACTGCAAAGGCTGGACCTGGAACTAGTGGTTTGATCATCCACTACCTTAATTCTCTCATTCACATTTTAAACCCACTCTTAACTGCTATACCTTTGAACATTTGCCTTTATGAAAACACAACTCAAGTTCTAGGTTAGCACTTGAAGAACTGTGATTATTCACAAAACCATGCATTTCAAACATAACCATTAGCTTTTTTTTTTTTTTTTAACTGAATATCCGATGAAACTCACTAAATGAAGTGTGAGAGGTCTGCTACATAACATTCAATTTAGATAGATTTGATTGTCCAGATAGTTTTGGAAGAACTGCAGTACTAGATGCCTGAACAAAAAAAATAGAACCTAGTGGATAAACTCTAAGCCTTGATAACAGAAGCACTGGTTCATTATTTATGTGGTATGACTCTGGGAATTTAACCTCTAAACAGGATCTTGCTCTGTCGTCCAGGCTGGAGTGCAGTGTAGCCTCTAACTCCGGGGCTCAAGTGATCCTGCCACCTTGGCCTCCTGAGTAGCTGGGACTAGAGGCACATGCCACCACACCTGGCTAATTCTTCAATTTTGGCTTGTGGAGATGGGGTCTTGCTATGTTGTCCAGGCTGGTCTCAAACTCCTGGCTTCAAATGATCCTCCTGCCCTGGCCTTTCAAAGTGTTGGGATTACACAGGCATGAGTCACTGCGTATCTCTTTTAAACTTGGTTTCCTTATCTCTAAAGTGGCTTTTAAATCTACGTATCTTTAAGGAAAGCTAGACTATATGACCATTAAATAAAACGACAAGCTCTGACATAAAACATAATCAGAGCAAAACTTAAAATGTTCTATTTCCTCTTTTCTTACGTAAAACTAAGTATGGCTTAGAATCCCATATGACCCAATTCTATTACACTTGGGAACCTCTGACTATGATCTAAATAAACCTCAAGTAGCAGACATGGTCATTTATAATGGTAGTTTTTTAAAATTTAAAAGCAGCAAATCTGTCCCCTTCCTGAAGCAACTTATCAGTAAGGAAAATACACGAAGTGCAGAGTGGAACTGCTCTAGGGAAAGCAGGGAGAGACTAAGCGTTATAAGCTCTACTTGGTCCTCTCCTCAGCACTGGGAAAATCAATTTTCCCAAATGAGAGAAAAAAGTTTAAGTGCCACGAGGGCCAGGCATGGTGGCTCAAGCCTGTAATCCCAGCACTTTGGGAGGCTGAGGCAGGCGAATCACCTGAGGTCAGGAGTTTGAGACCAGCCTGGTCAACATGGCAAAACCCCATTTCTAGTAAAAATACAAAAACTAGCTAGGACTGGTGGTGTGCACCTGTAATTCCAACCACTTGGGAGGCTGAGGCAGGAGAATCGCTTGAACTCGGGAGGCGGAGGTTGCAGTGAGCAGAGATTGCATCACTGCACTCCAGCCTGGGCGACAGAGTGAGACTGTCCCAAAAATAAGTAAAAGCCACAGGAATAAGCTCTATGAGATGACCCAAATCCTCTCCTGGCACTCGAATTCTATTGCATGCCTTATTTAAAATAAGTGAGCTAAGATTTAGAATTCTATTTTGCTTTGGAGATCAGTTGCAAAAGGATTGGTGCTAAGAGTATTAATACGGTGATAAAAAAGGACTTGCCTGGGTCAGGTAACCCACGATAGCATGTTTGTCAGAGCAATGTCATCTCACAACAGGAAAAAAAGAAACTGGCCCTGCTCCAGAATGGTCTTATTATTTCACCATCCATTTCATAACTCCACTTTAGGTGAATACTTTCATGGGATATTGAATAACATATCAAAAACAATTTAAAATTTTACAGCTGCATTTTGTCCAATCATAAGGCAAAAAGCAGAAATTCCTTCCAAAAGTAGCACTGCAAAGTATTCATTCATTCATTGCCCTACTGAAATTGGGAGTTCCAAGGAATGCCAGCGAAATCTCCTGTGGGAAAATGGTAAACTCCAAGTTTAATAATGTGACCCTCACTAAATGCGTAGCAGTTAATGATAAAAGTAGAACTATCTTTCATAACAGAAAGTGGGGGAGTGAGGGGAGTAGGGACAGACAGAGAAAGTTCCCTGACTTCATATTATCATATATACGGATAATCTGGTTACCAAGAGTAGCCTAGCCTTAAAAGAAGAGAAAATCACCACAATGGACACCATGTTGCTGAGAGGGTTTGCGGAGGAAGGGTGGTTTCCAGATATCCTTAGTGAATGCAGGTCACATGCAAAGAGGTATCTCAGGCCCTTTTTTCTTCCTTTTTGACAACAAATTTACAGTTAATTAGGCTCTGGACTTGCTCAGAGAAGCCCAGAATTGGGCCTAAAGAATAAAATAACATGAAAAATCTGTGAAACCATGAAAATACATTTTTTAAAAAAAGTTTCCAGGTATAATACACAAAAGCAAACAAGTTTATCTTAAAAAATACCAAGTATCACATCCATAGCCTATTCCTAATTATAATTACTTCTTAAAGCAACATTTGTCTTTGTTTACAAATACAGCAGCAGGTGATAAAACCTAGTATCTCAAACTGATTGCTTACAATTTATAATACAAACATATGTATATGTCTCAAATCACATTTTAGGCAGTTTAACTTAAAATGCATAGACAATTACATACATTAAATTTGTCATTACTGTCAGTGAAAAATCACAATTTCAAGAAGAAAATTACAACAAACTCATAGAGCACACATAAGAAGTCAAGTTCACTTAATGGCAACAAGTCAGTATCTGCTGATCAGTGACAGGCAGTGAAAGTGCCTTTATCCAGGGGTAAAGTGAAGAGGCAAACTATCCTGTTACTTTGCACACTTGAATTGTTGCGCTGATCAACACTACAATCTTGAAAAACATTAAATTCTTAAAAAAAAAAAAAGGCATGCCACATGTCACCCTTTAAGATGCCCAAAGGCTGGTTACAATTTCCACCAGTAGTGATCCTAACACGTTTAGGTAAAACTAATAATGAATGGGTATGCTAACAAATTCTGTAATGTTACTTATAGACTATGAGCCTCTCAAGGACAGGGATTCCCTTATAGCTGGCAAAGAACCTGGATCAAGGACATATTGTCTACTGAATAAATGACTCAGATGTTTTCGACAGCCAGAAGCTTGCCTGCCATTTACAAAATACTGATTATTTTATTGGCAATTTCTGTTTTACTTGGCAGAAATCTGAAAATAAAAAGTGTTTGTCTTCAATACTAAATATTGCTTTATTAAAATCAAAGTCTTCCCTGAACGCCACCTACAACTTTCTATGCATAGTACAATATATCAGTGTGATTTATCTGAATTTAGGCTTATGCTTTTCAAAAACTTGAATGTCTGTGCTTAAGTTTTATTTCCAGGCTTTCTAACCTTGGCATTTGATAAAGCTAGCTTCTATCATTCAGGGTGAGAAAATTGAGACATTGGCACTTATTGTTTAGAAGTGTAGGCAATTGACTGATATTCAACCCAGGCACAGTCTTGACAAAAACTCTGAGTAGAGCTTTTTTCATCTACAGTTTCAAAAGCTGTATATTTGAGAGTACCCCAGGTAGCACTAATTATTTGTGAGGTAATCATGGGCAAATTGATTGGTTTTTTAGAAAATATCCCAATAGTCCATTGTGGTGGTGGGACTGACTGAGGCAAAATATATACTTTTCTCTGCCCTATTACTATTCTCTACTGAAGACAACCAACAGTAAAATGCACAAAACAGTCAGTCCTTGGGTAATTAAAAAATGTATTGTCTATTTCTGAATAATCAATATATTACTTTACACAAAATAGGGCTGAGTCAGAGCTGTAAATGGTGTCTTCAAAAGCATGAAAAGATGAGAAAGTGGCAGGATGGGACAGACAAGCCAAGGTCTTTGAAGTGCTCCACTTGATTCTTGAGAACCGGGTGTGAATGACGACCTAAGGTCTATGTTTTAATTTTTGTCTTTTTGGTTTCAACATTTCAAAACCTAAGCTTCCAACTCCAAGAAACAGCATTCCTGAACACCTCAACTATTTCCATTAGATTTGAAAATTCTTCCTCTGAAGCCCAAATGTCAGCATATTCTATAATCTGTATCCCCCTCAAGACCAAATATACTTGCTAACAAGCAGTCTTTTCCATAAATCAGTTTCAGCCTAGCATGTCTTGTTTTGAAAGCAACATTGTTCCCTTTTAAAAAGAAAAAAAGGTCACGCATGGTGGCTCACGCCTGTAATCTCAGCACTTTGGGAGGCTGAGGCAGGCGGATCACGAGGTCAGGAGTTTCAGACCACCCTGGCCAACATGGTGAAACCCCCGTCTCTACTAAAAATACAAAAATGGGTGTGGTGGCGGGCACCTGTAATCCCAGCTACTTGGGAGGCTGAGGCAGAAGAATCGTTTGAACCTGGAGGCAGAGGTTGCAGCGAGCCAAGATCACGCCATTGCACTCCAGCCTGGGTGACAGGGCAAGACTCTGTCTCCAAAAAAAAAAGAAAAAAGGAAAAAAGCCTTTCTTGATGCTGTTCCCCATTTCTCCACTAAAACGCCTGCTTTTCTTAACTCCACACCGAACCAACCTGAAATATTTTGGCCCAGAATGCCAACAAGAATTGAAGAAAAGATGCTTTACAAAAATAACAATATAAAAGCAAATTATATTATCCCTTTTATCTCCATTCTTACATTAAAAAAAAAAAAAAAAATCGGCCGGACGTGGTGGCTCACGCCTGTAATCCCAGCACTTTGGGAAGCCAAGGCGGGCAGATCACGAGGTCAGGAGATCGAGACCATCCTGGCTAACACAGTGAAACCCCATCTCTACTAAAAAAAAAAAAAAAAAAAAATTAGCCGGGCATGGTGGCGGGCACCTGTAGTCCCAGCTGCTTGGGAGGCTGAGGCAGGAGAATGGTGTGAACCTGGGAGATGGAGCTTGCAGTGAACCAAGATAGCACCACTGCACTCCAGCATGGGCGACAGAGCGAGACTCCGTCTCAAAAAAAAAAAAAAATCTCCCCCAAATACCAGTTGCAAAGTCCTTGAAAACAAAGGGAGTACAATAGCAGTATGATTTAGGGCACACTGGACAGTATGGGTCACTAGCAAAATTATTATACTTATAGGGAGTAATAATCCCAAATTGTGTTCATGGCCCTTCAAATCCTTTAGCAACAGATTTTCTCCCAAAATCAATGGACTTCATAATTATAGATTCCCAAACCTGCTATCTCTTCTTCCTACTCAAATTATATTTGCTCCAGTGTTAAACTAAATACTGCTAATTTGTCAGCTTATCCCAATGTAGGACAGCCAAAATAACTGTAAGGAGAGCTATCTTTGCAGCCATCTCACTTTTCACATTACTTTATCCCTCCATGGTTAACTGACATTTTGATATTGATAATTCAAGCCAAGGCTACCTGCCTTGTAGACTAAGGGGGCTACTTTGACAACAGAGTTCAACAGTATTGTAGACAGCTAACACCTGTCCTTGAAGAGAAGTGAAAGAAAAAGCTAACAACATTCCGCAGTCTGAAAATATCTTAACAAATTAGTTTCTACTTTCTCATTTCTAAAAGCTTGAATCTATCATCTAGTTAACATAAGGGATGATTAAACACTGAATGTTCCTCTCAAAGGTAACCATTTTGCT